>NT_167248.2:4014410-4314410 GCF_000001405.40 Homo sapiens | reverse complement strand
ATATATCACACTCAAGTCAAAGCCTGAAAAGCTGAGGGAGCAACCTTTGACAGCCCAGAGGAACATCCTGAATATCAATGTGGAGATATAGAAGATCTTAAGCTGAAAATCATAAAAGGTAAGTAAATGAGTGAGGGCTACTCGCCTTAGCGCCATTCCTACCTCACCAGGTACTCTTTATCATTTCTACCTTTCCTCTCAAAATTCACTGCTCAGTATTAGAACTTTTTTTTAATGCATATTTGCAGAGAGATTTTAATTATACATGGGACTGCATTTGTTACTTTGTAAATCCCCAAAGGGAAACATTATATCTTGGCAAGTAAAGTTTTAAATGGAAATTATTTACTACGTCACTTTTGTGGGAATTGTTATCATCATGCTGTTATTTGCAATAGAACTGTATACTGTGGCACCCACAATGTGGAATTCTGGTTGTAAAATTCTAATTCCTGTAATATTTTGCCTAATTATCATCTTTATGACAGAATTAATAATTGCAGGAAGGATTTGGTCAAGTTTGTTTTGCTTATAGCAGGAGTAATAGTTACAGACAAGAAGTAAGCATGAAAATTTTACTATCACTAAGTTTGATAGGACTTTTTTATTGAAGATTGGTAAATGGTGCACTCTAAGCTATGGAAAGAAGGTTACAAATAAAGAGATTTTATATAAGAAAGGATCTTGTATAGTAAATTCTTGTCCTAAAAGGAAATGACTGGTTGTTTAAGACAAGTCAGAAAGTTGAGTACATTGTAAGAGGGTCTGTGAAAGTCATGAAAGAATTTAATAATTAAGAAATTTAATAATTAAAGGAAAGGAATTGCCAAGATTAACACCAAAGTTATTTTAGCCATCCAATAACGTTTTTCTCCCAATCATATCATAAGTTATAAAGAATGGCCTAAACCAAAAATTATGCCCTAATAGCAAGTCAAGGGGGAAACATGTTTTTCTCAAAGGAAATGATGCTTTTATATTAACGTTTCTGGTAATGTACAGCGACATCTAGTGGAGACAAACCAGTATTACAATCCATTGGTGTAACAGGTATCAAACTTTACTGCCATAGTTACAGTCTATAGGTGGTAATCTTAATACTCATATGGTAACCCTATATTTTAAACCTTCTTGTAAAATTTATCTCTTTTTGCCTAGAAGCAATCAAACTTCAAATGGTGCTGCAAACAAAGCCACACATGGACATGCCATTCTTCCAAGAAGCCTTAGATCAACCTCAGGAGGAGCCCCAACTGCAGCCCCCCAACACGACGCCCCTTTTCAGCAGGAAGTAGCCAGAAAGAATCGTCGTCCAACACCCCCTAACAGCAGTTATGGTTACGTCTCCTGAGGGAGGAAATAATACAGGAGTTATTAAGAAATTATTTTTAGGCAGCTAGAAAGGGTAAAAATTCTCAGTGGAATTTTCCTTTAATAAAAAGCAGCCCCAAACCATTTCTTCTCTAACAGAAAGCAGCCTGAAAACTCAGGCATAGATATGCAAACTAGAAGCTTTTATATGTAAATGCTGGCAGCTGTACCTGGAAGTCAGGTACATCCAATATGGCGGTTCCCACTCTCTTTTCCTTGTCACCACGTTTACAGGTGTCATGGCAGCCTCCAGGTAAAACCACATGTACAGGTATCCTGTCCACCACCAGTTAGAGACCGTATTTGAATAATAAAAGACTAGGGTGGGAGAGTCAGTCTTTTCGTGGGCTATGTAAATGACACAACTGGTCAAACCAATTCCCTGAGCGCTGTGTAAATCAATCACCGCCTCCTCAACCTCTGTACAAAACCGACTGCATTCCACCACAAACCGCAGACCCTCTTTTGGGCAACCCACTTTCTCAGCATGAGGAAGGATTTTTTCTCTCTCTTCTTTTCTATTAAACTTTCCACTCCCAAACCCACTCCTCATGTGTGTCTGTGTTGTTAATTTTCTCGGCCATGACAAAGAACCAGGGTGTATACCCCAGACAATGGAGCCGTTACAAAATCACAATGTCCAGTTCCCAGGATCCAGTCCTATGCTCCTCCCGATGGGTGTTCTCTCCCTGGGTGGTCTCATGTAGGCCAGGCCCCTCCCCCGCTGCAAACTCTTCTCTCACCTGCCCATCAGACCACCCATCTGGCCCCTCAAGCACCTCAAACCCGGCCATCTCCCTGCAGGTTTCTTCTCTGCGTGGCCTGCTGTGCCATCTCCACCTTCATCTCCACACCGCACCCCTGCACGATGTCCTGTGGCCTCGTTTCCCCTCACCCCACATGCAGTCAGCTGCCAGGCCTGATGAAGTCCCAGGGGTCTCTCTCCCTCCATCCTCCTCACTCCATGCTCAGCCCAATCTCCGTGCTCACCCTCCTGACAAGCTCCGGTTGGGCTCCTCCCATCAATCCCCAGCTCAAAGTCCCCTTCCCTCCTGGCACTAAGGTCCCTTAGGCCGGCCCGGCTGCCCCTACTCCCTGGGCCCGGCCCCCCCGGCTGCCCCAGGAGCCCTGGTCCACAGCCCTCACCTCGGCGCTGCCGGATGAGTGGCTCCATCAGCTCGTACTTGTGTCTGCACACCTTGTCCACCTCGGCTCGCTTCCGTTCCATAAAGTCCTTCTGGCTATTGAAGTACTCGCCTATGGGCCGCCCCAGCTCCATCACTGCTAGGAACTCCCCCACTGCGCTGTCAAAATGCACGTATTCCTCCCGGTTGTAGATGAGCCCGTCCACAACGCGCTGAGTCCCATTGAACGCATAGCATTCCTGCCGTTCCTGGTAGACGGAATTCTCTGTGAAGAGCAGGGAGAGATGGGGGTGGTGCCACCCCCAACAACACCCCCCTCCTCAATATTAGCTATTTCCTCAAATCTTCCCACTCAGGGCTGGATTTAAAAATACGATTTTTCCTACTACCGAGTTCTGTGGTTCTAGGCAGGTCACAGACTCTCTCCAGGCCTCAGTTTTCTCACCACGCAGCGAGAGGATTTACTGAAAAGAATGAGACTCACTGCTCAGGGTGGCTGAGTGATCATTAGGGAGGGGCGCACGCTGAAGGGAAAGCAGCCCCTTCTGCTGGCGGCTGGAGGAGGAGGGGGAGACATTTCACGTGGAGTCTCAGGGAGGAGCAGAATCTCATCAGGGGGAGGGTCCCTCAGGCAGAGAAACAGTAGGGATGGGAGGAGTTGGGGACCTGGAGGGCAGAGCTGCTCCCCCTACCCAACTCCCTGCCTGACATTTCCATCCTGATGTCAGTCCTGGCTCAAATGCCACCTCCTCCAGGAAGCCCTCCATTCCTTCTTTCCCTTTCTACAGCTAGGTTCTCTCTCTTCTCTGCCAGTTTCTTGAGAATACCTCAAGTTGCTCTTGCTGTTCTGCATGCTGGAAATCTCTGCATGCTGGAAATGCAGAAATGCATTTCCATGCATTCCTCCCTCCCTCCCTCCCTCCCTCCCTTCCTTCCTTCTTTCTTTCTTCTTTCAATGGAGTATACTTCCCTCCCTCCCTTCCTTCCTTCCTTTCTTTCTTCCTTTCTTTCTACAGAGTATCACTCTGTCGCCCAGGCTGGAGTCCAGTGGTGCAATCTCAGCTCACTGCAACCTCCGCCTCCCGGGTTCAAGCAGTTTTCCTGCCTCAGCCTCCTGAGTAGCTGGGATTACAGGCGTGCGCCACCACGCCCAGATAATTTTTGTATCTTTAGTAGAGACCAGGTTTCACCATGTTGGCCAGGGTGGTCTCGAACTCCTGACCTCGAGATCTGCCCTCCTCGGCCACCCAAAGTGCTGAGATTACAGGCATGAGCCACCGCACTTGGCCAGAAATGCATTTCTTAAAACTTCTTCAAGTTTGCCATAAGAAAGACAATATAGCCTGAAAGTTAATTTTCACTTTTCAAACATGGCTGTAGAAAGACTTGATCTCAAAACACCTGGAAAATATCTTAATCAACGAAAATCACCAGAACAACCAGAAAACTAAGTGACTGGACTCCTTTAGGTTTAGAGGCATTGATGGTGTCATTTTTACATAAAGAAATGTGGCAGCCTTTTCCACCTGCGGTTCTTCCTAGGGAGCACCATGGGCAGTGTCTGGCAGGTGCATGTGTATACAGAAGTAGCAATGACCCAGCACATGTCTGCTTGCTTCTGTCTGAGCCTCTTCAGACCTGATCTGTTCCTGGTCACAGTGGGGAAATTAAGGTGCTGTGATTTGCACACAGCAAATTAAGGTTTGTTTTGGACACCTGTTTCATGTTCTACAAATTAGCAACTCACGTTTATTAACCTCACCCCTCATAGAAGATGCACAGCTGGTGGCAGAGGACAGTAGAGAAGGGGTGGGGCTGGGCACAGCGGCACCATAGACTCGGCCTGTAGTTTCCAGTGTCATCTCTAAGGCAAGATCCCAGGACTTTAGATATCTTAACCTGCCTCTTCTCCTGGTGCCTTGGGCTCCAGCCCCCTAAACACCCAGGCCCATCGCCCCCAGCCCCTTTAGTCCGCCCCTCCCTATTCAAGTGCCCCACACTGAGTGTGTATCCTCTCATTTTAATTTGTTAGTCTTTGTTCCTCTTCCTCATTCACCAATAAGAGAACATGTTTTAGTGAAGAGTAAGAATTTCAAAACTTTCTTTTGCAACATTTAACTTTTTAAATGGAATTTTACCTGCAAAGCAGACATAAGTGATGAGTATATGGTGGAATTTGAAACTTCATTTTTTTTTTTTGTATATGGAAAACTTTATCCTGTTTGCGGAATCTTTGACAATTGAGTTACCCAGAGCACAATTTGAAAACCAATGATCTGAGTGAATTCATCTGTCACTCAGAATAGGATATATTAAAATATAATTGCAGAAAGATATAATGGAGGCCATATGGGTAAGAAAAGGAACATGTCACAGGTAGGGATTCCAGTTCTTGCACTACAACTGATTACTAAGTTATCTTGGACAAGAAACAACCTTCTAACTCTCCATTTCTTGAAAGGCAAAATAGTAATAATACTATTTACCTTGCAAAACTGCTGTGAGAACCAAATGAGCTCACATACGTAAAATACATAGTATTGTATCTGTCACTGCTCAATCTATGTTGGTTCCCTTCCTCTTTTCACTGTGTGACCTGTTTGAATAGGAGCAAAATTCTAAATAAATGCATATGAAAGAGGAACTGGATCAGCTTATGAGCTACTGGAAAACCTCAGGAAGACTTTCCATGGGCACCAGATCTTAATGGTTGAAAAGTGTTTGTTGGTTGTTTGCTGACTGGATCTTCCCCCCTCTCTTTTGTGCTAGTGATTTTATTTGAGGAGTTAGATTAACAGAAGAGTGAGTACCCAAAGACTCAAATGCACAATGAGCTTCTGCAAGTGCCCAGCTGGTGTGACAGGAGGACTCGGGAGTGTGGCCCTAATGCTTGGGGTAGTGGGTGGGGTGAGGTAAGAAACTCAGCTGTAAAAAGCCCATTTTAAAGCTTGTCAGAGACAAAAGGGTGTTGCCTCCAGGAGTCTGGTTTTTTCACCGGCCGTGTCATCTCCTGCTCCCTAGGTGTTGTCTCAGCCAAGCTTTTCTCCACCCTCCCCTGTCTCACTTTAAGCCACAGCCTGGCTCCTTGTGCCTTTCCTCTTGTGCTCTGAGGATGGAGATGTGTGTGGAGTTGGAAGAGCATGCAGGGAATTGTGGAATTGGCCCTGCCCACTCTACCCACTCCCCTTGGCTCCAGCTCTCCCTCCAGCAGGCTTTGATTGGACATTCATTCTACACGGGGAGCTCTGGTAACCCACCCTCGGTTCCTGTCACATGGCTCCACTGCCTCATCTCATTTCCCCTACCAACCTCAACCCAGTCTTTGCCCGTCCACCTGTTCACTGCCCACCATCATCACGCTCCCTCCTGTGCTTTCTGCTACCCCGCACCTTGAGGGTTTCCATGGCGTTTCCCAACACCACCCCTCATCCTACAAACAACTCTGCCTATGGACACTGTTGCTATGGACCTCCTGCTGGACACTGTTCAGTGTCACCAGCGCTGCTCCAGCCTCCTCTCTCCCCAACCTCACCCCTCTCCAGTTCCCAGGGCTGAGCCATTCTGCTGGTTAGTTCTCAGCACCCCTGTGACTACAAGTGCAGTTTGTCCACCCTTTCCCGGACAATGAACCTGAGGTAATAGGTGAGGGGCTTTGGGGTTTGAGGGGCTGTCCTCAGGAGATTCGAATACTGTTACCCTGGAAAATGAGGAGGTGACATGAGAACAGCACTTTCTAGGGGTGTCCTAGGTGGATGTGGAAGGGTCTCAGAGGGAGGGTCTATGCAGAAAGGTGGAAGTCAGTGGAAAACTAAGACACCTACTCTGCAGTCCTTCCTCTCAGGGTGTTGGTGTAAATTTGGACCAGAAAAGTAAGAACATCCTGAGAGAAAAACAATGGGTCATAGAAGCCATAATATTACACCAGCCACAAGGAGACAGCAGGAGACAGAGGTTTTTCCCTTGGTTACTGCTTTCTTGGCTGTCTGATAACCTACACTCAATCTCTTTCACGTACTCACACATCCTTATCTCATTCTTCTGACAGGTTTCAACCCATCCTAATACTCTAACCAAGTTCTGGGGAGGCTGGGAGAAATACCTTCAACAAGAGTGCCTTTAGGGGCTCGAACCTGTCCCCCTCCCTCCCATCTTGCCTTCATTGTCCAGGGAGCATTGGCTCCTGCTCCACCCTGGAGAATGAGAGGCATTCTCTGTGAGCACTGAATCCTCAGTGATACTTGTAGTCTGGACACACCAGCTAAGGGCTCTCTGCCTGAGTCCCCTCAAGGTTGGATGCAGATGTGAGCACACCCAGGAGTCTGCACTTGCCAACCTCTCTCTCTGAAACCTTGTCTGTCCAAGGTTATCCTGAACCTCTTGGCCCCATTTCCCCATAGACAAGCAACTTGACCCCTGAGCACCTCCCCTTATTTACTGTGTCCATGTTCCTGGAGAGAGAATAGACCTGGTGGATAGCAACCTATCCTATAGGAGGTGAGTTTGATTCTCCAGCTGTGATAGAAGGACACTAGGCCGTGGCAGGAGCCCCACATGCTGTCTCAGAGTCTGGTTCCATAAAGAGAAAGTCCCCTAGGAATTGTTCCCTGAGCCAGACCCTCCAGGAATAGCAGCTCTGCTCTTACCTGGAGTGGCCCTGCTCTGGACCACAGATATGAGCAGCACCATCAGTAATGCTGTCAGAGCCACTGTCCAGGGGCCCCCTGAAACCTGCAGGATCATCATGGAGTTGGAAAAGGTTGGCAGAATGAAGAGAGCTGCAGTCAGGAAAACAAGAACTCATTAAAGGGAGCTCCTGTCTGAAATATTAGAGACCATGAACCCAAGCAGTCTTCTGTGACCCTAGGATTGGACAGACTCTGAGAAAAGAACCAATGGGCACTGAGCTTTGTATGAGTCATTGCTCACTGGGCAGAAAGTTAGTATTAAAGATCTGACAATATAGAGCCAGTGATGCTGTTACGAGGACAGATGGAGAACACTGACACTCATTTTAACCAGTCAGAGTCATGAGTTTTGGGGAGATGATGTGTTTTCTTTGCTCTGAAGGTGATCTCAGATATTCTGCTGGCCCACCTACAGGGATTATCATTTCCCCAATTCTGCCACACCTCACACACCCACAGGACATGGCCTGGTGTGGAAGAAATGCTATCTCAATGTGTAAAAGGTCATTCAGTGGCATGATTTAGAGAGATTAGAGTATCCATCCCAGAACTGAAAATGAGGCCTGGAGTCTGTTTTGCCTTTGTTCAAGGCCGTGCTTCAGATTAGTGCACATTCATATTTTCTTCCTCCCACATGTCTGTGAGTCCTGAGATGTGCGGGGGATACTGGCTCCTTCCATAGGACTGTCATCAGGGTCAGCAGGGCTCAGTCTAGGGGCCTTACACCTGGGAGCATGGACACACCACCTACACTACCATGGAAGTATGCAGCTTGAAGGACACTGCCTGTCTTGGACTTCAGTTCTTTGTCTTCAGTATGGGGATGATATGACCTGCCTTTACAGCAGGGCTCTTAAGGTCAAATTAGATCAACGGATCTGTAATTGCTTTGGAAAAATGAGACTAAAAATTATACAGTGAATGAGGAAGAAATGAAAAAATGTCATAAAAGACCCTACATTTTCCAAAACATCTGATTCTGTGGTGTTTATACTGAATAGTTTCATAAACTTTCAAAGAATATTACTCCTTAATTTAAAGACCTATAAATGTGATCCTGTACGACCTCCTAATCTAATAAAGAAAATGTAAAAGTGGCATCATTTGTTTATATAAATGTTAAAATGTAAATAGAAGACTAGCATGTAAAATTCAAGAGAAGAAAATAATTATGCAGTAGAAGGGGCCAGTATAGGATTGCGGGGAAAAAGCTCACGTTCCCTGCCATAGTCACCAAGACAGCATGGTACTGGTATAAAAATAGGCACATAGACAAAGGGAACAGAATAGAGAACCCAGGGATAAACCCAAATACTTACAGCCAACTGATCTTCGACAAAGCGAACAAAAACATATGGTGGGGAAAGACACCCTTTTCAACAAATGGTGCTGGGATAATTGGCTATCCACATGTAGGAGAATGAAACCGGGTCCTCATCTCTCACCTTATACAAAAATCAACTCAAGATGGATTAAGGACTTAAACCTGAGACCTGAGACTATAAAAGCTCTAGAAGATCACATTGGAAAAACCCTTCTAGACATTGGCTTAGGCAGGGATTTCATGGCCAAGAACCCAAAAGCAAATTCAATAAAAACAAAGATAAATAGTTGAGACTTAATTAAACTAAAGAGCTTTTGCACGGCAAAAGGAACCATCAGCAGAATAAACAGACAACCCACAGAGTAGTCACAATCTATACATCTGACAAAGGACTAATATCCAGAATCTACAATGAACACAGGCAAATCAGTAAGAAAAAACAAACAACCCCATCAAAAAGTGGGCTAAGGACATGCATAGACAATTCTCAAAAGAAGATATACAAATGGCCAAGAAACATAAGAAAATGCTCAACATCACTAATGATCAGAGAAATGCAAATCAAAACCACAATGTGATACCACCTTACTCCTGCAAGAATGGCCATGATAAAAAAATAAAAAAACAGTAGATATTGGTGTGGATGTGGTGATCAGGGAACTCTTCTACCCTGCTGGTGGGAATGTAAACTAGTACAGCCACTGTGGAAAACAGTGAGGAGATTCCTTAAAGAACTAAAAGTGGAACTATAATTTGATCCAACAATCCCACTACTGGGCATCTACCCAGAGGAAAATAAGTCATTATATGAAAAAGATATTTGCACATACGTGTTTATAGCAGCACAATTCACAATCACAAATCATGGAACCAACCCAAATGCCCATCAATCAACGAGTGGGTAAAGAAACTGTGATATATATATGATGGAATACTACTCAGCCGTAAAAAGGAATGAGTTAATGGCATTTGCAGCGACCTGGATGAGATTGGAGACCATTATTCTAAGTGAACTAACTCAGGAATGGAAAACTAAACATATATTCTCACTGATATGTGGGAGCTAAGCTAAGAGGATGAAAAGGCATAAGAATGATACAATGGACTTTGGGGACCTGAGAGGAAAGGTGGGAGGGGGCAAGGGATACTGCTCAGGTGATAGGTGCACCAAAATCTCACAAATCATCACTAAAGAACTTACTCATGTAACCAAATACTACCTGTACCACTATAACCTACGGGGGAAAAAAGCAACATAACCATGAACCAACTAATAAAAAACAACCTTGCCTTCAGTCTGCATCCTACCCTAGAGACACTCTCTCTGTGTCCTCACACTTGGAGCTAAGCTTCTGACTTTTGTCTCCAGTACACCCCTGAGGATCCTCTCATCACGGCCATCAGAAACCTCTGTAGAAGGTCAAATCCAGTGGGTTCTTGTCAGTGCCTCTGACTTGAGTTACTGATAATATTTGCACCATAATCCACTTCTTTCTAATGAGCTACTCTGTCCTTATTTTTCTCCTATTTACTGAATCCTCCTTATCATCCTTTGAAATCTCCTCTTAATTATTATGTTCTCTCATCATACCCTGAGATCCCTGCATTTCTGATTTTTGGCACTCTTCCTGGAAAAGCTCATCTAACCTGCACCTATGCTTGATGACTCTCAGTTCTCTGGCTTAAACTCCTCTACTGAGACCACCCATCATACAAAAATGTTTACATATTATTTTTCCTTAGATAACTTTTAGATATTCTAAGTGCAATAGCCCCACACTGAACTCAGTCTCTTCTCTCAGTCAGGCTGTCTTCTCTCATTACCCTTTTTAATGAATGGAATCAAGATGTTTGCATTGGGTTGGGGAGATGTTGGTCAAAGGATACATCCATTTCATTTCATTTAGGATACATTTCAAAAGATACATTTCATTTAGATTGGAGGAATAATTTTAAGAGTTTTATTGTATAACATGGACTATAGTTGCTAACAATGTATTGTTGAAAATTGCTAAAAGGGTGGATTTTAAGTGTTCTCACCACAAAAAATAAGTATGTGAGGTGAGCCATAAGTTCTTTAGCTTGATGTAGCCGGTCCATGATGTACATACATTTCAAAACAACATATTATACATGATAAATATAAATAATTTTTGTCAATCAAAATAATTTAGAAAAGTGACACACACTTACACACACACACACAAAAGAGATGATTGCATTGGCCAGTCTAGGAATAAGAGTTATCTGGGAGTTTTCTAAGTCGGATGCCACCGACATCACTCACCAATAATCCCTTTAATGTCAATCAAATTAAGTCCTCTTCTTCCATCATTTTACTCCTATGCCCATTTCCTCACTCTTTGTTCAGGCACTATTAGTCTTGCCTCTTGAACCAACTTCTTTCACTCATGCTGCCCACTGTTGCCGTAGTGATCTTCCTAAATTGCAAATGCGCCATCACTCTCCTGCTTAAAATCCTTCAATGATTCCTTATGACTTCCAGGACAGAGTAGCTACTCCTGAGCTTTGCATGTAACATCTGTCATGATCCAGCCCCTGCCTGTCTATTTTTCCTTTTTTCTTGCTGCTGTTCCACATCCAAAGCTGGCTCCATTCATACTGAAGCAGCTGAAGTTCTTCAGATATGTCATTGCCACACTGGGCCCACACTTTTGAACCTGCTTCCTCCTGTGTGAGAAGTGGCTTCTGCCCTGTTTTCGGACTGCCTACATTGAAGCCATCTGTTCCCCAGGAAACCTTCCCTGATGCCTTGACAGCAGCATCTTGTGCCTGCCCCATATCTGCACTTATCCATCTGGGCCTGCTGTTGTCTTGTCACTTGTGTTCTCTTCTGTGAACTGTAAACATCAGGAGGACAAGACCTATGTCTTACTTTTATTTGAATATTTAGCATCTAACAATGTTCGACATATAGTAGGCTTTTGATACTATTTTTTTACTATGACATTGTAGTATATGTTAATATCCAGTAGGACATAGGATATATTCTCTCTGTTTTCAATTTTTCATTGTTTACACACATTTATAATTCTATCTATAAGGATTTACAATTATTTACATGAAATGAATGAAATAAATAGAGAATGTTAGATATTAAGAGACAGTGTGGAAAGCCAGGCTGGGACTAGGGATGCACTTACCTTAGGTGCAAAATTTAGGAGGATACCAAAAGAACTCAGTAATAAAAGTCAATCATATTTTAATGAAATATCTTAAGAAATCTAAATTAATGGAAAATATATAATGAACAAAATGTCAAAAGAGAACTATTCAAAGAAAATGGAGAAGCAGAGAGGCAGAAGAATTAGTAGAATATACTGGCACATAAGCCAAGGAGGTAAAGATTTCCAGGAAGGAGGAAGTAGAGTGGAGTCAGAAGTTCAACAGAAGTCATTTCAGAAATCTTACCTTGGTTTTGAAATCCTTTCAGAGAGCAGTTTTACATAATGTGAGCAATTATTTCTCCTTCATCCCCATCATTCCAGAATTGAGCTTCTTCTCTGGCTTCAGAAATGTGGCCCTTCCCCTTGTCAGGATATGTTGGCGACATGATGCATGCGGATGCCCTCAAAGTCAGCTGGGGTTTGGGGGTGAAATTAATTGACTTTAGGGAACTCCTTGAATGCTAAGTTCTGTTCACCTGGAGGACCAGAGAGGGCACAGAGATGACCACCTAGCTTCTGCCTGGGACCTAAACAGGGCAGAGAAATAGGAGGATCAGGTATAAAGGGAGCAGGGAAGATGGGTCTGGGCTTACAGTACTGAACCCAGGGATGACAGTAACTGTGTGTGTCTCGAGGCAGGTGACAAAATATGTGAAAGGAAGAGGACTTAGGAGAGATCTGAATTCCAGCTGTTTTACAAGCTATATCTCAGCTTTCTTTCTCAATTCATGTGCTCTCTACCCCAAAGGCTGATGGAATTGCTGACCCTTCAAGTTCTCTTCTCATCTGCACCCCTTCCCTCCTGCTGCACACTGTTCAGCGACATCACACACTTCTCCAGCCTCCTCTCTTCCTAGTCTTACCCCTTCCCAGTTCCCATAACTGAACTGTCCTGTTGAGGAGTTCTTAGCAGCCCTCTGTGACCACAAGTGCAAGTTGCACTCCCTTCTGAGACAAAGTCCCCCATTTATTCCCTCCTGAGGGCGTGTCCCTTCCCCTGACCCTCATGGACTCTCCCAGGTGCACCCCCTGTGGATTTGCTCCTGGGCCTGAGTTTCCCCTACTTCCCTGATGGTGTCTGGAGGGCAAGGGGTATCTGTCTATCTACTGAGTGTCATAAACTGCCCAACTCAGCACACCCACCCTCTACCTCTTCCTAAGTGTAGTGACACGGTGAGGGAGGTAATGGGGTGGGGTCTGGAATCAGACACCAGGAGGAAAGGGGTGGTGGCTCTCTTTGCCTCTCACTCTGTGTGTATTTCTCTCGGGTACCAGGAGGATTTCCTAAAGATTTCTTTCTCCTGACTGTTTTCTGGACCCGTCCTGGTCTCCAAGCTCCCCTCCTGATTCTCTGCAGTGCCCAGGTGTCCAACAGTTGAGCCTGGAGCCAGGCCAACTTGTCAGCTTCCTGTATGAGGATCAGACTGGACGACTTCAACCTGCTTAGCCCGTCTTCTGAGGCCTCACCCTAGTAGTTGGCAAGTAAGTCTATTTGCTCCTCTGGTCTGCCTGGCCCACACTTTTGTGAGAAAGTGCCCTAGAACCTGTACGCTCTAAACTGTGAAACCCTGTTCCTTCTTTTGGCCACAACACACCTACGCACTGCCCAAAGTTCAGTCACTTCTAGCCCAGAGTTTGGGCTTAGAGTGCATCCTTCTCTGCAAGTTGTGTTAGCCTGTACCTTGGGCAAGTTACTTAAATTTTTTGAGCCTCAGTTTCTACATCTTAGGATGGACAGTAAATAGAATTGGCACAAACAAGTGAGAAAGTGATGGCACAGTGTTTGTTGCACTGTAAGCACTTGATAAATGGCAGCTATTGTGATTACTGCTCTCATCGTCATTGGTTTCAACTTTCATCAACAGATCTCCAACCCTGTTGACGCCCCTGCTTCAGTCAGTCACTTGAACCTCTCACTCCATGACCAGGTGGCACCTTGTGGCTATGGCCATGAAGGGCCAGTCTGTCACCCTCATTGTTGACTGCAAGATGTGAGTCACCCGGCCTCTCCCCTGAAGAACTAGTCCAGTGTTGGACACCTGTGGGGTGATAATTGTTGGTGCCTGTATCCCAGATGAAGAAAGTCTTTGAGGTTACCACAAAAATCAGAGAAAGGAGTGACTTCTGGTCCCTTATTTTGTGCCCACTCCTCTTCTGGCCCCAGTATGCAATGTTCCTATTTCCTAAGCCTTCATTTTTTTTCTTGTGAATTTTGATTTGCATTTCCTATCTTCAGGACTGCTGATCTCTGCAGAATAACTAGATGTCCACTTATGTGGCAGGACTGTCCACAGCCACTTATTCTATCCTTCAGTCTTCATCTCTCCATCTATCCATCCCTTGAACCTATCTCTCTCCTCATCCACCCCATCCATCCACTCATTCACCAGTCCACCTACGCACACATCCACCACCCACTCCCGCAACCATTTACCCACCTATGCATCACAAACTTACCCATCTACTCATGCATGAAGGCTTATATCCACTCACCTGTCCATCCTCCCCCTGCTTAATGACTCTCCCCTTCTTTACACACATCTATTCGACTATGCTTTTGTTCATCTGTCCTCTTCAACTTATCCATCCATCTATTCACTCACCCACCCACTCACACACCCCATCTACCCATGCATACAAGGATGCATGCATCTGTTCAGCCACCCATCTATCCATTATCCTTCCTGGAACTCAACCACTCTCTCCTTCAATACACTCATGCACCCATCTCCTCACCCACTCACTTCACATCCAACCGTTCACTCAACCATGTACTCAATTCCACCCATCTATCTATTCACTCATCTGATTCCATCTACTCTGTACCTCCCGCTCATCTACCCACTAAGCCTTGCATGCATAATTCCCTCTGCAGGAGTCCCATTGTACCTGTTTTGTGCCTTTCTTTTCACTCTGGGTCATGGTAGCCATATTGTTGAAGGTTCACTTCCCAGATCCTCTTTTCTTGGCTGCTTCCTGTCTGTACAGCCACTTCCTGTTTGTCCAGTTTGTTTTGTGGCCATCTTGGCCATGTTTAATTTTCCTTGGCCCTGGCATCACTCTTGCATCCAAGTGTTTGTCATTTTATTTTGTGTCCCTTAGTTGTTCTCATATCTTCCAGTATTCTCTGTCAGTTGGACTGCTTCCTGTCTACTCTGCTACATCTTCTGCCTGCCTTGCAGTTATGGCTGCCTTTTCTACCCTGCTGCTGCATCCCACACCTCCTGCTCTTGGCACCCGTGAGCTTCTGCTGCCTTTCCTTTATGCTGCTGTCTGGGTCTTTGGGGTTGATGTGGGATCTGGGAGAATTTTGAAACGGATCATTGCTGTCAGGATGAAGGTGGAGAGGGGCATTCTGAAGATCTTTGTTTTGGGGAGTTGGGGTGGTGGTGAATGTTTCACCTTCTCCCCACCCTTATCTTGGCTATGGCCTGGATTTGGGAACAGGCATCTGAATGGAGGTGTGCAAGGGAGGGAACTGGTTGGCTTGGAGTGTACATGAGGGCCAGAAGAAGGGCAAAGCATCCTGCTGGGAGAGGAACTGTGGGGTGCATTGTAGGGGGCTGCTCTGGGGCTTGGATAACTGAGCCCAAGAACTGTATGTTTTGCAAAAGGCAGTTATGAGGCCTGAGTTTGGAATATCTCTGGGAAATGCTCTCCAAATTTACTTGGAGTATGGATACTTAACCTGTGCAGGGTTTTTACATTTTTGAACTCCTTCAAATTCTAAATAAAATTTTGTGCATAAGGGCATATACCTTTTCTTTTTTGGAGAAAGACTGAAAGACTCAAAGTCCTCTTTCTGAAAGAGGCTCTTCAGGATTTGGAGAGGTTGTGTTTGCTGAGGTGGGACTGAGAACTGGGGTGCAGGGAACCCTGAGATCTCCTTGGCAGGCATGAGAGTTTTGTGAACAGAAGTATTTAGAGGAAGCCTGTGGGGCTTGTGGGTAGGGCTGGTCTGGTCTCCAGAGGACCCAAAATCGAGGTTGGAGTTGAGATGGGGGCAGGCCTGGTGTCCTGGCTGCTCATGGGCCCCACTGGGGTTACATGTGTGTCTCCCTTAGGCTGCCCATGGGCCCCGGGGGCTGAAGGGAGAGAAGAGAGAGCCTGCAGTGCTGGAACCTGTAAGTCATGCTGGTCACAGGGCTGAGGTGGTGGAAAGAGGAGAAGCAAGTGGGGTTTAGTGTGCTGGCCCTGTCACCTGTGAGTTTTAACCTTTGACTCCACAGGGTATGCTCGTGGAGGGGCCCCCTGGTTTAGAAGGCCCTGTGGTGAGTCTAGCAGTGACCTGGTGGCCATTGTTTTCTTAGAGATCCCTCCTATGTGTTCATCTGTGCCTTCCCCACATATGCTCAGGCCTCCTCCTCAGAACTCCGGAGGGTCCTTCCAATAAAAGTTTTTTAAAAAATCATTTCGAAAAATTAATTCAATAGTTTTTGGGGAGCAGGTGGTGTTTGGTTATATGGATAAGTTCTTTAGTGGTGATTTCTGAGGTTTTGGTGCACCCATCACCTGAGGAATGTACACTGTATCCAGTGTGTAGTCTTTTATCCCTTACCCAGCTCCTACTCATACCTGGAAGTCCTCAAAGTCCATTATATAATTCTTATGCCTTTGTGTCTTCATAGCTTAGCTCCCACTTATAAGTGAGAACATACAATATTTGGTTTTCCATTCTTGAGTTACTTCCCTTAAAATAATGGTTTCTAATTCCCCCTAGGTTGCTGCAAATGTTATTTCATTCTTTCTTATGGCTGAGTAGTATTCTAAGGTATATAGATCACATATATATCATATGTGATCTATATATAGATCATATATATATATGTGATCTATATATAGATCATATATATATATGTGATCTATATATATATAGATCACATATATATATATCACATATATATATATCACATTTTCTTCATTCACCCATTAACTGATGGGCATTTGGGGTGGTTCCATATTTTTGCAATTGTGAATCATGGTGCTGTAAACATGTGTGTGCAAGTGTCTTTTTCATACAATGGCTTTTTTCCTCCAGTAGTGGGATTGCTGGATCAAATGGTAGATCTATTTCTAGTTCTTTAAGGCATCGCTGTACTGTTTTCCATAGGTTGTACTAGTTTAATTTCCCACCAGTAGCATAGAAGTGTTCTCTTTTCATCACACCTACCCCAACGTCTATTTTTTTTTTTATTTTTAAATTATGACCATTGTTACAGGAGTAAGTTGGTATCACATAGTGGTTTTGATTTGCATTTCCCTGATAATTAGTGATGTAGAGCATTTTTTCATATGTTTGTCAACCATTTGTATATTTTCTTTTGAGAATTGTCTGTTCCTCTGCTTAGCCCACTTTTTGATGGGAGTATTTGTTTATTTCTTGCTGATTTGTTTGAGTTTTTTGTAGATTCTGGATATTAGTCCTTTTTTGTATGTATAGCTTGCGAATATTTTCTCCCACTCTGTGGGCTGTTTACTCTGATGATTATTTCTTTTCCTTTGAAGAAACTTTTTAGTTTAATTAGGTCCCATCTATTTATCTTGTTTCTTTTGCATTTGCTTTTGGGTTCTTGGTCATGAACTCTTTGCCTATGCCAATGTCTAGAAGAGTTTTTCCAATGTTCTAGAATTTTTATGGTTTCAGGTCTTAGATTTAAGTCTTTGATCTACCTTGAGTTGATTTTTGTATAAGGTGAGAGATGAGGATCCAGTTTAATTCTTCTGCATGTGGACTGCCAATTTCCCCAGTACCATCTGTTGAATACGCTGTCCTTTCCCCACTTTATGTTTTTGTTTGATCAGTTGGCTGTAAGTATTTGGTTTTATTTCTGGGACTTCTATTCTGTTCAATTTGTCTATGTGCCTGTTTTTATACCATTCCCATGCTGTTTTGGTGACTATAGCCTTGCAGTATATTTTGAAGTCAGGTAATGTGATGCTCCAGATTTATTCGTTTTGCTTAATCTTACTTTGGCTATGTGGGCTCTTTTGTAGTTCCATATGAATTTTAGGATTGTTTTTTTCTAGCTCTGTAAAGAATGATGATGGCATTTTGATGGGGATTGCATTGAATTTGTAGATTGCTTTTGGCAGTATGGTCATTTTCACAATGTTGATTCTACCCTTCCATGAGCATGGGACGTGGTTCTACTTGTTAGTGTCATCTATAATTTCTTTCGGCAGTGTTTTTAATTTTCCTCGTACAGGTGTTTAACCTCTATTGCGGGAAGTCAGGGACCCTGAATGGAGGGACCGGCTGAAGCCACAGTGGAAGAACATAAATTGTGAAGATTTCATGGACATTTATCACTTCCCCAATCAATACTCTTATAACTTCCTATGCCTGTCTTTACTTTAATCTCTTAATCCTGTCATCTTTGTAAGCTGAAGATGTATGTCACCTCAGGACCCTGTGATGATTGCGTTAACTGCATAAATTGTTTGTAAAGCATGTGTGTTTGAACAATATGAAAACTGGGCACCTTGAAAAGAACAGGATAACAGCAATTTTCAGGGAACAAGGGAGATAACCATAAGGTCTGACTGCCTGCAGGGCCAGGCAGAACAGAGTCATATTTCTCTTCTTGCAAAAGCAAATAGGAGAAATATCGCTGAATTCTTTTGTCAGCAAGGAATAGCCCTGGGAAAAGAATGCATTCCCGGGGGAGGTCTCTAAAATGGCCACTCTGGGAGTGTCTGAATTACATGGTTGAAGATAAGGGATGAAATATGCCCTGGTCTCCTGCAGTGCCCTCAGGCTTGCTAGGATTAGGAAATTCCAGCCTGGCAAATTCTAGTCATACTGGTTCTCTGCTCTCGAACCCTGTTTCCTGTTAAGATGTTTATCAATGACAATGTGTGCCCAGCGGGATGTGGAACCTCATCAGTGATTCTAGTTTTGCCCTCTGCCTTGTGATCTTTTACTGCCCTCTGAAGCATGTGATCCCTGTGACCCATTCCCTATTCATAGACCCCCACCCCTTTTGAAATCCGTAATAAAAACTTGCTGGTTTTGCGGCTCAGGTGGGCATCATGGAACCTGCTGACATGTGATATCACCCCCGGAGACCCAGCTGTAAATTTCTCTCTTTTGTACTCTTTCTCTTTATTTCTCAGACTGGCCCACACTTAGGGAAAATAGAAAAGAACATACTTTGAAATATTGGGGGCTGGTTCCCCCAGTAAACCTCCTTGGTTAGGTATATTCCTAAGTATTTTATTTTTTTGCAGCTACTATAAAAGGGGTTGAGTTCTTGATTTAATTCTCAGCTTGGTCACTGTTAGTATATGGCAGTGCTACAGATTTGTGTACATTGATTTTGTATCCTGAAACTTTACTGAATTCATTTATCAGATCTAGGAGCTTTTTGGATAAGTATTTATGGTTTTCTAGGTATACAGTCATATCATTGGTGAACAGTGACAGTTTGACTTCCTATTTACTGATTTGTCTGATTGCTCTGGCTAGGATTTCCAGTACTATGTTGAATAGAAGTGGTGAGAGTGGGCATCCTTATCTTGTTCCAGTTCTCAGGGGGTATGCTTTGAACTTTTCCCCGTTCAGTATAAGGTCGGCTGTGGGTTTGTCATAGATGGTTTTTATTACCTTAAGTTATGATCTTTGTATGTCAAGTTTGCTGAGGGTTTTAATAAAAAAGCGATGATGGATTTTGTCAAATGCTTTTTCTGCATCTATTGAGATCATATGATTTTTGTTTTCAAATCTGTTTATGTGATCTATCACATTTATTGACTTGTGTGTATTAAATCATCCTTGCATCCCTGGCATGAAACCCAATTTATCACCATGTATGATCTTTTTGATATGCTGTTGGATTATGTTAGCTTGTATTTTGTTGAGGATTTTTGCATCTATTTTCATCAGAGATATTGGTCTGTAGTTTTCTTTTTTATTATGTCCTTTCCTGGTTTTGGTATTAGGGCGATCCTGGCTTCATAGAATAATTTAGGGAGGATTCTCTCCTTCTCTGTTTTGGAATAGTTTCAGTAGGATTGGTACCAATTCTCTTCTTTGAATGTCTGATTGAATTCAGCTGTGAGTCCATGTGAATCTGTGATTTTTTATCGTTGGCAGTTTTTTAAAAATTACCATTTCAATCTTTCTGCTTTTTATTGGTCTGTTCACAGTTTCTATTTCTTCCTGATTTATTCTAGGAGGGTTGTATATTTCCAGGAATCTGTCTTCTCTAGGTTTTCTAGTTTGTGCCTGTGAATGTGTTCATATTAGCCTTGAATGATATTTTATATTTCTGTAATATCAGTGGCATTTTCTTCCATTTTGTTTCTAATTGAGGTTATTTGGATCCTCTCTTTTCTTGGTTAATCTCACTAATGGTCTATCAATTTTATGTATCGTTTCAAAGAATCAGCTTCATGTTTCATTTATCTTTTGTATTTTTTTGTTTCAATTTCATTTACTTCTGCTCTCTTTGTTATTTCTTTTCTTCTGCTGGGTTTGGGTTTGGTTTGTTCTTGTTTCTCTAGTTCCTTGAGGTGTGACTTTACATTTTGTATTTGTGCTCTTTCAGACTTTTTGATATAGGCATTTAATGCTATGAACTTTCCTCTTAGGACTGTTTTTACTGTGTCCGAGTGGTTTTCACAAGTTGTGTCACTATTATCATTCAGTTCAGAGAATTTTGCATCTTGATTTCACTGTTGACCCAAAGATCATTCAGGAGCAAATTATTTAATTTCCATGTATTTGTATAGTTTTGAAGGTTTCTTTTGGAGTTAATTTCCAATTTTATTCCACTGTGGTCTGAGAGGGGACTTGATATAATTTTGATTACCTTAAATTTGTTGAGGCTTGTTTTGTGGCCTATTATGTGGTCTATCTTGGAGGATGTTTCATGTGCTGATGAGAAGAATGTATATTCTACAGTTGTTGAGTAGAATGTTCTGTAAATATCTGTTAAGTTTATTTCTTCTAGTGTAACTTAAGTCCATTGTTTCATTGTTGACTTTCTGTCTTGATGACTTTCTAGTACTGTCAGTGGAGTATTGAAGTCCCCACTATTATTGTGTTGCTGTCTATCTCATTTCTCATGTCTAGTAATAATTGTTTTATAAATTTGGAAGCTCCCATGTTAGGTGCATATATGTTTAGGATTGTGATATTTTCCTGTTGGAGTTATCCTTTTATCATTGTATAATGTCCCTCTTTGTCTTTTTTAACTGTTGTTGCTTTAAAATCTGTTTTGACTGATATAAGAATAGCTACTCTTGCTTGCTTTTGTTTTCCATTTGTATGGAATATCTTTTTCCACTCCTTTACCTTAAGTTTTTGTGAGTCCTTACACATTAGATGACTCTTGAAGACTGAAGATACTTGGTTGCTGAATTTTTATCCTTCCTGCCATTCTGTATCTTTTAAGTGGAGAGTGTTAATATTGAGATGTGAAGTACTGTTCTATTTCTCATGCTAGTTGTTGCCTGAATTCCTTATTTTTTTCCTTTGCATTACTGTTTTATAGGCCCTGTGAGATTTATGCTTTAAGGAGGTTCTATTTTGGTGTATTTTGGAGTTTTGTTTGAAGACTTAGAACTCCTTTTAGCATTTTGTGTAGTGCTGGATTGGTAGCGGTGAAGTCTCTCAGCATTTGTTTGTCTGAAAAAGACTTTATCTCTCCTTCATTTATGACGCTTAGTTTTGCTGGATACAAAATTCTTGCCTGGAAATTATTTTGTTTGAGGAGGCTAAAGATAAGACCCCAGTCTTTTCTGGCTTATAGGCTGCTGTTAATCTGATAGGTTTTCCTTTATAGGTTACCTGATGCTTTTGCCTCACAGCTCTTAAGATTCTTTCCTTTGTCCTGACTTTAGATAACCTGATGACTATGTGCCTGGGCGATAATCTTTCTGTGATAAATTTCCCAGGTGGTCTTTGAGCTTCTTGTATTTGGTTGTGTAGATCTCTAGCGAGGCCAGGGAAGTTTTCCTTGATTATTCCCTCAAATATGTTTTCCAAACTTTTAGATTTTTGTTCTTCCTCAAGAATGCCAATCATTCTTAGGTCATTTAACATAATCCCAAATTTCTTGGAGGCTTTGTTTATTTATTAAAGTTCTTTTTTCTTTGTCTTTGTCTGACTGGGTTAATTCGAAAGGCTTGTTGTTTGAGCTATGAAGTTCTTTCTTCTACTTGTTGGATCCTATTGTTGAAACTTTCCAGTGCATTTTGTATTTCTCTAAGTGTGTCTTTCATTTCCAGAAGTTGGATTGTTTCTTCTTTATGATATCTACGTCCCTGGGGCATTTTTAATCCATATCCTGTGTTTTTAAAAAATTTATTTAAGTTGTTTTTCACCTTTCTCTGGTATCTTTTTGAGTAGCTTAAAATCAACCTTCTGAATTCTCTATCTAGCAATTCAGAGATTTCTTCTTAGTTTGGATCTATTGCTGGGGTCCAGTGTGGAGGTGGTAGGGGAGTGAAGTAGACTCTGTGAGAATCCTTGGTTGTAGATAGACTTAGTGTGGTGGCTTTCTCAAATGCTGGTTATGCTAGCAGTGCAGTTGTCATGTGAACAGACCGAAGACCACTGGTTAGTCAAGATTTTTCAGCCAGTGGAATTAGCTGTTTTCTCCTTTCTTAGAGCAGTTATTCTGTCGTGAATTGTTGTAATGTCCTGAGTTGGTTGGCCTCCAGCCAGGATGTGGTGCTTTCAAGAGGGCACCAGCTACAATAGTAGAAGGTGGATATAAGCTTGCCCTAAGTTGGCCAAGATAAATATTCAGTTTCTCAGGCAATGAGTGGTGTCATAAAGCTCCCAAGAGTTTACGTCTTTTGTGATTGGCTACCAGGTGGGTAGAGAAATGCCCTCAGGTGTGGACAGGGTTAGGCAGGTCTGAGCTCAGACTCTCCTCGGGCGGGGGGCTTGCGGCAGCCACTGTGAGGGATGGGGCGGAGGGTTTTTCTCCAGCCAATGGAATTATGTTCCAGAGGGCATTATGGCTGCCTCTGTCACCAGAGAAGTAGGGGAAACCTGGTAGCAATAGGCTTCACCCAGCTCCCATGCAGTTGGCGAGGCAGGTTTTGCTCCTGCTGTGCCACACTAACAGCATTGAATTTATCTCCCTGCAGCCTTCAGGATGGACTCAGACCTCACTCCAGGCTATAAGTTTCCTGCTGAGAAAGCAAGCACAGCTTTCAGGCCATGTGCCTCCCTGTCTGCCCACAATGTTGGCAGTAACTTCTGCTCTTTCTCCAGCAGTTCCGTTCGCCCCCAGATTCTGCTCCAGAGGATTTGTGCCCAGTCAGAATTATAACAAATTTCAGTTGGACGCTCCTTTCACACTGTGACCCCTTCCAAATTTTGCCGTCTGCCTTCCCCCAGGGCCCTTGTGAGATATAGTCAGGGGTGGCTTCCCTGGGCTTGAGCTAAAGACTGGGCGTGCCTACAAGGCTCTTCTCACTGCTGCATCTACCATATATATATATATATTTTTTCTTTTTGTTGCGACGGAGTCTCACTCTGTCACCCAGGCTGGAGTGCAGTGGCGCGATCTCGGTTCACTGCAGGCTCCGCCTTCCGGGTTTATGCCATTCTCCTGCCTCAGCCTTCCTAGTAGCTGGCACTACAGGCGCCCGCCACCACGCCTGGCTAATTGTTTTGTATTTTTAGTAGAGACGGGGTTTCATCGTGTTAGCCAGGATGGTCTCAATCTCCTGACCTTGTAATCCGCCCGCCTCGGCCTCCCAAAGTGCCGGGATTACAGGTGTGAGCGGCAGCGCCCGGCGTACTTTTGTATTTCATGCTAAATCTGTTTCAGGTCTAGGTAAAGTTAAATCCTTTTCCTGTAATCTGGATTTTCGAGTTCCCCAGTGGGGACATGGGTCCGGAGGCAGGTTTTTCCCCTCTCACGCTTTGGGAACGCACAGTTTTTCACTTGTCTGGTGGAGTTTGCAGTGGCCCCTCCCTTCTTTAAAAGGATCTGTGAATTCTTTCGATTTTCTGGGTATTCTCCTGCAGTGGTTCCTTTCTTGAGGGATCTGTGAAGTGAGTTCCTCAAGATATTTCTTGTCAGGTGAACAGTCTGTGGTCTCTGCAGGGCCTGTACCACCCCTGGGCACTGTATGCCCCACAGAGTGGGCCTCTCCTGTGCAGGGCCTGGGAAGAGGTTGATTATAATCTGGTGTCTGAGGCCTGGCAGCACCACACTCTCTTCAGTGAGTCAGGCTCAAGTCTGAGCACATCTGCAGAGCTTATGTTTGCTGTGTTGCTCATGGAAGGCAGGGAATCCAAAATTGTTTTCTTAGAGATGGACTCTCACTATGTTTCCTAGGCTGCTTTCAAACTCCTGGCCTCAAGTGATCCTCCTGTCTCGGCCTCTCAAATCACTGAGATTACAGGTATGGGCCACTGTGCCCAGCCTATTATCGATTTTCTCCCATTTCATTCAGTCCTCAACCCAATGTACTCTCTCTTTTTCTTTCCCTCATCTCTGATGCTCCTCTCAGGGTGGCAACTAATGACTTTTATACAACTCAAGCCAGTGGTCACTGTTCTGTTTCTGTCTTATGTGTGTCATTAGTGTGTTTGAGATGCCCCCTCTCCTCTTTCCTGGAAGTTTTCTCCTGTCTCTTGTCTTTTATGAACCCACTTCCTCTCTGTTTTCCTACCAATTTCTAGTCCTCTGCTTTTCAGCCTCTTTCTTCATGTCTGTGTTTGTCTGGATGCAGGAGCACACACTCAGATCCCTGCTATCCTGACTTTGTGTACTTTTCTTGAGTGACCTGACCCAAAATTAGAACTTCACCCACCATGAGCCTCCTTCCAGTTTATGTCACTAACCTAATGTAGCATGACACTCATCCATTTATTTCACTGCCTTCAAATCAACTGTATGTTTTCCCCTAGAAGTTTAAATTCAGTATGTCTCAAACAGAAAATTTTACCTTCTCTCAATCACTTAATTATCACCTTTGCAGGCACGGATGCCACAATTCTCCACGTTGCGTGGTTATTCTCGACTTCTTCATATCCCTACTTCTGGCATGTGATTTAGTGATTCCTGTGGCCTCTCATGTCATTACTGCCATCAAATCCATCTGCTGTCCTCCTCACCCCATGTTCCTGCCCTGGCCTACGCCTTCATTACTTCCCACCAGAGGGCTTAAAAGTGCTACTGGTCTTGCCTTGAGTCCCGCCTCCTCCAGCCCATCCTTCCTACAGGTGCCCCATCCAAACACAAATCTGACCGTGTTACTCTCCTGCTTAAGATACTTCACAACTTCCTATGTCCTGTGGGATAAAATGCAAACACTTGCCATCAGCACACAAGGCAGGTTACAGTGCTGCCTGGCCCACATCTCCCCTGGCTTCAGTCACACTGAAGAACTGCAGTTCTCCTTGCAACTTCATGCCTCTCTGCTCCTGAGCCTGCTTCTCCTGCTGGAAATGCCATTTCCCCTTTCTCTGTTTTGCTATCTGCAGGTGAACACTGTCCCTAGGAACCTTTCCTAAATCGTATTTTAATTTTGCTCCTGAGTAGCTCTTGTGTATACCTTGTGATACTCAGTGGTGATCAAACCACACATGTAGCAATCATCTTTTCTTTGTCTGTTTTATTCTTGAATTTCAAGTAGATTAAGGACAAAGTTCCCATCTTTAGAGTTTCATCCTTATTACCTAGAGAGTGAAAGTTCACAAAAAGCATTTATTAACTGAATGAAAATTAACATTTGAAGTGTGGAATTTGCTTCAAAATGTGCCAACCTTTAGTTTTCAGATTTTGTAAATATAATAAATACAAAGTAACCTAAGCTGAACCAATTACATCTGTGTAGCCCAGTCTATACACCATGTATTTTTCTTTTTCCTTTGGGATTCATTTCTGTAGGTGAGTAATCCTCTAGACCCTAAACTCAGTGGGGGACCCTCACCATCCGTGTGCGGCACTGAACCTGCTGTCACACTATGCATCTAAGTAGAGGACTGGTTCTCCCCATGCTGGGCTGGGAGGGGAAATCCTCACTTAGGGACCACCAACCATGCAGTGTCATTTGGCTTCACTTCCTCTTCCAGGCCGAACCCTAAACTCTCTGTAATTCACTGTAATAATAATTCACTTTTTGTTATCAACCAGTTGCTGCTTCTTATGTATCAGGTAAAGCTAAGATACTATCCCATAGGTCTTTCAAATGCCAACAACTTGTATTTCCAGGTGAAACTACACTTGAAAACTACACTCCACAAGACAATTTTGTGAATGTTATGTGAATGATAATACTTTTAAATTTACTCTGCCTAAAATGTAAGTGTTGTGGATAAAATTATAGAAGGTATCATTTTTCTTCTAAAAGTAAGAATGTAACTTGAAGTCTATAAATGTCACTAAGACTCTGGAGGTATTTTCATGTCCTTCACGATTTTGTTCCACTCTGAAATATTTATTCCATCCTTCCACTTCCCTGCCTTGCTTTATGGCTATATCAGTAATTTTTAATGTATTGTCCTGTAGGGTTTCTGAGATCCTACAGGAATGAGGTAGGAGGACTACTCAATATTGTTTCTACCAGGAGTTGTGTGACTTGGACAAGTTACTTTACCTCTGGGGTCAGTTCCCTACTATGGAAAATAAGTTCTTCTACATGGGGGTGTGAAGATTCAATGAGTAAGTTTAGCACATAGTAAGTGCCCAATAAATATTATCTTACTGTATTCAGCATTACCATTATCATAGACGGATGTTAAGTCTTCAGGGACAAGGGAAACAACCTATATCGTCCATGGGTCATTTCTGTCTTTGTTTCTTCTCACTCCTTTTCTTTTCTTTCATTTGCATTTCTCATTTTCTGTGTTATTCCTTCATGTTCCCAATAACCTTCCTGTTACCTGTTTGCTTCCTGCATTCTGTGTAGCATCCTACGTATTCACCCATTCTCCATCTTCTCCTTCATGCAGCAGACCATGTGTCAACATATGCGGAGTTTGTGCAGACGCACAGAACCTCTGGGGAGTATATGTTTGAATTTGATGAGGAGGAGCAGTTCTACGTGAACCTGGATGAGAAGGAGATGGTCTGGCCTCTACCAGAGTTTATTCACACCTTTGACTTTGGTGCTCAGAGGGGTATTGCTGGCATCGTCATGGCAAGGAAGCACTTGAACACCCGGATCAATGGTCCAAACAGACTTGGGCCACAAATGGCACTGCCTATAGCTGCCTGTTCCTCTCAGAGGGGTATTGCTGGCATCGTCATGGCAAGGAAGCACTTGAACACCCGGATCAATGGTCCAAACAGACTTGGGCCACAAATGGCACTGCCTATAGCTGCCTGTTCCTCTAGAGTCCAGCTGGAGGGATGGGAGGGCCTCTCTGCCACACATAGAACTAGAGGCCATGATGCCCACTCATGAATGAGCCCCTTCCCTGAGAGCGAGAAATCTTGGGTCCACACAGCTGGGTTCTTAGGACAGCAGAGGAGGAGGCATTTTCTTCTTACTCAAGAGAAAGGCTGGGCTGAGGGGGCCAGGTCAGGAGCACGAGAAGCTGTGACCCTGTCCAGGAGCCCTAGGGGAGCAGGAGGATGGGCCTGGGAGAGGTGGCCCCTAATCTGGTGAATATAGGACTTGGGGTGGTGGAACCTTTAAGAATCAGCCAATGGCAGTAGGCTCCTTGGGTTCTATCCCCTTTTGGAGCCCCCACCGAGGTAAGCGTCTTTCCCAAGGAGCCTGTGGATCTGGGCCAGCCCAACACCCTCGTCTGCCATGTTGACAAGTTCTTCCCACCAGTGCTGAACATCACGTGGCTGCGCAATGGGGAGCCAGTCATTGAGGGTATTGCAGAGACCATCTTCCTGCCCAGCAAGAAACTCAGATTACACAGGTTCCACTATCTGACCCTCGTTCCCATGGCCGAGGACACCTGTGACCTCCAGGGGGAGCACTGGGGCCTGCACCAGCCTCTCCTCAGGCACTGGGGTATGGAGCGCCCTCCCTCTGCCCTCACGGCCTTGGCACCACCTTTATTTCCTGGGCCCATCGCCCCTCAGCACCTGCCTTCCTCAATCCCATGTTTTATGGTCACTTTATCCAAATTTCACCATCTCATGGTTTCGAATACCCAACACCTCCCACATCCAAGGCCAGCCCCTGCTCTCTGTACCTTATAACTCTGTCTTCCCTTGGTGCCCCAGAGGTCCATGAACTAATCCAGGTGCCTGAGACCATGGAGATGCTGGTCTGTGCCCTCGGCCTGCTGGTGGGCCTGGCGGGGGTCCTTAATGGCACCATTGTCTCAAAGACCAAGCGATCTGACAGCATCCCCGGGTCCAGGGGCTCCTATGAGTCATCCTATAGGTGTATTAGGGACAGAGTGGAAAAGACGAGGTAACAAGTTAGGGGTGAAGAGTGGGAAAGAGAAACACTTCACCAGGGGCTCTTTGAGCATTGATGTTTTACTGCCATTGGGCTGGATAAAAACATTAACAAATGTAATGAGAAATGACATTCATTGAGTTGCTTACTATGTTCTAGGCACTATTCTAAGTGCTTCTCATGTGTTCACTTATTTACATCTGGAGGTTGGTTCTTATTTATTTCATGTTACAGAGCAGGAATCAGACACCGGGAGAGGTGAAGACCACACAGCTTCAAAGTGCAAAGCTTGGATTTAAACCCAGGCTTTGGGCCTGCAGTGGCTGCAGTCTTGTCCAGTATTTAGATTATTTCATCTGCAGTCACTATCTGTCTTCCTACATTTTACACAGCCTTAATTTTCTTCTGCCCGCAGAGTGATGTTCAGAACTTCCAATGCTATGTTAAACATTTCCAGCAACGAAGGACATCCTATCTTTTGCACAATCTCAAAGGCAATCCACCTCATTTCTTTGAAATATATATGCTATAGATTTTTGGTTCACTACCTTTAACATGTCATGAAATTGATTAAATTCTGTCTATGTCTTGAGCTGAATTCAGTTTAAATTAATATGAATTTTGCGGAGTCCACTAATGTGTTAACCACATTATATATTTTCTGACACTGAAGAATCATTGCATTCCTAGAATAAATCTAAAATTGGTCAAAACGTATTGTTTTTATAATGTACTGTTGGATTCAGTGACATGGCTAAAATTAGTCCACAATCCTGTTCTCCTGTACTATTCTTAGCTGGCTCTGGAAATATAAATGAACCAACCTCATAAAATGATCTCAAAAATTCTGTTCCATTCTATGTTCTAGAATCACACGTGTAAGAGGCATGATCTGCTCCTGGAAATGTGGGAGGACGCCCTCATCTGCAATAAGATCAGGACAGGGCCCTTTGGAAGGCGATTCTTTGCTTCCCATGACAATTTCTTTGATATTCTCTACTCTATTTTAGTTTTCTATTTCTTCCTGTAGTTTTGACCTTTATATCTTTCTAGAAACGTATCCGTTTTATCTAAATTTTCAAATTTATATGTATAGAATTGGTCGTAAGATTTTGCATTTTAAAATGTGTATAAATGTCATTTACCCTTTTCGTTCTGAATCTCCTGTATTTTCCTTAGGAGTCTTGCCAGAGGTCTCATTAAAGTTTTCATTGCCTCAAAATTTGATTTTATCTTCTCTATTTTTATATTTCATTGAATTCAGCTTTTGTCCTTATTATTTACATGTATTTTCTTTTTGCTGTTTTTCTGCTTTTCCATCCTCTTAATTCACATAATTAGCTCATTTGTTTACAGTCATTTTACTCTAACAAAATTGTTTAACAGTCTGACATTCTATGCAGCATTTTGAATGAACTTATTTCATCTTTCTATAAAGACTAAACATCTATTATGTTTTCAGTTATTTCCTCTTCCTCCACTATTTCCCTGACTTTCTAGACGTCTAATTATTAAGATGTCAGATGTCTGTTTCTATCCTTCATTTCTCTTCACTTGTCCTTTACATTTTCTATTGTTTACTCGATCATATTGTCCTTGGGACAGTTTCTCAGTTTGGCTTTTTGTTTATTAATTACACTTCAGTTGCAAAAGTCCTATTTCTTGTCTCATTTATTATGTTTCTTATTCCAATCTTTATCAAAGCTCAATATTTGTGCTTGATTCAGTGGCTTCTTGCTTTTGCTTCAAATTCCCAAATTCTCCTTTACTTCTCTATTTAAGCCCTTTCTATTGTGAACTAGGGGACATTTGGAAGAAACACACAAACCAATAGAATGTACGTTGAATGGTTATCACCGCAAGCACCCATGTAACTAGTACCCGGGTGAAGAAATAGACTGTTGCCAGCATCCCTGTGCCCCTCCTTAGGCCAGGAGGTAGTGTGTAAGCTTTTCAGGAGCCAAAGGCTGCTGATATCCATAATGCCTAGCATTGCTCCTGGTACACAGTAGGTCCTCCATAAATATCTCTTGTAGAAGTATTTTATTATTTATTTAGTGTGTACTTCTTAAATGTTTTCCACCTTCAAGTATTCCCACTTATTTGAAGTTAGTTGCAGCCATATGATTTACATTGGAAAATGAAATGCGAGAAGTGTGTTCTTTCTAGGAGGGATCATTAAAAGCCAGTGAATAAATTCTTAGGTTCCCTTCATTCTGCTGGGGAGGTTCTGGGAGCAGATGTGCAGGAGAAAGACTGTCAGCCTGGCTTCCTGAGTACGATGATGAGCAGAGCTTCCTGCATGACTTACTTTGGACGTGTAACATGAGCCAAACCTGGATATCTGGGTATTTGTTAGTTTAGCACAGCTGATCCTATTCTTACTGTGTAAAAGAAATTGAAGAGAAGGTGCTCAATGAGACTTCAGAGAAGCTGAGAGACAAAAGAACTAGGAGGATGTTTCATCCCATAAGCCAAGTGCACAGTAATTTCAGGGACAGTTTACAATGCAACATGCTCAAAAGGCATCAACTATGGTAAGTGTTCACTGGCCTGGTAGCAAGTGGTTATTAAAACCCCTTTCAAGAGCATCTTCACACCCGATGCCCAACTCCCACCTCCTTCCACTTTCACCATCCCCTGGCTCGGCCTCACTGCTACTTGACAAATGGGGACAAAGAGAGGGTGAGATGATTTCTTCTTAGGGTACCCCTTGATAACCATCTGAGGCAGCGTTGTCTGTTGGGTGGACCACCTTCTCGTTAGGGAACTGTGAGGGGTAGAAAATGAAGGGACCAGGTGGAAAGGGATGGAGGATACAACACTCAGCTGGGAGTCCTAAGCCCGCCGGGTTTTTTCTTCTGCAGGTATCAATTTTTCTGAGTCAGAGGTTGAGTCACCCACTTCACATCTCCTTTAAAGCTCCAGTTCCAACTTTCCTTTGAATCTCTGCTCTTCAACTCCAATGACTGATGTACCTCAAGACTCCTCTACCTCCTGGCTGCCTTTGATCCTGCTGCACATAGCACTCAGCAAAGGGCCTGACTCTTAGAAAACACTCTATCAATATTGAAAATTTGAAGTCTAGTGACAAGGTGGTCCCAGTTTGGATGGTCTCTCAGCTCTTGTCTCCTCTGGGACCTGTCTCTGCACTGCATCCTTCCTTAGAAATCCCAGAGTTTCATAAACACCTGCATATGTCAGAGTGAGACACATCTGATACCTTCTTTCTGTGACTCCAGGGACATTCCTCATCTCCTGACACCCTCAGTTCCCTAGGAGCACATATCCTGTTCCTGTAATGTGGGTGCAGATACCTCAGCTTCTGATCCTGACAAGTGTTAGTCCAGAGATTGTTCACTCCACTCGGGGTACTGCCCTAACCTGTAACATGAGTACAGGAGACAAGCAGGAAAGAGAATGACTCTGACTGGATATGGTTTGTAATTTGTAATGTTAACTGCTCAGTGACTCTGAGGGTAGGATTTATGTGCTCTGGGTCTGAGGATTTCATAATGATCTCGATTTGAAGACTTTCTGCTATTCTCATGACCTCCTTCCATCGTTGAATCCCTGGATTGAAATCATATTAATTTTATGCTGCATAGGTTTCTCACAAGTTTCCTGTGAAGCCAAAAGGGAAAATAAGACAGATAAAGGGTCCTTATTTACTATATACTGTCTTCCTTAGCTTATTATGTGACAGCTGAAATTACTACGCAAAAACAAGTCAGCAGCATTTTCCTTTATAGTTTTTGAGGAAATGAGGCTGATCAGGGATAAAGATGTTTTAAAAAGAAAAAATGATTGTGTCCTATTCCCTAGGTTAAGAAGATTATGAGAAACATGATTGGTTGTCCTTGTGTGTGGCTTCTCTTTCCTGACTCCCTGACTCAGTCCAGCCTCTCTGCAGACTCCAGCTGTATTTACTTATATCTGTGCCAGTGACGCCCAAGTCTGTGCCTTCAGCCCCACCTCTCCTGAAATTGGAGGAAGCCGGTCCCCCGATGGAAGATATTATTTGCAAGGGGAGATGGGCAAGAGGAGCACAGTAGCTTTCGGGAATTGACCAGGGACAGGTGCCCAGGGACACACAAGGCCCAGAAGATGCTTGTAAGAAGCCAGGGAGACTGAAGGCATCAACTGGATGTATAAGAGAGCTGCTGTGCACTGATTGTGTGTATCAGGAGTGAAGAATCCATCCTCTACACGAAAAAGAAAGCTTACAACAAACATGTCCTCTACCTTGACCAAAAGGTGTCAATATGAGACGCAAAACACATAACAATGTTGGATTGTTAAGAAAAAAAAAAAGACCAGTGTTTGAAAAAGAGTGCTACATGTATTGCTTTGCTCTTTCCCCAGTGGGGAGTCATTTCTGTCTGTATGAAAATTAAGACAGGAGGCCTAGGCTGGTGGATGAATGCAGACTTAGACGACAAATGACGTCTATTGGATGCATTCAAAAGTCCAAGCCGTATTTGGTTAAGGAGTATTTGTGATGGCACACAAAGAAAATGGTTAAAGTGTATTAGATTATATTTATGATTTTAAATTCTGATGTTCATTTAACTTCTTAATGGTAATGATAAAACATGCTCTCAGTAAGGTATATGTTGAATTAGTGCTGTGGGAATATGGGTCCTATCAGGCAGATTTGCAGTCTGCTCACCATTGAATAGTTAAGAATAGTGGTCTGAGACATAAATGGATGAGGGCACTAAACTTGATTTGGGGGCAGCTCACTGAAATACAGTCAATTCAGAAGAGTGTCATGTGTAACAGGCCCCATTATACAATAGTTAACATATCCCCATTTTCATGGTTCTCTTCTTTCCTATGTTTAAACCAAAATGAACTTCTTTATTAACTCCTACTGTCTACTAAAACCCTCAGAGAAAAGTGATGAGAGATGATTTGGTGCATATTTTTAAAGGAAAACAAACAGTCATGTTGGGTTTTGATTATTTGTGGTGCTAAGAAGAAGGGAACATGGTTGGAGGCCCAGTGAGAGAAACAGTGCTTTGAATCAAAGAGCAGAATGATAGAAACTGACTTCAGAGCAACTTCTTGGCAGCAGTATCCAATTTGGAAGTTGAAGGTCTGTCCTGGAGCCAGATGCTAACGAAACACAGCAAATGCTTTTCCTAAGGCACAATAGTCTTTTCAGTGAGCTCAGGAACCCTGTGGGGGTAAAAGACAAGTTATCCCAGGTTGCCAGCCTCCTTCCTGTAAGTCCAGGAGAGAAAAATTATGGTGAGAGGATGCGTCTCAGGCTGATAAATAACAGAGTTGATCTCTGCTTCCTTCAGCAATGGAGCCAAGCAATGCTCTTTCCCCACTTGCCTGAAGGCTGACATTGAAAGAGGGGTTCATGCCTGAGATTCCCTTCCTGGAGGAGCCTCAGTGTTACAATGCACAGAAAGGACTCATATCCTCCTGCAACCCACCCCACAAGGAAATCAAAGCAGGAATATTACCTGTTTATGCAGATCCTCGTTGAACTGAAATGAAAGACGAAAGGTTATATAATCAGCCATTGAAACCACCTCAGATAATTAGAGAAACATTTCCATCCCACCAAATTCCATTGCCCATCACTCAATGGACGCTCCGCAGGAGCCTGAGTACTTGGGACCTCATGCATCTGGCTGCATTAAGATCCCAGCCTGGGATCCCTCTCTCGCTATAGGTCATGTTTGTTCCCCGATTATCTGATATCAGTGGCCTCTAGAGCTTTCTGACATTTCTTTTCTGTCAAACCCCTCATCGTGGAATAAGTGTGAATATGCCAGGGGAAGGTAAGTCCCGCTCACCCTGCAGGCTTTCTCACCTTTCTTGCTCCTCCTGTGCATGAAGATGCCCACTCCACAGATGATGAGCCCCAGCACGAAGCCCCCAGCTCCCGTCAATGTCTTACTCCGGGCAGAATCAGACTGTGCCTCTGGGAAGGACAGACCCAGGTTTAGTGTCACCTCCACCAGCTGCATCCCTACTCATGTCCTGTCTGAGATTCTGGAGCCTGATGCAGCATATCGGGATGAGGACAGTGCAGCGGAAAAAGCTTGCTAAGAGGAAATTCAGAAAGAGCCACCCTCATATCTGGAACAGGGGTGTGACCTCAACAAGGTGGCAAATGCTGATTCTGGAAGTTGCCTCTCAAAATGCCTGAGAAGAGGCTAAAATGCTGAAGGAAGAGAACTGTTCCTATGTGTGAGGTCAGTTCCTAAGTGTGAGGGTTTCGAGACCAGTCAGTGTCCCTAGATTCTCTGACAAGGGGGAGAACTATGAATCTTCAGGAACCCCTAAGCCAAGGTCAGGAAGTCTCCATTTCCCTGGCTTCAAACTATGCTCAGGAGCTGGTATAGAAGAAAGATGGGGTTTGGACATGGCCCCAGGGTATAGATGCAGAAGATAAGATGAGTGGACCCCAGAGCCAGAGAGTCCCCTGCTCTTCAGAGGTGGGGTCTAGAGGGTCATCAGAGACTCACTCCACTCCACGGTGACAGGACTATCCAGGCTGGTGTGCTCCACTTGGCAGGTGTAGACATCTCCCTGCTGGGGGGTCATTTCCAGCATCACCAGGATCTGGAAGGTCCAGTCTCCATTACGGATCAGGTTGGTGGACACGACCCCAGCTGTTTCCTCCTGTCCATTCAGGAACCATCGGACTTGAATGCTGCCTGGGTAGAAATCCGTCACGTGGCAGACAAGCAGGTTGTGGTGCTGCAAGGGCCCCTTCTTGGAGGGGGAAACATTCACCCTAGGCTGGACTAGGAGCGTGGAAGAAAAATAATGAAATAGAATTTGAGATTGTCCTTCTTTCCTTCCTTCCTTCCTTCCTTCCTTCCTTCCTTCCTTCCTTCCTTTTTTTTGAGACATAATCTCGCTCTTTCTTTCTTTCATTCTTTCTTTTTGTTGAGATGGAGTGTCACTCTGTTGCCAAGTCTGGAATGCAGTGGCGCAATATTGGCTCACTGCAACCTCCACCTCTGGGCTTCAACCAATTCTCCTTCCTCAGCCTCCCGAATAGCTGGGATTATAGGTGCCTGCCACTTCACCTGGCTAATTTTTGTATTATTAGTAGAGACAAGGTTTCTCCATGTTGGTCAGCCTGGTTCTCTAGGAGCACTTGACCAACGCCTGACCTCAAGTGATCCACCCGCTCGGCCTCTCAAAGGGCTGGGATTACGGGCCTGAGCCACTGCATCTGCCCAGATTATTATTTCTTAGGCATGTTCACTATGTAATTGATTCCTAGATGTTGAAAATAGGAATAATGTGATTAGGCTAGTGGGTAAGGGTAGCATTGAAAAGATAGAAATAGACCTTCAAGTAGAGCATGCATGATCTTGAATAAAATAATAGTTAGTAAGTATATAGCGGAATGGCAGGGAGACAGAGTTTGCACTCTGTAGCACATTTAGGAGAAATTTTAACCAAAAGTAATTTGGGCAAAGAATATTTGATCAACTGTGAAATTACCTACCTTTTCAAAGTTCTATCTTGATACAAAGGAAGCAAAATTTACTCAAATAATATCTTGAAATTAAGATATACAGACAATGGCATTATGGTGGCCTGTGAATCTAATAACTTCATGAAAATACAAAGAAAATGAAGAGAGCTTTACATGTCTTATTCTGTAAAAAACCTATGTATTTTTTTACCTCACCTACAAAAACTCAAAATCTTCATATTTACAGAATATCCTGAGCTCCTACATGCTTGAGTAGTAGAAATCCCGTCCTTTTTCAAGTTCCTCCTCTGTGCTGCGTCTTCAGGTCCCATGAAGGTCTCACAGATGACCAGGTGTTGCCTCCCTCTGCATCTTTGCATTTGTGCCCCAGCTTGTCCTGTTGTTCTCAGGTGAATTTCCACACTGCCACTGGCAACTTTTCTTTTGGATCTCTGCCACCAGTACCTTTTTCCTCCTCAGAAAGCAGAAAAGGCCAGGCATGGTGGTCATGCCTATAATCTTAGCACTTTGGGAGGTTGAGGCATGAGGATCACTTGAGCCCAGGGTTTTGAGACCGGCCTGGGCAACATAGTGAGAACCCATCTCTAAAAAGAAAAATAAATTAGCCAGACATGGTGGTACGTGTATCTGTAGTTCTAGCTACATGGGAGGCTGAGGCAGGAGGATCACTTGAGCCCAGGAGGTTGAGGCTGCAGTGAGCCATGATGGTGCCACAGCACTCCAGCCTGGGAGACAAAGTGAGAACCTGTCTCAAAAACAAACACAAACACAAAACAAAAAACAAACACAGAAAAGGGTCAAGTGCTCCTAGAGAACAGTTCATTCAGGGAGATCCACTAGAGAACAGCTCTTTCAGAGGACTACCCTAGAGAACAGCTCATCAAGAGGAATGTCTCAAATTAGTCTTCTAGGTCCCTAATCACTCAGTTCTTTCCTTTCTACTTCCTGGAGAACACAAATACCCTAACATGGCGCTGGGCCAGGTAAAAGTACAGTCTTGAACTGACACACAACCCTTACTCCCTATTGTATTTTTGCCTTGTTTTCAGACTGATCCACATTGTCAGCCTCTTCCCTCAATGTGAGTTTATTTCAGGGGCACCTGTGTCTCACTACTTCATTACCTCGGTTAACTCAATGTCCATTACACTATTCAACTTATGTCTAAATCTCAGTTGTGAATTACCTACAATTTCTTCCCCATAGAGCTTCTGGGAACCATGAAATCAGGGGGAATACTTGGGTATCTGTTTTAAGGTCCCAGAACATTCCACGAGAGGCATCTTGCTCAATATTCTTTGACAGGAGCAGGTCAGCCTGGAGCCACATCAGTGACCTCCAGGGTGCGCTGGAGTTAAGGCCTGATACCCAATGGCCTCATTTCTGACCCAGTTCAAATACATTTCACCAAGGCAAGGATTCCTGTTTGTTCTAGTTGCCTTCTCTAATGCCCAGAAAACATTTGCTCAATTACTTCTAGATTTGGGTGGACATCCACCCTGGAATTGTCACTACTTCTTTCCTCCCCCTTCCACCTCTCCCTTGCCTCTGTGTTTTCCCTGTTCTAACTCATGCCTTGATTGCAATTTCCCTGACAAATAATAGCAGTTTCCTACCTCATCTCCCTGCCTCTGGTCCCTCCTCTAGCCAGCACCCTTAGTAGTCTTCTGAAGACACATCTCCAACCTTCTCTTTTTCATTTTTCAAAAATCTTCAGTGTTCTGACAATACTTATCTGGCTACATGGGAACCTCTAGGGAGCTGATTACAAGCAGAGATCCCCAGACCTCCCCACCCAGGGAATCTGAGTCTGGGGGCACTGAGTCTGGAGATCTGTGCATCACAGAGGATCTCCAGAAGAGTCTTCAGAGGAGTGAGGTTGGGGACCTGCGGGCCTGGAGGAGAAACCCACACTCCTTAGGCTGGCATCAGGGCTGTCTGCAATCTGGCAGTTGATTACTGTGAAAGAAAATGCTGCCATGTCACTGATTGGTGCCTCTACAAAGTCTTAGTAACAGTTTTTGCCAATTGCGTTATTTTTATTTGAACACCTCTCTCAACCAATTACCTCAGCAACTTTCCTAAGCTCATGTCACTCACCTCATCCCCACCCAGTGTGTCCACCTTCTCACTCATAGCAGGTGAACTTCCTTTCACTTTCCAGGAACAAGAAAATCAAAGGTGTGATCTCCCCAGCTTCCTCCTCCTCCTCCCTTCATTTTTTTCCTCTTTCTAGAAAAAAGGTCCAGGGCTCAATCCCACATCCTGATACTACTCCCTCAAGTCCCTCAGGTTGGTGCACCAGGCTCCCCACCCCACAAGTTCACAGGAGGAAGCCAAAGCTCCAAGGCCTTCCTGTCCCATCCTTGAGAAATCCTCTTACTGCACACACCTCACCTCTCTCCATCCCTTTACACCCAGACTTCCTGAAGGAAAAAGACGAATGAACTGAGACACTGCCCTGTGACAGCCGTGGGGAACCCAAGACAAGTAAAATCCATCTCAGCCCCGAGGAGGATGCGCCACACTCAGCCTCATGCACCCCCTCCCATTCCAGCTCCTGCCGCTGCGGCCAACCTGCTCTCCCCAGGTCTCCCTGGTTTCCAAACCCACTTTCCATCTTCTGTTTTCTGACCTTCCCAAGTCACTGGCACCGCTGTCCACTGTGCTGCTGAGGTCACCTCCCCTCAGCTTCCAAGACTCTTCTCTGCGGGCCTCTCCTCACACTGCACTTGGGTTTTTTTGGTCTCTTTCACAGGCTTTTCTGTCTTGGCCAAATCACAACTGTCCAGTTCCCAGGATCCGGTCCTTTGCTCTTCCCCCTGGGTCCCCTCTCCCTGGATGGTCTCATGTATCTCAGTCTCCTCCCCGGCTGCAGACCCTTCTGTCTACCTGCCCATCAGACCACCCATCTGCCCCTCAAGCACCTCAAACCCAGCTACCTCCCTGTAGGTTTCTTCTCTGTGTGGCCTGCTGTGCCATCTCCACCTCCATCTCCACACCATACCCTTGTGCGCTGTCCTGTGGCTTCCTTTTTTCACCCCACATGCAGTCAGCTGCCAGGCCTGATGAAGTCCCGGGGGTCTCTCTGCTCTCGTCCTCCTCACTCCATGCTCAGCCCAGTCCAGGTCCCCGCGCTCGCTCCCCTGACAAGCTCCAGATGGGCTCCCCCCATGAATCCCCAACCCAAAGTCCCCTTTCCGCCCGGCACTAAGGTCCCTTAGGCCAACCCGGCTGCTCCTGCGCCCTGGGCACGGGCCCGCGGGGCTGCCCTGGGACCGCCGGCCCAAAGCCCTCACTCACCTCGGCGCTGCAGGGTCATGGGCCCGCCCAGCTCGTAGTTGTGTCTGCACATCCTGTCCGGCACTGCCCGCTCCTCCTCCAGGATGTCCTTCTGGCTGTTCCAGTACTCCGCCTCAGGCCGCCCCAGCTCCGTCACCGCCCGGAACTCCCCCACGTCGCTGTCGAAGCGCACGAGCTCCTCCCGGTTGTAGATGTATCTCTCCAGGAAGCGCTGTGTCCCATTAAACGCGTAGCATTCCTGCCGTCCCTGGAAAAGGTAATTCTCTGCGGGGAGGGGGCGGACATGAGCGGAGGCGCCACTCTCATCTAATCCTCTTTCTCCCTCTCTCTCTCAATATTAACGATTCTTCCCAAATCTTCCCACCCAGGGCTGGATTTTAAAATAGGAGTTTTCCTAGTACCGAGTTCTGTGGTCCTAAGCGGGTCGCAGAGCCTCTCCAGGCCTGTTTTCTCACCACGCAGAGAGAGAATTTACTGAAAAGAATGAGCTCAGGGGCACTGAGTGATCACTAGGGAGGGGCGAGCACTGAGGGGAAGGCAGTCCCTTCTGCTGGTGGCTGGAGGAGGCGGAGACGTTTCACGTGGGGTCACTGGGAGAAAAAACAGGGGCGGGAGGAGCTGGGGACGTGGAGGGCGGAGCTGCTCCCCCTACTTAACTCCCTGACTGACATTTCCATCCTGATGTCAGTCCTGGTTCAAATGCCACCTCCTCCAGGAAGCCCTCCCTTCCTTCTTTCTCTTTTCCATAGCTAAGCGCTCTCTCTTCTCGACCAGTTTCTTGAGAATTCCTCAACTTGCTCCTGTTGTTTTGCATGTAGGAGATGTAGAAATATATTTCTTAAAACTTTCTTCAACTTTGGTATAAGAAAGACTCTGTAGCCTGAAAGTTAATTTTCAAACATGGCTGCAGAAAGACTTGGTGTCAAAAGATGTGGAAAGTATTTTACACAATGAAAATCACCACAACAACCAGGGACCTGTGGGGGTAGAGTCCTTTGGGTTTAGAGGCATTGATGTAATTTTTTTTGGCAGTTTTTATGGTTTTATTTACACACAAAACGTGGACATGAACTTTCTACTCATTTTCTTAGCTGTGCACCCTGGTACTGGGGTTGGTGACTCTGATGGCCGGCTGGGTGACTCTTTCCATGATGACTTTGCAGTTCTGGAGGAAATTTTGTGAGCGATCTCAGCACAGTAAGATTTGTTGCACATCAGCAGCACTTTCAGCTCCTTGAGGCTGTGGACCAGAAACTTCTGGAAGCCACTGGGCAGCATGTTTTTTTTGTTGTTGTTGTTGCTCCCATAAGCAATGTTGGGCATCAAGATCTGGCCCTTGGACCTTCTACGAACCCTACTGTTAAGACCTCTGGGTTTCCGCCAGTTATGCTTAATTTTGACATTTCAGTCTGATTGGTGCCTCATGAACTTGTTGGTCCTCTTTTTGAGGATCTTATCCTTCATGAGGAGTCTGAGGGAGGCCATGATGTGGAGGAAGAGATGGCTGCCAGCTGCATAGGCAGCACCGAGGAAGACAGCATTGATGTAATTTTTACATGAACAATTTTGGCAGCCTTTCCCACATGCTGTTCTTCCTAGGGAGTGCCATGAGCAGTGTCTGGCAGGTGTGTGTCTACACAGAATTATCAGTGACACGGCACATGTTTGTTTCTGTTTGAGTATCTTCAGGCCTGCTCTGTTCTTGGGCACACTGGGGAAATTAAGGTGCTGTGATTGTTCTGCTCATCTGTTTCATGCTCCACAAATTAACTTCTCCAGTTTATTAACCTCACCCCTAGCAGAAGTTGCACAGCTGGTGGCAGAGGATAGTGGAGATGGGGTAGGGCTGGGCTCAAGGGCACCATGGAGTCCACCTTTAGTCTCCAGTGTCATTGCTAAGGCAAGATCCCAGGTCTTGACTCAGATATCCTGACCTGCCTCTTCTCCTGGTGCCTTGGGCCCCAGACCCTAAAATTCCAGGCCCAGAGCCCCCCAGCTCCTTGAGTCCAGATTCCTCCTCCTCTGCCATCCATCCGCCCCTGCCTGTTCAGTTGCCCCACTCTGAGTGTGGATTCTCCCATTTTCATTTGTTAGTCTTTGTTTCTCCTCCTCAATCACCAGTAAGAGAACGTTTTTCATTCAAGAATAAGAATTTTGAATTTTTTCTTTGCAACATTTAATTTTTTTAATTTACCCAGTCTTAGGTAATTTTTTAAGTACATTTAACTTTTGAAATGGAATTTTACCTGCCAAGTAGACATAAGCAATGAGGGGTTTTATGGTGTAATTTGAAACCTTCATTTTTTTTTGTATATAAGAAACTTTATCCTGTTTGTGGAACCCTTAGCAATTGAGTTGCCCAGAGCACGGTTTGAAACCACTGATCTGAATGAATTCGTCTCTTATTCAGAATAGGATATATTAAAAACCTCTAGCTCCCTATGGGTTGTCTCAGCCAAGCTTTTCTCCCCCAGCCTCTTTAAGCTATAGCCTGGCTCCTCAGCCCTTTGGTCTTGTGCCCTGTTTGAGGTTGGGGATGTGTGTGGAGTTGGGGGAGCATGCAGGGAATTGTGGAATCAGCCCTGCCCACTTTACCCACTCCCCTATGGCTCCAGCTCTCCCTCCAGCAAATTTTGATTGAACATTCATTCTACGCAGGGAGCTCCAGTAATCTACCCTCAGTCCCTGTCACATGGCTCCACTGCCTCATCTCATTCCCCCTACAAACCTCAACCCAGCCTTTGCCTGTCCTCCCTTTCACTGTCCAGCATCACATGCTCCCTTCTGCTCTCTGCTCCCCCACCTCTGGGTTTCCTTGGTGGCTCCCAACACTGTCCCTCATCCCACATGACAGCTCTGCCTATGGGATGGGGGCGCTGCATCCGTCACTTCCTCCTGACACTGTTCAGTGTCACCAGTGCTGCTCCAGCCTCCTCTCTCCCCAGCCTCACCCCTCTGCAGTTCCCAGGGCTGAGCCGTCCTGCTGGTTAGTTCTCAGCACCCTTCTGTGACTACAAGTTCAAGTTCTCCTCCCCTTCCTGGACAATGAACCCAAGGTAATAGATAAGAGGTTTTAGGGCTTGAGGGGCTGTATTCAGGAGATTCCAACCTTGCTACCCTGAAAGATGAGGAGGTGACATGATGTCAGTACCTTTTAGGTGTGTCCTAGGAGGGGTGTGGAGAGGTCTAGGAGGAAGGGTGTAAGCAGGAAAAGTGGAAGTCAGTGGAAAACTAAGGTACCTACTTTGCAGTCCTTCCTCTCAGAGTGTTGGTGTAAATTTGGACTAGAAATGTCCTGAGAGTACAATGGTTGAACTAGTTTACAGTCCCACCAACAGAGTAAAAGTGTTCCTATTTCTCCACATCCTCTCCAGCACCTGTTGTTTCCTGACTTTTTAATGATCGCCATTTTAACTGGTGTGAGATGGTATCTCAAGACAGTGTGGCAATTCCTCAAGGATCTAGAACTAGAAATACCATTTGACCCAGCCATCCCATTACTGGGTATATACCCAAAGGATTATAAATCATGCTGCTATAAAGACACATGCACACATATGTTTATAGCGGCACTATTCACAATAGCAAAGACTTGGAACCAACCCAACTGTCCATCAGTGATAGACTGGATTAAGAAAATGCACACATATACACCATGGAATACTGTGCAGCCATAAAAAAGGATGAGTTCATGTCCTTTGTAGGGACATGGAGGAAGCTGGAAACCATCATTCACAGCAAACTATTGCAAGGACAAAAAACCAAAGACCACATGTTCTCACTCATAGGTGGGAACTGAACAATGAGAACACATGGACACAGGAAGGGGAACATCATACACCGGGGCCTGTTGTGGGGTGGGGGGAGGGGGGAGGGATAGCATTAGGAAATATACCTAATGTAAATGACGAGTTAATGGGTGCAGCACACCAACATGGCACATGTATACATATGTAACAAACCTGCACGTTGTGCACATGTACCCTAGAACTTAAAGTATATATATATATAAAAAGAAATATCCTGAGAGTATCCTGAGAGAAAAACAATGGATCATAGATGCCATAATATTACACCAGCCACAGGGAGGCAGCAGGAAGAAGAGATTTTTCACTTGGTTACTGCTTCCTTGGCTGTCTGATAACCTACACTCAATCCCTGTCATGCACCCACACAACCTCATCTCATTCTTCCTACAAGTCGCAACCCACTCTAGTACCCTAACCAAGTTCTGGGGAGGCTGGGAGAAGTACCTTTAATGAGAATGCCTTCAGGGGCTAAAACCTATCCCCCTCCCTCCCTTCTCTCCTTAATTGTCCAAGGGATGTGGGCTCCTGCTCCACCCTGGGGAATAAGAGGCATTCTTCGTGAGCACTGAATCCTCAGTGATCCTCAGAGCCTGGACACTCCAGCTTAGGGCTCTCTGCCTGAGTCCCCTCCAGGCTGGATGCAGACATGAACACGCCCAGGAGCCTGCACTTGCCAACTTCTCTCTCTGCAAACCTTGTCTGTCCAAGGTTATCCAGGACCTCTTGGTCCCATTTTCCCCAAAGACAAGCATACTGACCACTGGGCACCTCTCTCTGTTTACTGTACCCATGTCCTTGGAGAGAGAATAGGCCAGTAGGGTAGCAAGCTATCCTATAGGGGATGAACCTCTTTCTCTAGCTGGGAAGAGAGGACACTGCCTTAGGGCAGGAGCCCCCGCAGCCTGTCTCAGAATTTGATCCCTTAAAGATAACGTCCCCTAGGAATTGTTCCCTGAGCCAGACCCTCCAAGAATGGCAGTTCGGCTCTTACCTGGAGTGGCCCTGCCCTGGACCACAGATGTGAGCAGCACCATCAGTAACGCCGTCAGAGCCACTGTCCGGGGGGCCGCAGAAACCTGCAGAACCATCATGGAGCTGGAAAAGGATGGCAAAATGAAAAGAGCTGCAGTCAGGAAAAGAAGGACTCGCTAAAGGGAGCTCCTGTTTGAAATATTAGAGACCATGAACCCAAGTAGTCTTCTGTGACCCTGGGATTGGACAGAGTCTGAGAAAAGAACCAATGGACACTGAGCTTTGTATGAGTCATTGCTCACTAGGCAGAAAGTTAGTATGAAAGGTCTGAAAATATAAAGCCTGTGATGCACTTAAGATGACGGAGGAAAGACAGTGATACTCATTTTAACCAGTCAGATAAGTCATGATGTTTGGCGAGATTATGCGTTTTCTTTGCTCTGAAGGTGATCTCAAATATTCTGCTGGCCCATCTACAGGGATTATCATTTCCCCAATTCTGCCACACCTCACACACCCACAGGACATGGTCTGTTGTGGAAAAAGTGCTATCTTAGTGTGTAAAAGGTCATTCAGTGGCATGACTTAGAGGGATTAGAGTACCCATCTCAGAACTCAAATGAGGTCTGAGTCTGTCTGTCTTGCCTTTGTCCAAGGGTGTGTTTAAGATTAGCACCCATTCATATTTACTTTCTCCCAGAGGTCTGTGAGTCCTGCGATGTGCAGGAGTTACCAGGTTCTTCCACAGGACTGTCATCAGGGTCAGGAGGGCTCAGTCTAGGGACCTTACACTGGGAGCGTGGACACACCACCTACCCTACCATGTAAATATGCAGCTTTAACGACACTGCCTCTCTTGGACTTCGATTCCTTGTCTTCAATATGGGGATGATATAACCTGCCTTATAGCAAAGCTCTTAAGATCAAATGAGATCAATAGGTCTGAAATTGCTTTGGAAAAATAAAGTCCATAGAGAATATAAATTGACTGGTAAATAAGGAAGAAAGTGAAAAAAAATCATCAAAGACCCCACCTCCTTCAAAGCATCTGATTCTATTTTGTTTAGAGTGAATATTTTTACAAACTTTCAAAGAACATTACTTCTTACTTTAGACACTTATAAATGTGATCCTGTTGGACCACCAATTCTAATTTCAAAAAAAATCAAATTGGCATCATTTCTTTAAATCAATATTAAAATGTAAATAGAAGGCTAGCATGTAAAATGCAAGAGAAGAAAATAATTATGTAGTAGAAGGTGTCTAGTAGGATTAAGGGGCCAGGAGAGGATTGTGGAGAAAAACTCAGTTTTTTTAGTAACTGCCTGGGTGGGACTTTTCTCCTTGTCATTTACCTGCCATAGATAATTAGACAAATACTTCCTCGATGTCTCAGGTAATTTATTTTTACAGTAGACATTAATAATACCTCCCTCAGGTTTAATATGAGGTTTAAATGAGGTAATGCATGCAAAGCACTAATAACAGAATCTCTCATGTCCTAATCTGTTAGTAATTATTATTTATGCAAGGTAAGGCTACCACAAATAAGATAAAATATTAACGTAATATATGTACTTCATCATTACATTAAATAGTAAATGTTTTGTGACCTTCTCTATGAGTATCAAATAAATAGCTCAAAATTGAAATATTTAAAATGAGACTAGAAAAGTATTTCTTAAATATGGTAAAGAGAATATAAAATAAAAAATTAACATTACCTGTAACAGAAAAACATTAGAGAAACCCTTCTTAAAAACAAGATCAAAATATGGGCGCACATTGTTACCACAGGTAATGCTGTCCTGGGTATTCTTATATGAAAATGAAATAACAAGACTAGTAATTTAAAGATAAAAATGTTATTACACTGTTTAAATACCAGGAAAAATCAAATACTAAGAAATCTGAAAAATAAAAATTATCTAGAAATTTCACTAACAAAGGTAACCAGGAATAGATAAACAATTAAAGATCAACTTCATTCAAGTTAATTAAAACCTCTAAATAGAAATTATAACACTTCTGCAGAAATGATTAAATAAAAAGGAGGTATCTCAGGGAGGTGGACCTGAAAGAAAGATTAATTATATATTTTATTAGATAGCACATTCATTCTTAATTATCAGCAGAATATTTTTGTAAAATATTGACAACATAACATAAAACATGATTTAAAATATAGTGACCAAAAAACATCGAAGATCATCTGACTGTCTGGGATGGGGGTGGGGCTCGGGAGAAGGAACATAATGGAAAACATTTGCCGTCAGAAGAAGGTGTAACTTATCTTTTTACATCTCTTTCTCTAACTCTGAAAATGAACTGTGAACTGGAGCTCTCTTGACCACGCTGGTACCTAAAATTCTCCCATCTCTTCCCCAGCACCTTCCAGCGTCCTCTTTACCCAGCAACAGAGAATGTCAGCTCTATGATTTCTCTGATAGGTGAATCCCAGCCATGCTGATTCCTCTCCACCCATTTCCAGTGCTAGAGGCCCACAGTTTCAGTCTCATCTGCCTCCACTCGGCCTCAGTTCCTCATCACTGTTCCTGTGCTCACAGTCATCAATTATAGACCCCACAACATGCGCCCTGAAGACAGAATGTTCCATATCAGAGCTGTGATCTTGAGAGCCCTCTCCTTGGCTTTCCTGCTGAGTCTCCGAGGAGCTGGGGCCATCAAGGGTGAGTGCTCAGGAGGACGCAGGAGCGTCGGGGTGAGTGATGGGGTGGTTCACATCAATTGCTGCTTCAGGGATCACAGATTTTAGGGGCTCATTGATCTATCTGGTCCTCATAGTCTATGTTCCCTCTGGCCCTCATAATAATAACAGCAATAACAGCCAGAATTTATGAGACTCCTGCATAGTTTCTTTCCCCATTTACATCTCACAGGAATCTTCAATGAAGATAATATTCCATTCATTTAGAAATTATTCCTTTTATTTAGAAATTATTTTGAAAAAACTGAAGCTCAAAAAGATGAATAAGTTTTCCAAGGTTACACAGCAGATCAACGAGCCAAGTTTGAAGTCCAGACCCAGCTCTGAGGGTCATACACTGCCTTCCCCAGATTCCTGCACACAGTGACCTACTATCAGGGCCCTCCTATCTCTCTGGGATCCCCAGCCTCTATCTTTTGTGGCTGCTTTACAGGAACTCCGAGCTATGGACTCTGCATTAGGAGACGAAGTGCAAAGAGTGTTTCTGTATCCTCCCTCTCTTCTAGGACCCTAGGGCTCTTCCTGGGTCTTTGTGGGTGGTCACAAGCTTTCCTCTCTCAAGACAGCAGGGTTGCATGGTCTTGATAGCCTTGTGATTCGGGTTCTGAGAGATTCAGGACTGCAAGGGAGGCCTAGACTTTTGATAGCTGCAAGGACTCAGCCAGAGATGGACCGTAGTGAATGCTCCTTTTTCCTGTAGCTGAAATCAGGGAGAATGACATCAAGCCTGTGCATGATGCTGTCATTCCAAAATCTAGTGATGGGGAAGGTTAGAATCCATAACGTACAAGATGCACACTGGCTTCAGACAGTTTTATTTAAGATGTGTAGAATAAAGAGGAGGTCAGGCTGGGTAGAACCAGAAGTATCTATTGCCCTGTTCGCGGTCACCTGAGTTATTTCTAATGTTATGTTATAATAAACACCACAATAGGCTTCTCTTCATAGATGCAAATACTTTTTAGTATTCTTGGTAGAAATTCCTAATGAGCTCAGCTGTCTCTTCAGGGCTTCCCTGCCCAGTCTCTTAACATTTAAACATGTCATTTACCTTAAAAACATAAGTGCAAACCAACTGATAAAAAACAACCTTGCCTTCAGTCTGCATCCTGTCCCAGAGACACTTTCTTTGTGTCCTCACACGTGGAGCTAAGCTTCTGACTTGTCTCTGGTACATCCCTGAGGATCCTCTCATCTTGGCCATCAGGAACCTCTACAGAAGGTCAAATTCAGTGGGTTCTTCTCAGTGCCTCTGACTTGAGTTACTAATAACATTTGCACTATAATCCACTTCTTTCTGATGAACTACCCTGTCCTTATTTTTCTCCTGTTTACCTGGATCCTCCTTATCATCTTTTAAACCACCTCTTAACTATCATGTTCTCTCATTATACCCTGAGATCTCGGCAATTCTGATTTTTGGCACTCTTCCTGGAAAATCTTATTTAACCTGCACCTGCCACTAATGACTCTCAGTTCTATGGCCTAAATTCCTCTCCTGAGACCACCCATAATCCACAAATATCTATGTATTATTTCTCCTTAGATGACTTTCAGGTCTTCTAAGTGCAATAGCCCCACAGTGAACTCAGTATCTTCTCCCGGTCAGGCTGTCTTCCCTGAGAGAAGTGGCTTTTGCCCTGTTTTCTGAATGCCTACATTGAAGCCATCTGTTCCCCAGGAAGCCTTCCCTGATGTGCTGTTTGGTCGCATCTTGTGTATACCTACGTATCTGCACTTATCCTTCTGAACCTGCTGTTGTCCTGTCACTTGTGTTTCCTTCTGTGACTTATACGCGTCTGCAGAACAGGACGTATGTATTATTTTTATTTGGGTATTTAGCATCTAACAGTGTTTGACATATAGTAGTCTTTTAATACATATTTTTGTCTGAATGGAAATGATATTTTGAAGAAAAATAATCTGTTCCATAGCTGGCTGATCTTTGGACTGCAGAACTTGTGAAAGTGTTTTTTAAAAAGCATTTTAAAAAGTACAAGGGACATTCATGTATTAAGAAGATGAGTTTCCAATAACTGCTAGAGGACTTTGTGTCTTTTTATTTTACCCTCTTTTTCCTGATGAGTCCTTTGAGTCCTTTAAACTGAGGAGCAAGCTAAGTTTCCTAGTGAAATACCTATAGGATTTGTTTTGTTTAGTTTCAAATACCACTCTTTGCTTGGCCACTTACTGTGTCAGGGAGTCATTCTCAGTGAAAAATAAGACACAGGTCATACCCTCTAGACACTTACAATTACAGTGGCAAGGAGTCATTCTCCTGTCACTGTAAGTGGCCAAGCACAGACTGGGTCCCCACATGTCAGGGCTGAAAACTCACAGGGAAATCTGTGAGTTGGGAGGTGAGAGCAGAAGAGTCCCGTAGTTCCTTCTCACTCTGATGCATTTATCATTCTAAACCCAGACTTTCACATACACATTCATCGTTTTCTTTCATGATAATAGTTGCTTTTATCCTCTTATCTTTGCTAATTCTTACAAACTAATAAAGACTAAGAAACAAAATAAATTAAATCCTACAGGTGTTCCAAACTCAGCAATAATTTCTAGTTGGCCTCTAAAACAAAAATCAAAATATAAATGTAAGAAAAGTTTAGAATGCTTAGTACCTGTGTGATGAAATAATCTGTACACTAAACCCCCAAGTCATGAGTTTACCTATACAACAAACCTGCACATGTACTCCTGAACATAAAATAAATGTTGAAATATTTTTAAAAAGGAAACAAAAGTTTGGAACAAATGCCAAAATAACTGTACTGTACTTTTGAATTTATATGCCCCAAATGAAAAATATTATCAACAAAGCTATACATTCTACAGTTTCATGTTCATAAACTAAGACAGAAACTTTAAAACTGTCAAGAGCCCTAAAATTTGAAGGATATTTTCTTCTTCCTCTCAATTTTGTATTTTTTTCTACCTTTTCTATAATAAGAAAAAGAAAATGTCCATTCCCCCACCCCCATGACTCTAAAAACAATTTTACATCTGTGTCATAGAAAAATTAAGATCTTAATGGGAGAGAAAACCTCTCTACTAGTTCCGCCAGTAGCCGTATGACCTTAGCAAGTTATTAATATGTAACTTCCCTGCATTTCCTTACCTGTAAAATGTATGATATGTATTTGCTTCATAGGGTTATTGTGACAATTCAGCGACTGAAATATGTAAAGTATTTAGAAGGATGCCTGGCACAAGTAAGTGCTCAACAAATGTTAGCTGTCATTGTTACTATTACTATTGTGTAGGGTCAGGATGCCCAGACTTTCAAAGACCAGGAAGCAGCTTGACTTATCAGTGATAAACTTTTCATTTTGTTCTTTGCTCCTTTCTTTTTATAACTGCTCATCTGCTCTGTATTATTTCCTTTATGGTGTTGCTCCTTCTTCTTCCCCATATGTCCTTCCTTTGACCTCTTACCTTCTTCCTTTTTATATTCATAAGTCTTTATTCATTCTCTAGCTTTGACCACTTGCATATTCAAACTGACATTTTGTCGTGTTTTTCTCTACTGTCTTTATGCAGCGGACCATGTGTCAACTTATGCCGCGTTTGTACAGACGCATAGACCAACAGGGGAGTTTATGTTTGAATTTGATGAAGATGAGATGTTCTATGTGGATCTGGACAAGAAGGAGACCGTCTGGCATCTGGAGGAGTTTGGCCAAGCCTTTTCCTTTGAGGCTCAGGGCGGGCTGGCTAACATTGCTATATTGAACAACAACTTGAATACCTTGATCCAGCGTTCCAACCACACTCAGGCCACCAACGGTACGCCCTATCTTTGCCTCTTCCTCTGTAGCCCAACTGGAAGGGATGAGAGGGCCTCTCTGCCACCCTCAGACTAGGAAGCCTAAGTGCCCCCTGCTGTGTGATCCTCTTCCCCTAGTGGCCATGGGCTGATCCCACTACAGCAAGGGCTTGCATCCTCTCTTCTCAGGAGAGAGAAAGGTGAGCAGAGTGAGGCTGGTCAGTGGTGTGATACCCCTGTCTGTGATTCAGAGCTGCCATAAAATCTAAGGCTGAGGTAGAGGACCACCCTCCCCTAAGAGGTGGAGCCTTTGTGATTCATCCCAGAAGAGGGGCCTAACCTGGTGCTGTCTCCTTCCAGATCCCCCTGAGGTGACCGTGTTTCCCAAGGAGCCTGTGGAGCTGGGCCAGCCCAACACCCTCATCTGCCACATTGACAAGTTCTTCCCACCAGTGCTCAACGTCACGTGGCTGTGCAACGGGGAGCTGGTCACTGAGGGTGTCGCTGAGAGCCTCTTCCTGCCCAGAACAGATTACAGCTTCCACAAGTTCCATTACCTGACCTTTGTGCCCTCAGCAGAGGACTTCTATGACTGCAGGGTGGAGCACTGGGGCTTGGACCAGCCGCTCCTCAAGCACTGGGGTATGCAACTGCTTTTCTCTCCATAATCTCCTGGCATCCTCTATTCCAAAGACCTGGTGTCCTCTGCACCAGCTTTCCGCACTGGCTGGGTCTCAGTCCTCTCCTCGTCCTAACATCCAATTAACTGGTCCATAACCTTCAATTCCCACAACCATCCCAGGCCATCACCACCCTCACTGCACCTCCTGACCCTATCTCTTCATTCTTCCCCCAGAGGCCCAAGAGCCAATCCAGATGCCTGAGACAACGGAGACTGTGCTCTGTGCCCTGGGCCTGGTGCTGGGCCTAGTCGGCATCATCGTGGGCACCGTCCTCATCATAAAGTCTCTGCGTTCTGGCCATGACCCCCGGGCCCAGGGGACCCTGTGAAATACTGTAAAGGTGGGAATGTAAAGAGGAGGCCCTAGGATTTGTAGAATGTAAGGAAGGGAGGAAAAATTCAATCTGATAAGTGTTCATTGATCTTCTAATGGGTTAAAAGCATTCAGCCACATAACAACAACAACACCGATAACTAACTGAGTAGTTAATATGGTCAGGCGCTATTCTGAGGATTTACATTTATTAACTCACTTTATTCTCACACATAGTCTTTGAGGTAGGTACTATTATTTTCACTATTTCACATGAGAGATACTTACATCTTTTTACATACACAGAGACTTTAAGCACTTTGATCAAGTTCCCACAGCTATGAAGTAGTAGGGCTAGCTTCCAATCCAGAAAGTCTGGATCCAAGACTGTTTATCCACTGTCCTATTCACCCTATTTTGTGAAGGAAAAGACCAAGTTCAAATTCTCCAGAGTCCATTGCCAAATAATGGAGTCAGATCTATATTTCTATACATAATTACAACACAGTGTGGTGGGTGCCTGTAACTACTTACTGTCTCTACTTGGACTCATTCCATGGCAATGTTCACACAAAAAATGCCCCTCCAGAGATCTTACAGGTTTCTATTTATCATAACACTCACCATGCTTTATATTTTTATATGTTTTGGGAATTCTCTTAGCATTAGACAGTGAACTTCCATGCAGATGACCACATCTAATTCATTATTATTATTGTTATTCATGCTGGACCTCAGGTACAAAAGGTTAAGAACTTCTCAGTTCATTATATGATCATCATTGGTGCCTCCGAGCTCTCTCTCTCTCCCTTGATTTATTTGGTCCCTTTTATCTCCAGTCCTTACTCCCATATCTAACCTCTTACCCCTACCTCATAGGTAAACATTTTAATGAATTTGATGTTTCCTTTTATTTGCATAGATCCTCTGTAATATGTAGTAGTGTCCAGTGTACATGTATTTTTAATTAACCAAAATGGCATTAAATTATAGATCTAATTTTGTACATCCAGTTTGTTTCTTCCAAATCTTCCATAGTATTTTACTTTATATGTCCATGCATTAGTCCATTTTGCATTGCTATAAAGGAATATCTGAAGTTACCTAATTTACGAAGAAAAGAGCTTTAAATGGCTCACAGATCTGCAGGCTGTACGCGAAACATGGCACTAGCATCTGCTTCTGTTGGGGGATTCTGGAAGCTTTTACTCATGGTGGAAGGCAAGTGGAGCCAGTGCATCACATGGTCATAGAGGGAGAAAGAGACATAGAAAGAGGTGCCAGCCTCTTTTTAACAACCAGGTTTCATGTGCACTAATAGAGTGAGAACTCACTCATTACCCGGAGAGGGGACAAAGCCATTCATGAGGGTCTCCTCCATGATTCAAATACCTCCCACCAGGCCCCACCTGCAACACTGGGGATCAATTTTCAACATGAGACTTGGAAGTGACAAATATCCAAATCATATTAATCCACATATCTACATTGCTCCTGGGATACCTGGATCATTCCTGGTTCTCTACTATTGCAAGCAATGCTTGTATCTCACATGGAACTGCATATACATGTGGGCCTGACCTGCATCCCTGGAATGTATGTATCCTAGAAAGGGGTTGCAGGGTTGCTGGAGATGCAGCTCCTTAATTTGACTAAACACTGCTCATCTTCTCATCAGAATGGCTGTACTCATCTGAACTTCCTTTGTCAGTACTCTAATTGTCCTGCAACTCCTAAATGGACTTCAACACTGGACATTATCCAGTTTTCTAACTTTTGCCAATTTCATGTGCATAAAGAAATATGCTGTTTTATTTTGCATTTCTTTAATTACTAATAATTGGGGTTATAATTAGGACTGATTAGCCACTTGGGGGTTCCTTTTCTATAAATTGCCTGTTCACATTCATTGTCCATTTTTGTACTATGTGCTTCCATCATTTTCTTATTGATTTGCAGGTGATCCTTATATAGTCCTGCTAGTAGTCCCTTGTCAGTTTTAGGCATTGCAAATGTTTTCCTCTAATCTGACTTCTGGCAACTGTCTCCTTGGTTTCCTTTATTGAAGAGAAATCCTTAATATTTTGTAATGAAGTCCATCAACTGTATTTTTGTTTGTGTGTCTTTTTTAAAAGAAGTCTTCCCTATACTGAGATATCAAAGATACTCTTAAAACATCTCCTACAGTTTTAAATTTCACATTTACTACTTTAATTCATCTGGGATTCATCTTTGTGTTTGATGGGGATCATGTTTTATTTTTCTTTATATAATGGGCCAGTGTGTTCCCACAACTACTAAATAGTTCACCTTTTCCCCATAGGTTAGTAGTGTCTCCTTTGCTATACTGAAAGCTCCCATTATAGGTGGGCCTGTGTCTGAGTTCCATCTTGTTCCACTGTTCTGTTTGTCTCTTCTTGTGCCAGTGTCCTAGTATTTTGATTACTATGACATTGTAGTGTGTGTTAGTATCCAGTAGGACAAATTCTTGTTTATTTTTCTTAGTTCACACACATTTATAATTATATCTATAATGATTTGTAACAGAGTGAAGTGAATGTAGAATGTCAGATGTTAAGAGGAAGAATGGAAAAGAGGGCTGGGACTAGGGTGATGTAGGGGATGCACTTGGCTTAGGTGCAAAATTTGGGGGATACCAAAAGAACTCAGTAATAAATCATATTTTAATGAAATATCTTGAAAAGGCAAAATTAATGCAAAGATACATGATTAACAAAACATCCAAAGAGGAGTATTTAACAAAAATGGAGAAGCAGAGAAGCAGAAGAATTAGGAGAATATGCTGTCACATGAGCCAAGGAATTAAAGAATTCAGGAAGGAGGAAGTACTGCTGTCAGATGTTCAACAGAGGTCATTTTAGAAAATTTACCTTGGTTTTTGAAATCCTTTCAAAGAGCAGTATACACAATGTGAGCAAGTATCCTTCGTTCATTGCCGTCATTGATATGGTTTGGATATTTGTCCCTTCCAATTCTCATTCCAGGGTTAAGCTTCTTCTCTGCCCTCAGTAATGTGGCCCTTCCCCTTGTCTGTATATTTTGGAGACATGAAGCATGTGGGATGGCCTCACAGTCAGCTGGGGTTTGAGGGTGAAATTCAATGACTTTCGTGAACTCCTTGGCTCCTATGTGCTCTTCACCTGGAGGGCCAGGGCATGTGCAGGGATGACCACCTTCTCCCTGGGACCTGAACAGGGCAGAGAAATGGGAAGCTCGGGTGCAAAGGGAGTGGGGAAGATGGGTCCGGGCTTACAGTACTGAACCCAGGAATGACAATAACTGTGTGTGTTGCTGCAGGTGACAAAATATCTGAACAGAAGAGGACTTAGGAGAGATCTGAACTCCAGCTGCCCTACAAACTCCATCTCAGCTTTTCTTCTCACTTCATGTGAAAACTACTCCAGTGGCTGACTGAATTGCTGACCCTTCAAGCTCTGTCCTTATCCATTACCTCAAAGCAGTCATTCCTTAGTAAAGTTTCCAACAAATAGAAATTAATGACACTTTGGTAGCACTAATATGGAGATTATCCTTTCATTGAGCCTTTTATCCTCTGTTCTCCTTTGAAGAGCCCCTCACTGTCACCTTCCCGAGAATACCCTAAGACCAATAAATACTTCAGTATTTCAGAGCGGGGAGACTCTGAGTCATTCTTACTGGAAGTCTAGGACCAGGTCACATGTGAATACTATTTCTTGAAGGTGTGGTTTCAACCTCTGTTGCCGATGTGGTTACTAAAGGTTCTGATCCCACTTGAACGGAAAGGTCTGAGGATATTGATTCAGTCCTGGGTTTTTCCCTAACTACAGGATAGGGTGGGGTAGAGAAAGGATATTTGGGGGAAATTTTACTTGGATGAAGATTTTCTTGGATGTAGTTTGAAGACTGCAGTGTTTGAAGTCTCTGAGGGAAGAGATTTGGTCTGTCTGGATCAAGATTTCAGGCAGATTAGGATTCCATTCACAGCCCCTGAGCTTCCTTCCCAAGGCTGTATTGTAATTATAGCAATATTTCATGGAGGATTTTTCTACATGATAAACTAAGAGCCAAGAAATAAATTTTTTAAAATGCCCTAATTCATTGCAATTTTTACCAGCCATAGTCACTCCATGTGGGAGAACTTAAATCATGATTACCAGAGCTTTCAAAGGTTTGAGAATAGTGATGATTATGAAGAAAAATATCTTATTTGAGCAAGGATTTTGTTTCTTTATGAGTGTTCATTAGATATTACGATGAAAAAAGCATGAAATGGTAAAAATTCAGATAAATATAAAAACATGTTCTCTAGTTTTTTTTAAGTTAAAAAAGGAATTGTTTAAAGTAAAAATTATTTGGGGGTTTATAACATACCCAGAAGTAAAATATGATGACAATGGCACAAAGAATAGAAGGGAGAAATGGAAGTATAATGTTGTAAGTTTCTTATACATGTTAAGTGGTGTGTTATTATTTGAAGGTAGAATGTATTAAGATGAATATTTTAAGCTCCTGATAACTATTGAAAAAAAAAGAGGTATAGCCAAGAGGCCAATGGAGAAGATAAAATAGAACACTAAGCATAATTAATTCAAAATAAAGAAATAAAAAAGGGAAAGTCTGGTAAGACAAAAAGAAAACAAACTGTAAGATGGTAGAGTTTAAAACAACCATACTAATAATTGAATTAAATGCACATGGCCTAAATATTCTAATGAAAAGGGAAAGATTGTCAGAATGCACAAAAAAATCTACAGGCCAACTTCATGCTCTCTACATAATGCCCTCTTTAAATATGAAGGCAAAGACAGGTAAAAAGTAAAAGAATGGGAAAATACATGTATACCGTGGAATGCTATGCAGCCATAAAAAAATGAGTTCATGTTGTTTGTGGGGACATGGATGAAGCTGGAAGCCATCATTCACAGCAAACTAACACAGGAACAGAAAACCAAACACCACACGTTCTCACTCGTAAGTGGGAGTTCAACAATTAGAACACATGGACACAGGGAGGGGAACACCTCACACCAGGGTCTGTCAGGGCATGGGGAGCAAGGGGAGGGAGAGCATTAGGACACATACCGAATGTATGCATGGCTTAAAACCTAGATGATGGGTTGATAGATGCAGCAAACCACATGGCACATGTATAACTATGTAACAAACCTGCACATTCTGCACATGTATCCCAGAACTTAAAGTAAAAAAAAAAAAAACGAAAATAATGCCAACCATGGAAGTATTGGTGGCTGTGTTAATATCAGAAATATAAGACTCAGAAATATTACCAAGGAGAAAGAAGGATAGTTCATAATGATAAAAGGATCATTTTATTATCAACATATAACAATCCTAAATGTGTTTGTTCTTAGAAAATATGTCTTAAATCACATTATACCAAAAATGATAAAAATAAATCAGAAATAGACAAATTCACAATTATATTTTAGTATTCTAGCACTCAGTAAACAATAAAATATTTAGGAAAAAACTTCATGAGGACATGATAGATTTAAATAACATTATCAATGAACCAACGTGATCTAATCAAGATTTGTAGAATATTCCACCCAATAGTGGCAGAATACACATTATTTTCAAATGCTCAAGAATATTCCACAGGACAGACTATACACTGGGTCATAAACACATATAAATAAATGTCTAAATAAATAAATGTCTCTATTGAAATCATACAGAATACATTCTCGGACCACAATAGCATTAAATTAGAAACCAATAACAGAAAAATACCTTGAAAGTCCCAAATACCTAGAAATTAAAAAGTATACTGCTAAACAGCACCTGGATTTAAAAAGAGTCAGAAGGAAAATTAGAAAATATTTTGAACTGAGTGAATATGAAAGCACACTGTATCAAAATTAGTATGATACACTAATTAGAGAATAATTTATAACTTTACATAATTGGAAAGGAGGGAAACTCTAAAATCAACCATCTATGTTCCCATCTTAAGAAGCTAGAAAAAAAAAGTCAAATGAATCCCAAGATTAATAAGATCAGAAATAAATGCAATAAAATGGACAAACAATAAAGAAAATAAACAAAGTCAATTGCTGGTTTTCAATAAGGCTCAATACATTCATGAATCTCTAGCTAGATGGATCAAGAAAAAGAGATAAGACTCAAATCCCCAATATCAGAAATGGAAGTGGGTACGTCACAACAAATCATACAGACATTAAAAGTATTATGACAGAATGCTATGAAAATGCCAATAAACAAAAATGACAATAAATTTGACAATTTACATTGTTAAATTAAATTAAATTTGGTGTAAAGCTTTCTCCATATCTTAAATTCCTACAGAGCAAACTAACCCAACTTAACATAACTGCGTTATGCAAACAAACTACAGCCTAACTTAAGAGTGTTGTAATAAATAGCTGAGTCTCAGCCAATCACAGGCTGCCAAGTGATCATATTATGTCCCCCATAAGGCAAATGCCTCATCACGCCATGCCCATATAAGGCAAACACTGAGCTGTAATAAATTGGCTGGTTTTGAGTATCACTTCCTGTTTTTATCTATAAACACTGCCTTCACATGTTGCTGGACAGAGCTTTCTGAATCTTTCTGGGTTCTGAGGGCTCCCCAATTCATGAATTGTTCTTTGCTAAATAAACTCTGTTAAATTCAACTTCTCTAAAATTTTTATTTTAACAACATGAAATAGAAACATTTCTTGAACGATTCAAATTACCAAAACTAAATCAAGAAGAAATCTCTGTCAATGGAAGAAATTAAGTTTGTAATTTTAAAAATCCTTCTCACAGAGAAGGCCAAATGGTTTCCAGGTCAGATGGCTTCATTGATTAATCCATAGTATTCTGTCATAATACTGTCATAATACTTTTAATGTCTGTATGATTAATTCTATTATACATTTAAGGAAGAAACAATACAAACTCAATACAAACTCTTTCAACAAAAGAGCAGAAGAAAACACATCCCAATAATTTACAAGTCCAATATACTAACACCAAACAATGACATTAAAAGAAAAGGAAACTAAAGACACACAAACATAGCCATGAAAATGTTTAACAAAATATTTTTTAAAATTGAATTCAATAATATATTAAAAAGGATGATATAACATGATCATAAAAGTTTATGCCAGGAATGGAAGGCATGTTTAACATGCAAAAAATCAATGTGATTCCACATCTTAACAGAATACAAAAGAAAAATTATGTAATTATGTAAATGGATGCAGAAAAAGGCATTTGCTCATTCATGATAAAAAGTCCTAGAAAACTAGGAATAAAAAGGAATTACCTGATAAGGTGTGTCCATGAAAACCAACAACTGAAATTTTCAATTTTGGGTGGGGGAGGGGGGCGGGCATTTTACTTTCTCCATAAAACTATTAAATTATCTAATGTGAAAGTGGAATTCAGTGAAGAAATGTTCCCTACTGCAAAAATACAAAATGCTGGACATTCTGTGAACAGTTTCTATGCATTCTATATAAATGAAACTATTAACTATATAATACATTTATTGAAAAAAGAAGATGGCCTTCTTTTTTTTTCCTAATGGCTGTTGAATTTATTTGCTTGATCAATAATGGTCCTGGCAAAAATTGACCAATGCTGAGACATTTGTAATGAAATACTAATTTTAAAAGTCCATGACACCTTGATAGAAATTAGAGTTTACACAAACAAAAAAGGAACCTTCGATATTTCCAGCAGCTATAAGGTGAATGTACTGAGACCGACAGGACAGCAAGAAGGCATTTGCACATTTATATCTGACACCAGACCACACTTTCAGTCACCAGAATATCTTCTCTCCATATTTTAAAAAATAGTGTCTCTCCCTCTCCCTCTCCCCACGGTCTCCCTCTCCCTCTCCCCCTGGTCTCCCTCTCCCTCTCTTTCCACAGTCTCCCTCTGATGCCGAGCCGAAGCTGGACGGTACTGCTGCCATCAGGGCTCACTGCAACCTCCCTGCCTGATTCTCCTGCCTCAGCTTGCCGAGTGCCTGCGATTGCAGGCGCGCGCCGCCACACCTGACTGGTTTTCGTATTTTTTTGGTGGAGATGGGGATTCGCTGTGTTGGCTGGGCTGGTCTCCAGCTCCCAACCGAGAGTGGTCCGCCAGCCTCCGCCTCCCGAGGTGCCGGGATTGCAGACAGAGTCTCCTTCACTCAGTGCTCAATGGTGCCCAGGCTGGAGTGCAGTGGCGTGATCTCGGCTCGCTACAACCTCCACCTCCCAGCAGCCTGCCTTGGCCTCCCAAAGTGCCGAGACTGCAGCCTCTGCCCGGCCGCCACCCCGTCTGGGATGTGAGGAGCCCCTCTGCCTGGCTGCCCAGTCTGGAAAGTGAGGAGCGTCTCTGCCCTGCCGCCATCCCATCTAGGAAGTGAGGAGCGCCTCTTCCCGGCCGCCATCACATCTGGGAAGTGAGGAGCGTCTCTGCCTGGCCGCCCATCGTCTGAGATGTGGGGAGCACCTCTGCCCTGCCGCCCCGTCCGGGATGTGAGGAGCGTCTCTGCCCGGCCGCCCCGTCTGAGAAGTGAGGAGACCCTCTGCCTGGCAACCGCCCCGTCTGAGAAGTGAGGAACCCCTCCGCCCAGCAGCCGCCCTGTCTGGGAAGTGAGGAGCGTCTCCGCCCGGCAGCCACCTCGTCCGGGAGGGAGGTGGGGGGGGGTCAGCCCCCCGCCCGGCCAGCCGCCCCGTCCGGCAGGTGAGGGGCGCCTCTGTCCGGCCGCCCCTACTGGGAAGTGAGGAGCCCCTCTGCCCGGCCAGCCACTCCGTCCGGGAGGGAGGTGGGGGGGTCAGCCCCCCGCCCGGCCAGCCGCCCCGTCCGGGAGGGAGGTGGGGGGGTCAGCCCCCCGCCCGGCCAGCCGCCCCGTCCGGAAGGGAGGTGGGGGGGTCAGCCCCCCGCCCGGCCAGCCGCCCCGTCCGGGAGGGAGGTGGGGGGGTCAGCCCCCCGCCCGGCCAGCCGCCCCGTCCGGGAGGGAGGTGGGGGGGTCAGCCCCCCGCCTGGCCAGCCGCCCTGTCCGGGAGGTGAGGGGCGCCTCTGCCCGGCCGCCCCTACTGGGAAGTGAGGAGCCCCTCTGCCCAGCCAGCCGCCCCGTCCGGGAGGGAGGTGGGGGGGTCAGGCCCCCACCCGGCCAGCCGCCCCATCCGGGAAGTGAGGGGCGCCTCTGCCCGGCCGCCCCTACTGGGAAGTGAGGAGCCCCTCTGCCCAGCCAGCCGCCCCGTCCAGGAGGGAGGTGGAGGGGTCAGCCCCCTACCCGGCCAGCCGCCCCGTCCGGGAGGGAGGTGGGAGGGTCAGCCCCCCGCCCGGCCAGCCGCCCCGTCCGGGAGGTGAGGGGCGCCTCTGCCCGGCCGCCCCTACTGGGAAGTGAGGAGCCCCTCTGCCCAGCCAGCCGCCCCGTCCAGGAGGGAGGTGGGGGGGGTCAGCCCCCCGTCCGGCCAGCCGCCCCGTCCGGGAGGTGAGGGGCGCCTCTGCCCGGCCGCGCCTACTGGGAAGTGAGGAGCCCCTCTGCCCGGCCACCACCCCGTCTGGGGGGTGTACCCAACAGCTCATTGAGAACGGGCCATGATGACAATGGCGGTTTTGTAGAATAGAAACGGGGGAAAGGTGGGGAAAAGATTGAGAAATCGGATGGTTGCCGTGTCTGTGTAGAAAGAGGTAGACATGGGAGACTTCATTTTGTTCTGTACTAAGAAAAATTCTTCTGCCTTGGGATCCTGTTGATCGGTGACCTTACCCCCAACCCTGTGCTCTCTGAAACATGTGCTGTATCCACTCAGGGTTGAATGGATTAAGGGTGGTGCAAGATGTGCTTTGTTAAACAGATGCTTGAAGGCAGCATGCTCCTTAAGAGTCATCACCACTCCCTAATCTCAAGTACCCAGGGACACAAACACTGCGGAAGGCCGCAGGGTCCTCTGCCTAGGAAAACCAGAAACCTTTGTTCACTTGTTTATCTGCTGACCTTCCCTCCCCTATTGTCCTGTGACCCTGCCAAATCCCCCTCTGCGAGAAACACCCAAGAATGATCAATAAAAAAATAATAATAAAAAAATAGTATGCTGATTTCTACAACAAAGATTTTTTTCATACAAAAATCAAATCATGGCCAGAAGATATCCTTCTTAAACTGGATGCCAGATGAGCATGCTGAACACAAAGCATGGTTTGTAGAGAAGAGATGTTTCTAACAAAAAAATTAAGGACAGAGTTTGAGGTAATGACGGAACATCCAGACGGATGTGCCCAGTACATATACTGAGATGAAGCCAGAGACTATACACTAATGGGTTTTTCTGTGGCATCATGATTGATGCCATGAGGGTGACTGAGATCTGCAGGAGAATGAGTGTAGAGAGATGAGCAAAGGGCTGAAGATTATGCCTTAAGTATGTCTCCATTTAAAAATGGGAAATGGAGGAGCAGTGCACAAAGGAGTATGCATTATTTCCTGCCTCAGCGTTTTGGGGTAAATAGGGTAAGGAAGAGAGGGCTATGGGAAGAGAATGACCTGTCTCTCCATCTCACTTATAACTATCTGGTTGACCACCAACTGGATAAGACCAAATAGTTTGATATACCTGTCAAGGGACTTAATATAACATTAGCCTGCATTAATATCAGCAATATTTCTGTAATAAGGAAGGTGATAGATCTCCTATTCCCTGCTTGAACTTTACTTGAAGCTCTGTACACTCAGACATAGATTTTTAAGAAAAATCTGTACCACCTGGACAGAGGTATAAAGGAAAATGGAAAACAGGAGTAAAATAGTTCAAAGGGTTGTGATTTTGGAGCCATTAAAGAATCTGGTCAAGTTTGGTCTGGTGAAGTGAAAAAAGCAGAACCAGGATTGGTTTAAGAATCTCTGACTCCAAATAACTATACCTCAACTATGGAGGTCCTAGGAGGTCAGGCAGGGGTGTGTTGCTTTATTTATGAGAAAAGTGTACTCACGTATCTCTAAATATGTAAGGTACATGATGATTCCTTTTTTATTGTCTTGAGTAGGATGATCTGCTCCTAGCAGCGTGCAGATGGGGCTTATGTAAGCCCTAAGCACTCGTGTATGACAGAGGAAGAAAAGGTTCTTCCTTAGGATGAGAGAACTTCAAACAAGATTACTCCAGCCCATCCTCCCATTTGCTCTCTCTTTCTGTTTTCAGCTCACATAGAAAAGCCCTTTTTGGTATTTAAGCTCAATTGCTCTTATTGTGGGACAGTGGAGGCTGTGTATTACACCCATAAAAACTATTTGTCTCTATTTCCTCTCTGAAAAGGTAGCATTGCAACACTTCCCTCTCTGCTTTCCCTTCTCTCTCTTAGCCAGGGGCCCCATTGCTCAGGGTTAGAATACACAGTCAACTAAAAAAATCTGTCCCATAAAGGGACTGTTGAACACTCAACTGTCTGTTTGATGGTTGAAGCTAAGCTCTAAGAGTGAGAGTAAAATGCCGATGGAGAAGGTTTGGAGAAAGCTGTGATGACAAGAATTATCACTTCTTAATGACTTTCCCTCCAGCCAATGAGATTTGAGTGTGAAGCATCCTCACTTGTGACCAGGTAATAAAGGTACTGAGATTGTCCTGAGTGAGTTGCAGAGAAGGGAGAGGTATGGCATGCTATCAAGAGAACAGTTCTGTTTCATAGTGGGAAAATGTATCAGAGTGTCACGTGGACATAGAAGTGAGAGAACTGAGGGTTGAAGTGGGTTCTTGGGAAGGTTACATCTTCTGCTGTTGAGAAAATCTGAAGTGTATGCCAACTAGGGTTAGAATTGCTGCCTCACAGGAAGTAGCACTCTGTGCAGCCACCAATTAAAGCTGCCCTGCCTGGATCCTTTTAGTATTTTGGGATTGATAAATAGATATGAATAACAAATGGGCAAACCCAGGCAAGGTAAAACTAAGGAGAAAACATAGAAATAGTGCACAGAAACGAGTTAGAGAAGAATAAAACAGAATATAAGTACAAGTCTCCTTACCTGTTGGCACATGGGAATAGTTTTGGTGTATGCTAAAATAGTTTTTCCTTGGAGCTTCAGGTTGTAAATTGCTAAGGAAAACCTGCTTGGTGCTGGAGTCCGGAGTCTTTACTTTTCTTCTAGTTACAGCTCTCAGAGGCCTGTTCAGGTTCTCAGAAGCATAGTACCCATTAGCTACTTTGTTACATCCACTGTGAAATTTGGCTTCCATATCCGGTTTTACAATTCAATGTTGGATCAAAAAGACTGGTTGGCCTCCTAGAAGCCTTTCTAAATTCTACTGAGCTGGAAACGGTTAGAGAAAGAGCTGTCTACTCTCTGAGGAGCACTTCTGAGTTACTTCTACTTCACAGGTTCTAACACAAAAGGTGTTAACCCTAGAGGATTAGAACCTAATCAGTTATGGCAAACAGAAGTTACATCCCTGAATTTGGAAAACTAAGATATGTACATGTATCCATTGATACCAACACTCATCTAATAAGTGCACACGCTCTTCTGTTGACTGAAGTGTACAGTTGTGTGCAGCAACACGTCTGTCAGGCAAGGCAGTCATCGCTTTTATTCCGGCTTTGCATCCTAGAATTAGCAAATAACATAAGACAATCATGAGAATAATTAGCAATATTCTTTTCCAGTCAAAGAGTGAACCCCAGGAGCGGGGGTCTAACCAGGAGTGATGATCTTGCACACCCTTCCATATGGCTGTTTGTTGGGTGTGTAGATCTATAGTGGGAAGGGATTCTAAAATTTTAGTTTGAAGTTGCTTTACATCTGCTATTAAATTGTCATGAATTGTTCCCCAGAGGTGTTGTTTCACTTCATCCCAACTATGTATTGATTGACTCTATGATAGAGAAGTGACACAGATATGTTTATGCGCCCAGTCGCAGTTTAATTGCTGTTAGAATGCCAGTGCATCTTGTTACTCCCCCATACAGGGCAGCCTCAAGGACCTCAAGGGCTTGCAGACGTGCAAGAATCTTTTGCTCTAGACCCTGCTGTAAGAGAAGTTCATTAGACACATTTCTGGCCAAATTATCTACAAAAGCACCTATTTGTACTGATTCAGTAATAGCTGCTACAGCCACACTAGCAGTTGCTAGGATGACTGTGGCTGAGACTATAAAGGCTGTAAGTGTGCCTATGTATCTTTTGGGTCTGGCCTAGGACAGGGCACATTCTTAGGTGGCAAGGGCAGAGGAACCTTGCCAATCGCATGTCAAATTGACTGGGTAGGAATGCCTCAGATTGTCTCCTTAATACCATGACACTAGTAATATTTAAATTAGATGTATTATAATTAGTGATACATGAGGCAAACCAAGCCTGTTCCTGCACCTGGGTCACAAATGCGGAGTTTTGGGGTGTAATGGAAGTATCAGTTTCCATAAGGAAAATATATGTATGGGTAGTATAAATTAGGCACTGATCAGTGTGATTATGAATAAAGGTTATAGTGTATTTGCCACTGGAATTATGATATGTCCCATGCCAGGTGAAAAGGAGGTGCTAAGATGTCCCAGGTACCGTAAAGTGTCTTGGGTAGCATGGACTTTACTTGGGGTATGGGATAACCCATCCCCCCCATTGGCCTAAATCATAGGGGAACGTGATGAGGCTACAAAACTGTGATTAACACCATGATAGATGAGGACATCAGTAAGGATGCCCTGAAAATGGCCGTGGGGGCTCCAGTCTAAGGTATTATAATGGCCTAGCTGGAGGCTACAAGCTTATTCCCCGTGACAGACCTCCCAGCTAAAGTGGAATCCATTACTTTCCCAGCTTTATTCTTTAGCACAGGAAGGAATGTTTGGGAAAGAATCATTGATTGCATTACCTGATTTGAAGCTACCTGCAGCTAAGACTTTAAAGGCATTTCTTTTGCCATGATGTAGCCATAATTGTGTTTGGGCAGGTACACAGTAAGGGTTATAATCTTTATAACTTACACACAGTGGGAGGATAGTGGAGTGATATGTAGTGTGTCTGGCACCTTAGTCCAGTGTATGCCATTATCGAGGGACCCCACTGGGGGTAAATCTATCCCTCCTAGCCAAGCAGTTATGTTATTAAAAGTTGGGAAGGGAGTGTCTGCCTAGGTGACAGGGTGAAAGAAAGGCGGATCTAAGATATGAGCCCAATAGAGTGTAGCAGGAACAGGTTGCAGACAAAGCACGAGCATAAAAAGGATCAATACCCTACATGAGTTGCAATGTACAACAGAAATCATAGCAAGGAGCAAATTATCTGGAGTGAATGGTGTCTGTGTCCAGAGCAGGGTTCATTCAGCCTCCTGAGTTGTCCTCTTCAGCATCCCCCAGTAATGTCTAGGGTTTGTGTCATCCACGGAAGCTGCATCATCCGGGACCGTGGGTCCTGCAGGGTTAGTTCCTTCATTTCTGGTACCGGGTTGAGTCCTAGCCATGTCATGGTATGGTTTGATGTGTCTTGCTGGAATCCAAAGAGGACTTGAGGGGGTGTGGACACAAGCATACCCTCTTCTCCAAGTTAACAATTCATTTGGACCACACCATACATTACTGCTTACATCTTTCCATAAAACTGCAGGTTTTATGTCTTGAGAGGTTTTAGCAAAAAGTGTTTCTCTATAGTTGATTGAAATTTGTCATCTACATTTTAAAAATTAAGGGTAAATAAGGCTTGTGCCAATAGTGTTGCAGGGTCTTTACCCATACTCCCCCTTTTCTGTTTTTTGAGCATATTTTTAAGGCTGGAGTGGGCACGTTCTACTATGGCCCGTCCTTGGGGGTTATACGGGATGCCTATGGAACGTTGGATATTCCACGTGTGACAAAATTGTTGAAATTGTGAGCTGGCATAAACTGGACCATTATCAGTTTTAATTTTTATGGGCCGCCCCATACATGCAAAAGTTGAAAGAAGATGTTTAATGACATATTGAGTGGACTCTCCAAGGAAGAGCGTGTGCACTAATTAGATGAGTGCTGGTATCAATGGATACATGTACATATCTTAGTTTTCCAATTTCAGGGATGTAACTTCTATTTGCCATAACTGATTAGGTTCTAATCCTCTAGGGTTAACACCTTTTGAAGGAGGGGACATGCCTGTTAGCTGGCAATTTGAGAATTGTGGGATAATTTGTTTAGCCAGTCTCTGGGTAAGTTGAAATTGCTTAGATAAGTTTCTCCAATTTTGGTGGAAAAATTGATGCGATTGGGTGGTTTGGTCAAGCAGTGATGTCATCACCTGAAGGTCTCCTTGATCACTGCCATAAGCCAGTGGGCCAGGCAGTGAGCTGTGGACTCGAATGTGTGTAATAAAAATAGGATGTGTACATTGATCTAGCAATTGCTGAAATCAGAGAAAAAGAGCACACAGGGCAGGCTCCAGAGTGGACTTAATTACGGCTGCTTCAAGATTTTGCAATAAATAAACAAAGTAGGCAGAATCACTAACTATATTGATGGCTGAGTAGAAAAAGTTTCCAAGGCCAATATCAGGGCCCCGATCTCACCTCTCTGAATGCTAGTAAACCCAGATTGAGTGAGTGAATTATGTGGTCTCCACCAGATTGCCGCCTTTCCATGTTTGCCTGAATCATCAGAAAACAATGTTAAAGCATTAGGTATGGAGGAGTGAACTATTTTTGTAGGCAAGATCACAGGAGTATGAGATAAGAAATGAAGGAATTTATCAGCAGGAAGAACATGCTCTATTTGTCCTGTGTAATCAGAGAGAGCTATTTGCAGATCTAACAATAGGGACAAAACTGCTTCTAATTGCTTTTTACTTAAAGGAATCCTGATGATTTCAGGATATCAGGATCATAGCCTAGCAACTGACTGCATTGTTTGAGGCCTGAATATACGACTTTACTAATTAACTGAATGTAGGGAAAGAGTGTTTTAGTCCTGGTATGTGAGCAAAAAAAAATCCATTCTAGAAAGCGCAGTCCTGGGGTCATCGGTCCTATTAATCCTGAAGGGGAGTGTTTGGTGGGGAAAATAAACAACTGGATGAAATAATGGGTGTCTATGTGATCTAGTTGCCTCTGAGAGATGGCTTGTTCTATTTCCTCAATTTCCCTTTTTGCTGCAGGGTTTAAATATCTGGGAGAATTCAGGGCTATATTGCCCTTTAAGATAGAAAACAGGTTTTGCAGCTTATAAGTAGGAATGCCTAAAGTGGGGCAGAGCCAGTTGATATCACCTAGTAATTTCTGATAATCATTTAAGGAATGTAAGTTGCTAGTATTTAATTTAACATTTTGAGGTCTTACTGACCAGGAAGTTAGCATGTACCCAAGATATATTTCCAAGGAGAGAAAGTTGTACTTTTTCAGGTGCAATGATTAAACCTCTTAGCTGTTTATTCTTTATGACAGAGGTATATAAATTTAAAAGTATTGGGTCTGTTGGGGTTGCTGGTAAAATATTCATAAAACGAATAATCTTGCAATTAGGAAATTCTTTTCTACTGGGAGCAAAGCTTGATTTACATGATACTGACACTTGGTAGGACTGTTTAGCATCCCTTGAGGAAGCACATTCCAATGAAATCAACAAGCTGGCCTTTCATTATTGATAGCTGGTATTGTAAATGCAAATTTTTCTCTGTCCTGTTCTGCTGGGGGAATCATATAAAAGCAGTCCTTTAAGTCAATAATGATTATAGGCCAATCTCGAGGAATCGCCACAGGGGATGGGAGGCCCTGTTGAAGGGGTCCCATAGGTTGCAAATTAGCATTAACAGCACATAGGTCATGCAAAATCTCCATTTCCCAGACTTTTTGGGAATGATGAAAATGGGCAAATTCCAAGGACAAATAGATGGTTCTACATGCCCAGCTTTTAATTGCTCTTCAACTAATTCACAGGCTTTTTGTAATTTCTCTCCCTTCAGAGGCCACTGTTCTACTCAAATTGGATCTTGAGAGAGCTACGACGGGGGTAGGGGAGGAATAATAACAGTGGCCATTGTTATAAAGGGGGCTGAGAGTCACCCCTCCCGCATTGGGCTAATAAATCCTGTCCCCAAAGATTAACAGGGATGCGCATGCTTACGGGTTGTATAACTGCCTTTCTTCCTTCTGAATTGCAACAGGTTAGGGAGTGCATGCTCTGCTTGGCTCTGTGTGCTTCCCTGATGCAGACAATTTTTTATTTCTGAGTGACCCAAGGCCAAATTTCTAGCCAGTTTTGATCACTAATGATTGAAACGTCCACCCCTGTGTCCAATAAGCCAGTAAAATTATTATTTCCAATTTTTAAGATAATCATGGGTCTCTGATCAGTGATTAATTGATTCCCATATACTCCTGTGGCTCCTGTGCTCCCAAAACTTCCTTTCCCCTTTCCTTTCCGTGGGCACTGGGGACCCAGTATGGCAAAATCAGTAACTGAGCTATCTTTGATCCAGGGGGAAGAATATTCAGACCTTTACATTCCATCATAACCAATATCTCACCTTGGTAATCACTACCAATTACCCCAGTGAGCACATTAATTCCTTTACTGGACAGGCTAGACCGCCCTAGGACTAATCCCACTGCTTCTGGAGGCAGCTGGCCCCAGATCCCGTATGCAGCCCTTTTAGGGTCTTCTCCTTCTTTCAGCACTGATTTGTTGGGGCAGAGTAAGTCCAGTCCTGCACTCCCAGTGGTGGCTGCTCTGAGAGAGAGGACTGTGAGCTCTCCATCAGACCGAGGAAAGCTGGTGGGATTGCCCCAGTTTGAAGCAGGGCCTAGGGCCAGCCCGTCATGAAGTTTCCCACCTGGTTACTTATGGGGTTTCTGTTTTTATCAAATTTTGACCTGCATTGATTTGCCCAATGTTTCACCGTTTTACATCCGGGGCATATAGAAGGGGGTTCTTTCCCTGAGTTACCTTCGTCTCTATTATGGGGGCATTCCCTCTTCATATGATCTGGCTCTCCACATAGAAAACAACTTTGGCTTCTCTCCCTTTTCACTTTAGGAGGCCTTAATGCCATAACCAATATTTTGGCTTGTGTGTCTCAGTTCCCACCAGCTGACATGCTCATATAAGTTCCCCGACTGTGGCTGCCTTTCCTCTGATTGCCTGCATTGCCTGCTGGTGATCCACATGAGAGTTTTCAAAAGCCAATTGCAACAATAAGATATCAGCAGCCTGGGCGTGACTAATTTGTCTCTTAATTGCCTGGGTTAACCAATTGAAAAACTCAACAAATGGCTCCTGAGGCCCTTGTTGAACATTTATAAAAGATCCTTGCTAAACTCCACTTTCAGGAATTCAGTCCCAAGCCCTGAGAGCACACAAAGACACTTGATTTTAGGCCTGGGGAATCAAAATCTAGTCGTTGTACATAGGCATGGGGATCCTTCCCCTGGAGCATAGCAGCTGTTAGGTCTTGCCCCGTCGCCTGATTCTGGTTAGCTTGTTGTTCACACAGCTCATCATATTCTGCCTTCCAGAGGAGGTATTGGCTAGGCTCCAAAGTTGTTTTGGTTAGCATTGCCCAGTCCCATGGGGTCATAGAAAAGTGGTCTGCCAAGGCCTCAATCATTCCTTTCATAAATGGGCTAGCAGCTCTGTTTTCTTTAATGCTTTTTCTTAGCTCCTTATAAGCATTAAAAGAAATGGGTTCATGTACCTGATTGCCTTGTCGGTCTTGCATTACCAGGCAGGCTAAGAGCTCCCCTTCCAATGCCACTTGCTTAAGACAAGGTCCCATAGCTGGAGCATGTCTCCTGTCTTTTTTCCTATCTATTGGAGGAGGGGGCTCAGGCAAAACCTCCATTTCCTCTTTGTTATTTTGGCCTGGTGATATCAGGGCTGAGGAACTTGCGGGTGGTAAAATACATGATGGTGCCTTGTCCTTCCCCTTTTTAGGCTCTTCTGTGTATAATGGGACCAAAGCCGCCCTTACTAAGGCCCATAGCATTAAAGATGATACTGGGACCCGTTACCCTTGAACATGATGTTGCTTAAGATTTTTTCCCACTCGTTCCCAGAGCTCTAGGTCTAGCATGCCTTCTTGGGGGAACCATGGGTTATGGGATACAACAGTTTGCATTAGGTTCCTTAATTAAACCTGTGAAACTGAGGCTCTGCTAGCTTTAAGCAGCCATTTCAATACTTTTATATACTGTTTCTGTTGAGCTGATAACTGTTGTCCCATGATGAAACCTTAGCCTGAACAATCCCCCGCCCCGAACTTGGAAATCCCAAGCAAGTACCAATGACTTACTGATTACTCACTGACTGCGCAGTTCCTTTTTCACCTTCATTTTCAGGGGGTTCATCAATCTCCCCTTGCAGCATTCCTCACGCGGGGCACCAGCTGTGGTAGTCTGACCCACAGACCCTGACCCAGTAATGGATGAGAGGTGTACACTGACACAGATATCTTGCTTGTCAGTTCAGCTGAGGGTCCAGGCCACACACAGACACCAAGGAAGGTGCTGTAAAGAGTTGCATCTATGGCCCTGATCAACCAGCAAAGCTCGCATTTGTTCACACCACTAGAGGGCAATTGACCTGTTTGCCGACCCCCCCAAGTAGAGAGCAATTATGCATCTGCAGTTGATCAAATGTTGGTCTTACGACCACATGAGTAAACAAGCTATTTAGATAAATGTTCCTTTGTATCTGTGCCCCAAGCAATTAACTCAAGGTAAGGATTACGCTGCTTTCAGCCATAACCCTATCTTGAGACTTTTGCAAATACCTTCTGGCCTTCCAAGAAGGTTTGTGTCTATATCCTATAATTTTACAATTTCTCCCACCATCCTGACTGAACCCCCACACTAGACTAACCAAGAAAAGAAAAGAGAATACCCAAGTAAACCATATCATAAATGAAAAAGAAGCTATTACAACAGATCCCACATAAATACAAAAGATAATCAGAAACCATTATGAACAAATATATGGTAACAAACTGGAGAAACAAGAGGAAATGGATAAATTTCTGGAAACATACAACTTACCAAGATTGAATCAGGAAGAAAGAAAATCTGGACAGACTAATACTGAGTACTGAAATGGAATCAGTAATAAAAAATCTCCCAAAAAAGAAAAATCCAAGAGCATATAGTTTCACTGATGAATTCCACCAAACTTTCAGAGAACCACCACCGATTTTCCTCCAACTGGTCCAAAAAGTTGAAGAAGAGGGAATTCTCCCAAACTCATTCTGTGAGGCTAGCATTACCCTAATGGCAAACCCAGACAAGGATGCTCCAAGAAAGAAAACTACAGGTGAATATCCTGATACATACAGATGGAAAAATACTTACCAAAATAAGAGCAAACCGAATCCAACAGTAGATCAAAACAATAATATAATGTGATCAAGTAGGATTTACAGCAAGGATGCAAGGATATTTCAACATACACAAATCAATGAATGTGATACATCACATCAACATGATGAAGGCCAAAATCCATATGACTATCTCAATAAATGCAGAAGAAGCATTTGATAAAATTCAACACCTTTTCGTAATAAAAACTCTCAACAAACTAGGCATAAAAGGATCATGCCTTAATATAATAAAGGCTCTATGTGACAAAACCCACAGCTAACATCATACAGAATGGTGAAAAGTTGAAAGCTTTTTCTTTAGGAACTGGGAAAAGACAAGTATACACATGTTCACCCCTCCTACTCAACATAGTACTATTCTATCTATCCAAGGGGGGCTGCACATCAGCCCTGTCTCCTATCTGCCATCTTCCTGGCAAGAGCTCATAAAGCAAGTTCCAAAATAATCTTATATTTAGAAAAACCAAACACTCCACCAGAACACTCTTAGAACTGATAAGCCAATTCAGTAGACTTGGCAGGATACAAAATTAATATGCAGAAATAAGTAGCATTTCTATTCACCAACAATGAAATAGCTGAAAAAGAAATGAAGAAGAGAATTCCATTTATGATAGCTACAAAAAATATGATAAAATACTTGGAATAAATTTTACCAAAGAGATGAAAGATCCCTACAAGGCAAACTACAAAACACTGATGAAAGAAATTGAAGTGGACACAAACAAATGGAAAGAAATTCCATGCTAATGGATCAGAAGAATTAATATCATTAAAATGACCATATGGCCCAAAGCAATCTACAGATTTAATGTGATCCCTATCAAGATACCAATGTCACTTTCCACAAAAATATAAAAAACAATCCTAAAATTTGTATAGAACCATAAAAGATCCTGAATAGGCAAAGCCATCCTGAGCAAAAAGAACAAAGCTGGAAGTATCACAATACCTGATTTCAAAACATTTTACAAGGCTGTAGTAACCAAAAGAGTAGAGTACTGGTATAAAAAACAGACACATAGACCAATAGAATACAACAGAATAGGGGACAGAATCATGGTGGATGGGAGGCATTATACATTGCCCCTCCAACTTGGATGGACAGAGCAGCTTGTGGAGTCTTGCATCATGAACTTTTGCTCCAGACCTATTGCAGGAATGACTGGGAAAGCTGAGAGAACCCACAGACCCTCTGAAGGGAGCAGATTGCTCCTGCAGGACCTGGGAGACATCCCAAATACTGTGAGTGCCCAAACTGTGGAGGTGGGAAAGGGGGATCTTCCACCCTTGAATGCATACCTCACTGGGGAACCTGAAGGTGTAGATCATGGGAGAAGATTCTGACCTGAACTGGAGCTGAGTCCATTTAGAAGCTGAGGGAAACACAGGGGTAGAGGAAGCAGCGGAAGGGACTTGTTTTGGGCACTAACATTTGGCTCTTTGTTACTTATGCAAATTTCTGCAGCTGGCTTGAATTTCTCCTCAGAAAATGGGATTTTATTTTCTATCGCATTGTCAGGCTGCAAATTTTTCAAACTTTTATGCTGTTTCCCTTTTAAAACTGAATGCTTTTAACAGCACTCCAGTCACCTCTTGAATGCTTTGCTGCTTAGAAATTTCTTCTGCCAGATACCCTAAATCATCTCTCTCAAGTTCAAAGTCCCACAAATCTCTAGGGCAGGGGCAAAATGCCACCAGTGTCTTTGCTAAAACATAACAAGAGTCACCTTTGCTTCAGTTCCCAACAAGTTCCTCATCTCCATCTGAAACCATCTCAGCCTGGATTTCATTGTCCATATCATTATTCAACAAGTCTCTAGAAAGTTCCACATTTTCCCACATTTTCCTGTCTTCTTCTGAGCCCTCCAAACTCTTGCAACCTCTGCCTGTTACCTAGTTCCAAAGTCACTTCCACATTTTTGGGTATCTTTTCTGTGGTGCCCCACTCTACCGGTACCAATTTACTGTATTATTCTGTTTTCACACTGCCGATAAAGACATAACTGAGACTGGGCAATTTACAAAAGATAAAGGTTTAATTGGACTTACAGTTCCACATGGCTGGGGAAGCCTGACAATCATGGTGGAAGGCAAGGAGGAGCAAGTCTCATCTTCCTTGGATGGTGGCAGGCAAAGAGAGAGCTTGTGAGGGCAACTCCGTTTTCAGAACTATCAGATCAACTGAGACCCATTCACTGTCACAAGAACAGCACTGGAAAGACCCACCCCCATAATTCAGTAATCTCCCACAGGGTGCCTCCCACAACACGTGGGAATTATGGGAGCTACAAGGTGAGGTTTGGGTGGGGACACAGATCCAAACCATATCACTGTAGAACAAATGGACTTAACAGATATTTACAGAACATTCTACTCAACAACAGCAGAATATACATTATTTTCATCAGCATGTGGAACATCCTCCAAGACAGATGTTATGGTAGGCCACAAAACAAGTCTCAATAAGTTTAAGAAAATCAAAATTATATGATGTACCCTCTCAGACTACAGTGGAATAAAACTGGAAATTGAATCCAAAATGAATTCTCAGAACTATACAAATACATGGAAATTAAATAATCTGCTCCCGAATGATCTTTAGGTCAACAATGAAATCAAGATGGAAATTTTAAAAATCTTTGAACTGAACCATAATAGTGACACAATTTATCAGAAACTCTAGGAAGGCCGGGCACGGTGGCTCACACCTGTAATCCTGGCACTTTGGGAGGCCGAGGTGGGTGGATTACCTGAGGTCGGGAGTTCGAGACCAGCCTGGCCAACATGATGAAACCCCATCTCTACTAAAAATACAAAAATCAGCCGGGTGTGGTGGTGTGTGCCTATAATCCCAGCTACTCGGGAGGCTGAGGCAGGAGAATTGCTTGAACCCAGGAGGTGGTGGTTGCAGTGAGCCAAGATTGTGCCACTGTACTCCAGCCTGGGCAACAAGAGCGAAATTCTCAAAAAAACAAAACAAAACAAAAACAAAAACAAAAACTCTGGGAGACAGCAAAAGTGGTGCTAAGAGGAAAGTTCATAGCATTAAATGCCTACATCAAAAAGTCAATCTAGACATCAAAAAGTCAACATAGACAATCTAAGGTCACCCTTCAAGGAACCAGAGAAACAAGAACAAACCAAACCCAAACCCATCAGAATAAAATAAATAGCAAAGAAATAAATGAAATTGAAATAAATTTCAGAGCAGAAATAAATGAAATTGAAACCAAGAATACAAAAGATAAATGAAATGAAAAGCTGGTTCTTTGAACAAATAAACAAAATTGACAGACCATTAGCAAGATTAACCAAGAAAAGAAGAGAGAAGATCCAAATAAGCTCAATTAGAAATGAGACAGGAGATATTGCAACCGATACCACAGAAATACAAAAGATCATTGAAGGCTACTATGAACACCTTTATGCAGACAAACTAGAAAGTCTAGAGGAGATGGGCAAATTCTTGGAAATATACAACCCTCCTAGATTAAATCAGGAAGAAATAGAAACTCTGAACAGGCCAATAGCAAGTAGTGAGATTAAAATAATAATTTAAAAACTGCCCAAAAGAAAAAGTCCAGGACCAGATGTGTTCACAGCTGAATTCTATCAGACAGTCAAAGAAGAATTGGTATCAATCTTACTGAAACTATTCAAAAAGATAGAGAAAGAGAGAATTTTCCCTAATTCATTCTATGAAGCCAGTATCACCCTAACACTAAAACTGGGAATAGGCAGAAAAAAAGGAAAACCACATACCAATATCCCTGATGAACATAGGTGCAAAAATCCTCAACAAAACACTAGCTAACTGAATCCAACAGCATGTCAAAAAGATAATACGCCATGATCAAGTGGGTTTCATACCAGGGATGCAGGGATGGTTTAACATATGCAAGTCAATAAATGTGATACATCACATAAACACAGTTAAATACAAAAATCACATCATCAACTCAAAAGACACAGAAAAAACATTTGACAAAATTTACCATCGCTTTATAATTAAAACCCTGAGCAAAATTGGCATAGAAGGGACATACATCAACTTAATGAAAGCCATCTATGACAAACCCACAGAAAGAATTATACTGAACAGGGAGAAGTTGAAAGCATTCCCCTTGAGAACTGGAAGGAGACAAGAATGCTGACTTTCACCCCTTCTCAAAAGAAGACATTTATGCAGCCAAAAAACACATGAAAAAATGGTCACCATCACTGGCCATCAGAGAAATGCAAATCAAAACCACAATGAGATACCATCTCACACCAGTTAGAATGGCGATCATTAAAAAGTCAGGAAACAACAGGTGCTGGAGAGGATGTGGAGAAATAGGAACACTTTTACACTGTTGGTGGGACTGTAAACTAGTTCAACCATTGTGGAAGTCAGTGTGGCAATTCCTCAGGGATCTAGAACTAGAAATACCATTTGACCCAGCCATCCCATTACTGGGTATATACCCAAAGGACTATAAATCATGCTGCTATAAAGACACATGCACACGTATATTTATTGCGGCACTATTCACAATAGCAAAGACTTGGAACCAATCCAAATGTCCAACAATGATAGACTGGATTAAGAAAATGTGGCACATATACACCATGGAATACTATGCAGCCATAAAAAATGATGAGTTCATGTCCTTTGTAGGGACATGGATGAAATTGGAAATCATCATTCTCAGTAAACTATCGCAAGGACAAAAAACCAAACACCGCATGTTCTCACTCATAGGTGGGAATTGGACAATGAGAACACATGGACACAGGAAGGGGAACATCACACTCTGGGGACTGTTGTGGGGTGGGGGGAGGGGGGAGGGTTAGCATTAGGAGATATACCTAATGCTAAATGACAAGTTAATGGGTACAGCACACCAGCATGGCACATGTATACATATGTAACTAACCTGCACATTGTGCACATGTACCCTAAAACTTAAAGTATAATAATAATAAAAATAAAAAAAGAAAAAGAAAAGGGAAGTTACAAATTAAAAAAAAAAAAGACAAAACATAGGATTGGAAGTCCTAGCCAGAATAATCAGACAAGAGAAAGAAATAAAGGACATACAAATAGGTAAAGAGAAAGTCAAACCATCACTGTTCACTAATGATATGATCATATACTTCAAAAACCCTAAAGACTCATCCAAAAAGCTCCTAGATCCGAAAAATGAATTCAGCAAATTTTCAGGTTACAAAATAAATGTATACAAATAAGTAGCACTACTATACACCAATGACCAAGCTGAGAATCAAATCAAGAACTCAATCCCTTTTACAATAGTTTCCCGAAAATAAATTTAAAAAATGCTTGGAATATACTTAACCAAGGAGGCTAAAAATCTCTACCAGGAATACTACAAAACACTGCTGAAAGAAATCATAGATGACACAAACAAATGGAAACACATCCCATGCTCATGGATGGGTAGAATCAATATTGTGAAAAGGACTATACTGCAAAAGGCAGTCACAAATTCAATGCAATTCCCATCAAAATACCACCATCATTCTTCACAGAACTAGAAAAAACAATTCTAAATTTCATATGGAACCAAAAAAGAGCCCACATAGCCAAAGCAAGACTAACCAAAAAGAACAGATCTGGAGGCATCACATTACCTGATTTCAAAATATAATATAAGGCCATAGTCACCAAGACAGCATGGTACTGGTATAAATGTAGGCACATAGACCAATAAAACAGAATAGAGAACCCAGAAATAAACCCAAATACTTACAGCCAACTGATCTTTGACAAAGCAAACAAAAACATAAAGTGGTAAAAAAACACCCTATTTAACAAATTGAGCTGGGATAATTGGCAAGCCACATGTAGGAGAATAAAACTGGATCCATGTCTCTCACTCTACACAAAAATCAACTCAAGGTAGATCAGGGACATAAATCTAAGACCTGAAACTATAAGAATTTTAGAAGATAACATCGGAAAAACCCTTCTAGACATTGGCTTAGGCAAGGATTTAATGACCAAGAACCCAAAAGTAAATGCAATAAGAACAAAGATAAATAGCTGAGACCTTAATTAAACTAAAGAGCTTTTGCACGGCAAAAGGAACAGTCAGCAGAGTAAACAGATAACCCACAGAGTGGGAGAAAATCTTCACAATCTATACATATGACAAAGGACTAATATCCAGAATCTACAATGAACCCAAACAAATTAGTAAGTAAAAAACAAACAATCCCATAAAATATGAGTTAAGGGCATGAATAGACAATTCTCAAAAAAAGACATACAAATGGCCAACAAACATAAGAAAAATTGCTCAGCATCACTAATAATCAGGAAAATGCAAATCAAAACCACAATGCAATACCATTTCACTCCTGAAAGAATGGCCTTAATCAAAAAATCAAAAAATAATAGATGTTGGCAAGGATGTGGTGAACAGAGAACAATTTTCCACTGCTGGTGGGAATGTAAACTGGTACAACCACTATGGAAAACAGTGTGGAGTTTCCTTAAAGAGTCCTAAAAGTAGAACTACCATTTGATCCAGCAATCCCACTACTGGGTATCTACCCAGAGGAAAAGAAGTCATTATACAAAAAAGATACTTGCATACACATATTTATAGCAGCACGATTCACAATTGCAAAAATGTGGAAGTAACCAATGAGTGGATAAAGAAACTTTGATATATATATATATATATATATATATATATATATATATGATGGAATATATATATATATATATGATGGAATATATATATATATATGATGGAATATATATATATATATGATGGAATATATATATATATGATGGAATATATATATATATATGATGGAATATATATATATGATGGAATATATATATATATGATGGAATATATATATATGATGGAATATATATATATATATGATGGAATATATATATATATATGATGGAATATATATATATGATGGAATACTACTCAGCCATAAAAAGGAATGATTTAATGGCATTTGCAGTGACCTGTTTGAGATTGGAGACTATTATTCTAAGTGCAGTAACTCAGGAAGGGAAAACCAGGCATCGTATGTTCTCACTCATAAGTGGGAACTAAGCTATGAGGATGCAAAGGCATAAGCATGGCACAATGGACTTTGGGGACTCTGCAGGAAAGGGTGGGAAGGGGGTGACGGATAAAAGATTACAAATTGGTTGCAGTGTATACTGCTTGGGTGATGGGTGCACCAAAGTCTCAAAAATCTTCACTAAAGAACTCACTCATGTAACCAAACACCACCTGTTTCCCAATAACCTATAGAAATAAATTTTTTTTAAAAAAGAATAGAACAGAATAGAAAACCCAGAAATAAATCCACATATTTATAGCTGACTTACATTCAATGAAGCTATGAAGAATATTCATTGGGGATATGACATCCTTTTCTATAAATGGTGCTGGGAACACTGGATAACCATATGCAGAAGAATGAAACTGGACCCCTACTTCTCACCATATACAAAAATCAACTCAAGATAGATTAAAGACTTAAATGTAATACCTGAAACTATAAATCTGCTAGAAGAAAACATAGAAAAAGTTCTTCAGGAAATAGGTCTAGGCAAAGATTTTATGACTAAGATCTCAAAAGCACCAGTAACAAAACCAAAAATGGACAAATGGAACTATATTAAACTAAAAAGCTTCTGCACAGCAAAAGAAACAATCTACAGGGTGAAGAGAAAACCTCTTAAATGGGAGAAAATATATGCAAGCTACTCATCCAACAGGGGATGAATATCCAGAATATACAAGGAAATCAAACATCTTCATAGTAAAAAAATAAATAATCCTGGCCAGGTGTGGTGGCTAATGCCTGTAATGTCAGCACTTTGGGGGCCTACAGCAGGAGGATCTCTTGAGTCCAGGAGTTCAAGATCAGCCCAGGAAGCATAGCTAGACTTCAGTCTCTTACTAAAATTAAAAAGAACCAAATAGCCTGGTATGGTGACATGAGCCTGTAGTCCCAGCTGAAGGACTGAGGCAAAAGGATAGCTTGAACCCAGGAATTTGATGCTGCAGTGAACTATGGGACCACTGCACACTAACCTGGGCAAGATCTAGTCTCAAAAATAAATAATTAAATTAATTAATTAATTAATTAATAACCCCATTTTTAAAATGAGCAAAGAACATGAACAGACATTTCCCAAAAGAAGACAGGCATTTGTTCTCTTCATTGAGAAAAGAAAAATGAGAGAGAGCAAGAGAAAGAAAAGAAGACATATAAATGGTCAACAGGTACATGAAAGAATGCTCAACATTACTAATCATCAGGGAAATGCAAATCAAAACCACAATGAAGTCAGGCCACAGTGGCTCATGACTGTAATGCCGACACTTTCAGAGGCCAAGGTGGGAGGATCGCTTGAGCCAGGAGTTTGAGACCAGCCTAAGCAAAGTAGTGAGATCCCATCACTACAAAAGCAAAACAAACAACCACAATGAGATATCATTTTACCCCAGTTGGGATGGCTACTATGAAAAAGACAAAACAAACAAACAAACAAAACAAAAAAACCACAGGTGTTGGCAAGGATATGGAGAAAAGGGAACTCTTATTCACCATTGCTTGGAATGTAAGTAAGTACAGCCACTATGGAAAATAATATGGAGATTTCTCAAAAAACTAAAAATAGAACTACTACACAATCAAGCAATCTCACTAATTAGTATTTATCCAAATGGAAAAGAAAGTAATGTATCAAAGGGATACACACATTCTTTATTGCAGCACTATTCACAAGAGCCAAGATATGGAATCAACCTAAGGGTCCATGAATGGATGAATGGATAAAGAAAATGTAGTATATATAGACAATGAAAGTATTCAGCCATTTAAAAAGATGAAATCATGTCATTTGCAGTAACATGGATGGAAGTGGACGTCATAATGTTAAGTGAAATAAGCCAGGCACAAAAAAACAAATATCACATGTTCTCACTCGTATGTGGGAGTTTAAAAAGTTGATCACATCAGGGTAGAGAGTAGAATGATAGATACCAGAGACTAGGAAGTGGACGGAGATACAGAGATGTTGGTTAATGGTTATGAACCTATACTAATATAAAGAATAAATTCCAGTGTTTGATAGCAGAGTAGGGTGACTATAGTTAACAACAATGTATAGTATTTTTCAAAAAAACTAGAAGAGAGGACTTGAAATGTACTCAATGCATAAAAATGATAAATTGTGGGTGATAGATACCCTAAACACCCTGACTTCATCATTACATTGCATGCATGTAACAAAATGTCACATATAACCCATGAATATGTTCAAATATAATGTATCAAAAAATTTTAGAACTAAAAACAAAAACCAAAGCCCCCAACCCAAACATGTAGTTTAGTTTTTATTTTACAGAAACAAAGCATAATGACATTTTCACTTATACATTCCAAATCTTCAGAACTTACATTATTACGTAAATGAATACATCAAAATATTAAGATACATATTTTTCATTTCTAAATTACAACCAGTTGGTAAATAGGCAAAAAAAAGATGAATAAATAGAGTGACAAGAAAAAGAAGATAGGAGAGAGCCAAATCCAGAGAAAAAGGAAAGAAAATAGGAGCAAGTATAGGAATGAAATTGTCCTTATACAGAGGCTGACTTACCTTTAATCTAAAAAGACTTAATATTCGGGACCCCTTCTTGCAGGAGCCTTTTAACATCATATATTTTTGTACAATCTGCAAAAAGTAAGATAATTTAACAGCAAATTGTTAAGACTGTTGTATTTCTTCATTCTGACTTCTCATCCATCATACATTTTGCCCCTTGTTAGGCGGCAATAGAGTGACCATAGATATTTCAGAGATTCAAATAAGGGAAAGTTAAGTTGGGGATACACAAGGTAGAAAATGTATTTATGGCTTTACATTCACTCCATGCATAGTTAAATTATTACACGGGCTTAATCAGGGACATAGATAGGTTTAAACTAAGGATGACTGATTCTTATACTAATGATCTTAGAACTCTCAATATTGTGTTTTATGTGCTTACTAATCACTATAGGCCTTGATTTTTCAATGTAAAGCCATAATAAGATATTGTTACTTGCCAACATTTGATATTGTTTACCTCCTCTCTACCCAGCGAGAGGCAGAGAAGTAGTAAATAAAAGGCATCAACTCATTATTCTAGTCATTTACTCTCTGTCACGCTATTGTACACTACACTTTAGCCATACTGGACGCCTTACTTTTACCAGACCATGTACTTGATGTACTTGGCTATTCTCTCTCCCCAGCCTCAAATGAATCTGCCCAAGCACATCTATACAGGTTATTATTAATTTCTTGCTGGTATTACTTGAAATACTGACATTGATGAAGATAATCCCTCATTTCTAATTTACTATGACAACAATGACATCAATGATAAACTGGTTAATGAGTGTCATTAATTCTAGGAGTATCTAAGATTAATGATTACCGTATAGTAACTGAAGAGGAATAAAATTATTTTTCTTCTAGTCCCAGACATAATGTATGTTTGATCCGTTGTATTCTCCCAACAAGGAGTGACTATGGTTTGCTGGTCAAAGTGGTAGATTATGGTAGTCATAACACATCATTCGGTTATCTCCCAGATCCATACTATATTAATGCAATATATACACTTGGCTACTGGAAGATGTCCAATATCAACTTCCACTTCTGAAATAAGAGATTATGAAGGAAGAGACTAGTAGAAAGACCTGAGTTTCCAATTCTATCCCCAGTTGTCAATAAAAAACAATACCATAGATTGCCTTCCTCTTTTTGGCTATGATGGAATAGCTTGTACAGTATTAATGTTCCTTCCAATAATAATGAGTAAAGCCAGATAAAATACAAAAAATAGGCCAGGCACAGTGGCTCATACCTGCAATCCCAGCACTTCAGGAGGCCAAGGCAGGAGGATCACTTGAGCCTAGGAGTCTTAAGACCAGCTTGGGCAACATAGCAAGACCCAGACTCCATAAAAATAAAAAATCAACTGGGCATGGTGGCCCATGCCTATAGTCCTAGCTACTTGGGAATCTGAGGCAGGAGGATTGCTTGAATACTGGAGCTCAGGAAGCTGAGTCTGCAGTGAGCTATGATCACACCACTGCTCTCCAGCCTGGGTGACAGAGCAAGACCCCCTCTCAAAGGAAAAAAAACTACAAAAAATATATGCTTGAGGGAATCATAAAACTCTCAAGGTGATGACAGCTTGAGAAGACAAGATCATGAAAAGAAAATAACAAGAGAGGAGCCAACATTCTCCAGTTGCTTTACTCCTAAAGATTATCTTATTTTTAGGGCAGAGCAACAGACTGATAATTCTAGCAAACAACTTATGGCCATGGAGAGACAAAGAATGGTATCTGGGGCTGCCAAATTTAAGGGATCAGGATGTCAGTGAAACAGTAGACAATGACAGCCAGAAAAAGCTTAAACTCTGCTTCAAGTCAGATCCATTCCAGATTAAAATAAGGATCATTTTCTACTCTATATGCCTAACAGAGGATAAGGCTAATTCCTTCTGGAAGAAAAGTGCATCACTGAGAAAAATAATGAATAACTTAATTATTGGATTAGAGATAAACTTTATAATAGCTATAATGAATATGTAAAAAGATAATAGAAATCATAATGAAAAATTTTATTAAAGAAATAGAATGTATAGAAAAGAATTAATAGAAATTCTAGAACTAAAAAATGATGATATAAATTTTTAAAAACTCCTATAGATGGGTCAATATTGGCAAAAATAACAAAGTAAGAACCTCCAAAAACTCTCCTCTCCATAAAAGCAACAAGAAAAGTGACAAAAATTGAAAAAAAAATCAACTCTTTCAGAACTCTGGAAATTAACCAAAGTCTTGCAGCAATCCAGAGAACATTTACTAAAGAAAAATGGTGCAATCTCAATAAGAACAGTTTTGTGACATTTTAACTTGTACAATTCCCATTCTGTCCTCTCGGGTTCTGCAGTAGACTTGAGAACCAACAAGCTGTAATCATGGTGAAAATCAGCGGCCTGGAGGGAGCAGAACAGAGCTGGGGCTTTTCCAAAACCTTGTGATCAGAGAATTGTCATTATTTTACCTGTCTGGTGGTTTCCTGGAATACCCAATTTGCAAAGTAGTTCTCATTTGACCTGATTGGGAACTTGCCCGGTGCAAAAATCCTTTTCCATGAAAATATTTATTGGAAACAATTAAAGGCAACCGAGTTGCCTGAGGCAGTGGATAACAGTTGAGGAAAACAAGAGATTAAATAAAAAGCTTAAAGGGAAAATCTGGGAAATGAGATGTCCAAGGGGCTTTGATTATTTCCATCATATTCCTGGAAATCTAGAAGGCCATGTACATATGTAGGATGGGGTGCATACTTAGGAAAGACCTGAGAAGATTGTAAGCTTTCTTCTTGGACTGGCCTTGGTGCTCTGTACAAGGAGGAAATAAAGGGTAAAGTGGAGTTGTCAACTGTCTGGCTGAGTGTTGAAGGTATCACCAACATGCACACAGAACCTGCTGTGGTTTGAATATGGCTTGTCCTCATCAAAACTTATTTTGAGGCTTGGTTCCCAATCTGGTGGTGTTGGGAGATGGTGCCTTTAAGAGGTGCTTAGGTCATTAAGTTGGATTGGTGTCTTTCTTGAAAGACTGGGTTAGTTATGAAGTTCCCTTGAGAGTGGGTTGTTATAAAGTGAGTTTGCCTCTCTTGTTTTGTCCTGTTCACATATACCTCGTTCTCCTTTTGTTTCTCTGCCATGTTTTGACACAGCACAAGGACCTCAGCAGAAGCCACCAAATCAGCTGTCTAATATTGAACTTTCCAGCCTGCAGAACCATGAGTAAAATAAACCTCTTTTCTTTATAAATTACTTCATCTCAGGTGTTCTCTTATAGGAACACAAAACAAAGAAAAAGCTCCCCAGGAAAGACTAGGAGATATGTTTATTCCAGGCATTTTAGGAAACCTTTGTTCAAACATTAGGTGACCACTAAGCTAACTGAGAAAAAATGTAATAGCTACACATAACAAAGAATCAGACTTTGCAAGATTTGTTCAGAAAAGTCACAAAATAAAACAACAACAAACAATGAAAGCAAACCCTAGAAGGGAAAGCGAGGGAAGAATCTCATTATCTGGGTTGCCACATTATATTACACAAAATATCTAGTTTTCAACAAAAATTACAAGACATGCAAAGAAATAATAAAGCATGGCCTGTACATAGGGGGGAAATTAATAAATAAAAAATGTCTCTAAGGAAGCCCAGCATTTAGACTTACTAGACAAAGACATTAAATAAGCATTTAAAATATATTCAAAGAACGGAAGGAAATCATGTTTACTAAAGGCAAGCATATGAATGATGTCTCACCACCCAGTAGAGACTACAGCAACAGGAATTATATAAGAAAAGAACCAAATAGAAATTCTGGAGTTGAAAAATACAATAACAGAAATGAAAATTTCACCAGACTGGCTTGACAGCAGATTTGAGCAAGGCAGAAGAAATAATCAACAAAGTTAAATGTAGGTTAATTTTGATTATCCAGTTTGAGGAAGAAGAAGAAAAATGGGAAAAGAAAAATGAACAGATCCTCAGAGACCTGTAGAACACCATCAAGCAGACCAAAATATGTATAACTGTAGTCCTAAAATGAAAAAAAGGGTGCCAGAAAAAATATTTGAAGAAATAATGGCTGAAAACTTTGCAAATTTGATAAAAAATGTTAATCTACATATCTGAGAATCTTAATGAACTATAAGTAGAATAAACTCAAAGAGATCCACACCTACACACATTGTAATCAATCTGTTGAAAGTTGAAGACAAAGATATCTTGAAACCATTAAGAGAGAAATGACTTATCACATTCAAGCAAGAAGATTGACAGATGATCTTTCATTAGAAGCCATGGAGGGTCAGGTGCGGTGACTCATGCCTTTAATCCTAGCACTTTGGGAGGCTGAGGTGGGAGGATTGCTTGAGTGTAGGAGTTCAACACTCCATCCCTATTTAAAAGAAAAAAGTAAAAACATAAAAAAGAGAGACAGAGGAAGATAAAAAGAAAGAGAGAGAGAGAGAGAAAGAAAGAAAGGAAGAGAAAGAAAGAGAACCATGGAGGCTAGAATGCAATTGAAAGACTTATTCAAAGTGCTGAGGGGAAAAGCTGTCAGCCAAAAACTCTAAATGAAGGAGAAATTAAGACATTTTCAGGTAAAAAGAAACAGAGATTTCATCATTAGCAAGACAGCTGTACTAAAATACTTTCAGGCTGAAGTGAAAGGACACTAGAATATAGTGTAATATAGTCAAATCCATGTAAGGAAATAAAGACACCAATAAGGTAACTGAAATAGGTGAATATAAAAGACAATATAAATGTACTTTTTAATGACTTTTTCTCCTATTTAATTTAAAACTTCAGCAAACAATATTTATAAATCTGTGTTGATAGGCACACATGTAAGAATGGTATAATTTGTATGACAATAACAGCACGGGGGTAGGGAACAGAGCTGTATAGAAATAAAGTGTTTGTATACTATTGAAATTAAGTTGGTATTAATACAAACTAGATTATTAATATGCTAATTTTAATCTGTAGGGTAGTCACTAAGACAAAAAAGTAGAGGAACTAAAAATGTAGAGTAAAAGAAATGATAAGTGAATTAAAATGATACATAGAAAATGTCTATTTAACACAACAAAAGGCAGTAATAGAGGAATAGAGGAACAAAAAAGATATAAGAAAAATAGAAAATAAACAATGAAATGGCAGACATAAAAATATGTTACAGTAATCACACTAAATATAAATACATTACATTTCAATTTAGACAGGTTAGCAGAATGGATAAAATAAAAATGATGCAACTATATATTCTCTGCTGGAGACAAACCTTAGATACAAAGTTACAAAGAGGTTGAAAGTACAAGGCAGGAAAAGATACACCATGCAAAGAGCAACCAAAAGAAAGCTGGAGTGGCTACACTAATGCCAGACAAAATAGACCTTAATACAAACATACCACTAGAGAAAAGTAAGGACATTTTAATGATAAAAGAGAAAGTTATAGCTGTAAATACCTATATTAAAAAAGAAGAAAAATTGCAAATCAGTAACAACCTTCCACTTTAAGAAATTAGAAAAGAGGCCGGGTGCGGTGGCTCACTCTGTAATCCCAGCACTCTGGGAGGCCAAGGAGGGTGGATTGCTTGAAGTCAGGAGTTTGAGATCAGCCTGGCCAACATGATGTAACCCCATCTCTACTAAACATACAAAAATTAGCCTGGCGTGGTGGCAGGCACCTATAACCCCAGCCACTCGGGAGGCTGAGACAGGAGAATCGTTTGAACCCGGGATGGGGAGGTTGCAGTGAGTGGAGATCAGGCCCCTGCACTCTAGCCTGGGTGACAGAGCAAGACTCCATCTCAAAAAAATAACCCTGTCTCAAACAAACAAATAAACAAACAAAAAAAGAAAAGAAAAGAAAAGAAATTAGAAATGAGTAAGACAAACCAGAACTAGTGAAAGGAATGTTAGAATGGGAATAAATGAACTAGGAAATAGAAAAAGATAGAGAAAATCAACAAAACTAAGTTTTTGCTTTTAAAGAATCAAAACTGAGGAAACTTTAGCTAGATTGAGTAAGAAAAAAAAGAAAGGAATTGAATTACTCAAATCAGGAATAAAAGATGAGACCTTTCTACCACTTTACAGAAATGAAAAACAATATAAGGGAATACTGTGTACAATTGCGTGCCAACAATTAGATAATCTAGATAAAATGGACACATTTTGTGCTGGGCAGGGTGGCACACATCTGTAGTACCAGCTACTAGGGAAGTTGAGGCAGGAGGATTGCCTGAACCCAGGAGTATGGGGTTATCGTGCACTGTAGCCTGGGCAACATAGCAACCTGTCAAAAAAAAAAAAGACAAATTTCTCGAAAAACATAACTACTAAAACAATGAAAAAGAATACAATATTTCAAAGTATTTTATCTTTTCTAATGTTCTTTGACAAAAATAGAACAGAGCTAGAGATCAATTACAGAAAGATAACCAAAAAATTTTGAAGAGTTTAGAAATTAAGAAATACAAATTAAAATAATCCATAGATCAAAGAAGATAATCAGAGATTAAATCTAATTATTATCAGATCCCTGACAATAAAAAATTGAAAATATCAGTTGGGTGTGGTGGCTCATGCCTGTAATCCCAGTACTTTGGGAGGCTAAGGCAAGAGGATTGCTTGAGCCTAGGAAGTTCAAAACCAGCCTGGACCACATGATAAGACCCCATCTCTACGAAAAATAAAATATAAGTTAGCTGGTGTGGTGCTGCATGCCTGAGGTCCTAGCTTCTTAGGAGGCTGAGGTGGGAGGATCACTTGAGCCCAGGAGTCCAAGGCTGCAGTGAGATATGACAGCACCACTGCACTCCAGCCAGGGCAACAGAGCGAGACCCTGTCTTGAAAGAAAAGAAAAGGAAAGGAAAGAAAAAGAAAAGAAGGAAGGAAGAAAGAAAATTGAAAATATTGCAAATTATACTTGCATTACAAAATATTATAACATAAGATGAAGCTGAAGTCAGGTCTAGACAAAAATTATATGCAACCTTAAGTGCATATAATTAATTGGAAAGAAAGAAATACTGAAAATCAATCATATACTTAGAAAAAGAATGTCAAATTTAACCCAAGAAAAGTAAAAGTAAGGGAATTATATACATAAAAGAAGAAAATAATTTGATAGGAAATAATAATACAGTAGAAAAACATCAACAACACTAAAGGCTTGTTTCTTTGAAAAGACTAATAGGATTGATAAAATTTTAGCAAGACTGTGGAAGATTTTAAAACAAGACAGAAGGCATGAAATTCCAATATCAGGAATGAAAAAGGTACTGTCATTATGGGTCCTGTAGACATTAAAATTACAATAGAAAATATTATAAATAACTTTATGCTGACAAATTTGAAAAGCTAGATGAAATAGACATATTCTAGAAAACACCACTTACTAAAATGAACTCAAGAAATAATAGAAAAATTTTCATAATCCTGTATCTATTAAAGAAATTGAGTTGGTAATTACAAAACTTTCCACAAAGAAATCTGTAGGCAAAGATGATCTTATTGGGTGAATTCTTCTAAATATTCAGTGAAGGCATTTGCTAACCTTACACAAGCGATTCCAAAAGACGGGGGAATAAAGGAACATTTCTCAACTCATGCAGCAATATGCCAAATCCTCATAAGCATGAAGCAAAAACAAAAACAAAAAAGCAAAAGTAAGGCTCATCTCATTTTTAAACACAGATACAAAACTCCTAAAAGATCTATTAGTCAATTAAATATAACACTAGGTAAAATAATGACCAAGTTGAGTTTATTCTATGAACATAGGGTAAGTTTAATATATGAAAATCAAGCAATGAAAATAGTAACTTATGGTTGAAAAATCTGTCAGTTACCACTAAAATCAAGTAGTCAAAATTAGCATCACAGGGTAAGTTTAATATACGAAAATCAAGCAATGAAAATAGTAACTTTATGGTTGAAAAAATCTGTCAGTTACCACTAAAATCAAGTAGTCAAAATTAGCATCACTGATAACAGAACAAATCAACATCATGTGTCTCCTGATTCAATGCACGGAGATACAATATCAACTATGAAGAACTCCTGCCTTTGTCATATCCTCTATGAGCTGTTTAGTTCCTTTCCAATAAATGCCTTTTCTGCTTAATTATTCAAGTTTGCATTCTATTGTTTAAAATCAAGAACCTGCATTAGTACAGTAGTAATAGTTATTGAGCACTAATGCTCACAGCAGTGTTTCAACATAGATATTATTTATCCTTATTCTAAGATGAGACAATAGGTAGTTATAGTTAAGAATATGACCCCAAATCACATACACAATAATAGGTGAAGGAAAGAATAAATTTCAAGTTTACCTGTCTCCAAATTTCATTCTTTTAGACTCTCTAACCCTTCTCCCTTGACCATGCTTGGCATTTTTGACTAAGTGATTTTAGCCAGGAACCTGGTTTACCCAAATACACAGAATCATCAATCTGTCTCCCTCCATACCCTTCCTTGGGATTTAAGGATGTCAGAAGTTAAGGAGAGAAGATAAACATGTGCTTTTACTGTGATGCTCTCTGGGGAAAAGTTATGTGGGGTCCAGATAAAAATCATTGCCTCTCAGAGAACAAAGACATGCTATTCCCAGGGGGCTGCTCATGAGATCTTTTTATAAGGCTCCAAACAGTAAGACTAGATGTAGGGCTAGCTCCCGAGTGATGGAAAAGAATCGGGACAACTCCCTCCTGGGGGTATCTCTCTCTCTCTGTCTCTCTCTCGACTCCAAACAGCATCACAAGAGAACCTCAAGTTTTGTATTATTTATTCCAGGAACCCCAAAGGGAAGGTGAAAGAAACTTGGGGAGAAAAAAAATCTCCCTTGAATGCATGAAAAAACAGGTGTTGGGGTGATGTTGATGTTGAGATAGCCAAGTGCAGGCACCTGACTGCCACCTGGGGATGGGAGCAGGAGGGAGTGCTGGAGACCGTGGATTCAGAGGTTACTAGTGTAGACGTGCAGGGAGCCACAGGCCTGGATGAGTTCTCCAGAGCAGCAGGTGTAGAGTGATAAGAAGAGGGCTGACGACTAACATCAGGTGTGTAGTTTTAGGAGTGAAGAAGAAGAGTATTCAACAGAGGGGACAGGTTTTCATTCCTGCTTTGGCACCTGGAGCAATAGGAAGTGTTTGATTGCCTGTGCTACTTGAACATTCTCCTTCCCCGACAGCTTCCACGGCCTCTTTGTAGACTGTCTCCTTGCTCACCTTCACCTCAGATTGTCCCCTGGATTTGAGGCCCCAGCCATCATGACATGTTCAGGCTTCTGAACAGGGCTGTGAGGAGGGGGATGGAGGGAAAATATCAGGGGAAAGGATTTATCTGAATGCATGTAGAGACTTCAAAGAAGCTCTTTTCCTGGGAAATTCTGGTAACATTTCTCTCTATCCAATAAAAAGTGGGTGAAAGGCAGTGTCACTAGTTTCTGGCAGACTAAGCCCCTGAGAAGGTCCTGCTGCACGGATGTGTGTAACTGAAGCTGTGTGGAGGGAGCTTGTGATCTATACAGAAGTAGCAAGGGCAAGAGGAACAAGAGAGGTTCAAAGGCACCAAGTGCAGAGGCAGTGGGTGGGGAGACCCAGGCATGGAAGCCAGTGTTTCACTGTGAATACTTGGAAAGTCCCTGGCTGGCTCCAAACAGTAGAATATGGCTGGATTCTAGAGTCTGTTGTCAGAATAATGAGAATTAATACGGAAGCTCATTTTCAGACTTATCATTAGTTATGAGATGATGGAGGGTTAAGGAAACCACAGTAAGAGGAAGAGATTCTAAGGCTAGCTTCTTAGGACCCCACCCCATCCCTAAATTTTCAGATGGGAGAGAGAGGAGTGTTATGCATCTCTGTATCATTCTTTTTTGGAGCTGAGAGAGACAGAAAGGAGAGGGGAGGGGAGGGAAGGGGAGGAAGAGATGAAGAGGGAGAGGGGAGGGGAGGGAAGGGGAGGAAGAGATGAAGAGGGAGAGATGGAGAGGGAGAGATGGAGAAGGAGAGAGGGGGAGGGAGGGAGGGGAGGGAGAGGAGGAGAGAGAGAAGAGAAAGGGAGAGAGAGTGGGGAGAGAGGGAGAATAAGTATAAATCATCAATTAATCTGTGGATGTCTGATTGTCCACCTTCTGGATTATTTCAGACACTGAAATTTGTGAATAATGATAAGCAGGGCCTGGATCAGGAGAGCACTTCAAAAGATAAGGACTTGTACATAGGATGTTAAAGCCTGCTAAACAGGTCCTCACAGGCCCACCTTTTACTGCTTCCTCTTGAAATAAGCCTCTTCTGCCCTTCCCACCCTGTCATTACCACTGTCCCCAATACCACAAAGTGGAGGATTGTGGAAATCCCTTAAGAAAAAGAAAAGAAGCTCATTGTCTACATCAGAAATTCTCTGTAACTCCCATCCTCCCACTTCCTCATGCTGCCTGACTGCCTTCCTTATCACTCTACATCAGTTGGATTGTATCAACGTTTGGCCTTTCTTAAACCTCCTACTCTGGTGTCCAGAGGACAGATTTCTGTCCCAGAGCAGATATGAATGTTACAAGGGGAGTGTTTGATAGACAAAGGACCCCATGTTACTTCTGCAGTTGAAACTAGCCTCTGTATAAGGAATTAAAAGACTATGAGAAGAAAGTAATGATGGAGACATTATTCTCCCTATTGTCATGGATCAATGGCATCATCTGGGGATTAGGCCAATGGCTGCTTTGAAGGAATATTTTATAAAGTAGACATTATCAGTGATGAATTTGAGTGTGAGTTGAAATGGAAGTATAGTAAAGTGGTAAGACTCCTTGATGAATCAATGTTTGGTGTAAGGAAAGAGGAAGAGAGAGGCAAGATAATATGAAAATCTGATGGCTGATAGAGGTGGAGAGCCAACATCACAGCTCAGGGATGAGTATGATGTATCACTGAATTCTCCCTGTTGGCCTGTGACAGCATTTGTGGTTGGAGAAATGAGAAGTGAAAGAAAAACTCACGCCTAGAGGTACCACATTTGTCAAAAATAATAGAAGAGAAAACCATGCCAGACAGTCTTAGAGAAGATAAAAAGTTATCACATGATTTCAGGGCATTAGGAAGTCCCTGCTTTTTCAGCCACTCCCATCTTATAGTTGTGTCTTAAATTTATCCATTAGAGCTGGGCGTGGTGGCTCACGCCTGTAATCCCAGCACTTTGGGAGGCCAAGGCAGGCGGATCACGAGGTCAGGAGATCGAGACCACGGTGAAACCCCGTCTCTACTAAAAATACAAAAAATTAGCCGGGCGCGGTGGCGGGCGCCTATAGTCCCAGCTACTCGAGAGGCTGAGGCAGGAAAATGGCGTGAACCCAGGAGGCGGAGCTTGCAGTGTGCCGAGATCGGGCCACTGCACTCCAGCCTGGGCGACAGAGCGAGACTCTGTCTCAAAAAAAAAAAAAAAAAAAAAAAAAAATATATATATATATATATATATATAATCCATTAGAAAGTTGCTCTGGGCGAATGGAATTTGTTCATTGTTATAACTTCTTAAAACACAATATCCCTTGTCTAGATTCAAGACATATATATTTGAGTCCCATGCAAATACGGGACACTATGGGTACAGTAAATGAACGACCATATGGAAGAGTTACAGGAGCTAAGATGAAACATGAATCATTAAAAACTGAGGATAACTGAAGGACGTAAGTCCTACAGGGGGGTCTTTACTCTGAATCCTGCCACTAAGTGCTCAATAAAATCGAGTTAAGTAAGTGAGTAAATGAATGAATGATAAATGAATGAATAAGTATGGATTTTGTTTTCAAAGATAGAAAGGATTCACAAAAGCAGAGATTATGAGGTATGAAAAAGGTTTTTTTCTAAGAATAGACCCTCAAACACTCTTAGATTCTTGCTGTTTTCTGAGTACCCCAATGTCAACTGTCTATTCCAGAAGTAAACCCTCAAGTATATGGTCAAATGATCTTCCACCAGGGTGCCAAGAGTATACAATGGGGAAAGGTCAATCTCTTCGACAAATTGCGTTGGGAAAACTGGATATCCACATGGAAAATAATGAAGTTGGATTCTTACCTGACACCATATGCAAATACAAAAATTAACTCAAAATGGATAAAAGACCTAAATGTAAGAGCTAAAAGTATCAAACTCCTAGAAGTTCTATCAAACATAGAAGAAAACTTTATGACATTAAATTTTGCAACAATTTATTGGATATGACCAAAAACAGGCAACAAAAAATACACAAATCCAACTTCATCAAACTTAAACATTTCTGCACATCAATGAAAACAATCAACAGAGTGAAAAACAATATGAAATAAGATATTTGCAAATTATCTTTTCAGTAAGAAGTTAATATCCAGAATATATAAGGAGCTTCTACAACTCAACAGCAGCAACAATGACAAATAGCCTATAAACATCCTCAGCAAAATACTAGCAAAATGAATGCAACAGCACATTAAAAGGGTCTTTTATCATGATCATGTGGGTTTTATTCCAAGGATGCAAGATGTTTCAACATACTCAAATCTAAAAATGTGACATACCACTTTAACAGAATGAAGAATACTAACCATATTAATATCTCAATAGACTCTGAAAAAGCATTTGACAAAATTCAACATCCTTTCGTGATTTAAAAAAAAACTCTCAACAAATAAGGAATGCACCTCAACACAATGAAGGTCATATATGACAAACTCATAGCTAATATCATTCTCAATGGTGAAAAGTTGAAATTTTTTTCCTCTAAGACCAGGAACAAGACAAGGAGGTCCACTCTAACCATTTCTATTCAACATAGTACTGAAGTTCTAGCCAGCAATTAGGCAAGAGTAAGAAATAAAAATCATCCAAATTGGAAAGGAAAAATGTAAATTGTCACTGTTTGTAGATGACATGATTATATAAATAGAAAACCATAATAACTCCACTTAAAAACTATGAAGTAATAAAGAAATCTAGTTGCAACAGAATACAGATTGTACTGAAAAAAAAATAAAGGAATCTTGTAAAGTTGCAGGATACAAAAATCAACATACAAAAATCAGTAGCATCACACTAACAAAGAACTATCTGAAAATGAAACCAATAAAACAATCTCATTTACAATAGCTAAAAATAAGTAAATAAGTAAAATAATACATTTAACAAAGGAGGTGAAAGACCTATACGCTTAAAACTATAAAACACTGATGAAGGAAATTGAAGAAGTCACAAACAAATGGAAAGATATCCTGTGTTTATAGATTATAAGAATCAATATTGTTAAAATGTCTGTACTACCCAAAGTGATCTGCAGATTTGATGCAATCCCTATCAAAATTTCCTTACATTTTTCACAGAAACAGAAAAAAAAATCCTTAAATTCATATGGAACCACAAAAGACCTTGAATAGCCAAAGCAATTGTGAGCAAAAAGAACAAAACTGGAGGCATCATACTATCTGATTTCAAAATATACTAATATACTACAAAGCCATAGTAATCAAAACAACATGGTACTGACATAAAAACAGATGCATTGACAAAATAGCCCAGAAACAAATCCACACATTCATGGTCAATTGATTTTCAACAAAGGTGCCAAGAACCAACAATGGGTAAAGCATAGTCTCTTCAATAAATGGTATTGGGACAACTGAATATCCACATGTAGAAGAATGAAACTAGACTGTCATCTCACACCATATGCAAAAATCAACTCAGAATAAAGGCTTACACATAAGACCTGAAACTGTAAAACTACTAGAAGAAAACATAGAAGAAAAGCTCCATGACATTAGTTTGGGCAATAATTTTTTGATATAATCCCAAAAGCACAGGCAACAAAAGCAAAAATAGACAAATGGGATTATATCAAACTAAAAACCTTGTTTTTCTTACAGCCAAAGAAACAATCAATAGAGTGAAGAGACAACATATGGAATGGGACAAAACATTTGCAAACCATATGCTTGATAAGGGGTATAGGAATCCAAACAACTCAATAGCAAGAAAACAGCCTGATTTTAAAATGAGCAAAGGATTTGAAAAGACATTTCTCAAAAGTTGACATACAAATGGCCAACAGGCATATGAAAAAAATGCTCGACATAGCTAATCAGAGAAATGAAAATTAAAACCACAGTGAGATACCATCTCACAACTGTTAGAATGACTATTGCCAAAGGCAGGTAACAAGTGCTGGCAAGGGTGTGGAGAAAAGGGAACCCTTGTACACTGTTGGTGGGAATGTAAATTATATAGTCATTATGGAAAACAGTATGGAGGCTCCTTAAAAAATTAAAAATAGAACTACCATGTGATCCAGCAATCTCATTTCTGAGCATACACCCAAAGGAAATGAAATCAGCACTTCATAGAGATACTTATGCTCCATGTTCATTGCAACATTGTTCACAATAGCTAAGATATGGAAACAACCTAAGTGTGTATCAACAGATAAATGGATAATGAAAATGTGGTATATACACACAATGGCATACTATTGAGCCTTAAAAAAGAGTAAGATCCTGTCACTCACAACAAAAATGGATGAACTTGAAGAACATTATGTTAAGTGGATATGCCACAGAAAGACAAATACCACATAATCTCATTTATATGTGAATCCAAAAAAGTTGAACTAATAAAAATAGTGAATAGAATGGTGGTTATTAGGAGCTGAAAATGCTGCTGGTTGGAAAGATGTTTGTCCCAGGTTACAAAATTTCAGCCAAATAGGAGGAATACGTTCAAGAGGCCTAGTGTACAATGTGGTGAAAATAATTAATAACAATGCATTGTATTCTTGCAAATTGCTAAGAGAGTAGGTTTTAAGTGTTCTCACCATAGAAGTATATAATGCATATATTAATTAGGTCAATTTAACCATTCCACAATGCATACATATTTTAAACATCACGTTGTACATGATAGGTATATATGATTTTTCTTTGTCAATTAAAAAAGCAAATAACCTGGTTTAAAAATGGGCAAAGGACTTGAACAGATAATTCTTCAAATAATATATACAAATAGCCAACAAGTGTATGAAAATATGTGTAACACCATTAATTATTCGAGAAACATGAATCAAAACCACAATGAGATAGATATCTCACAGCCATTAAGGTGGCCACTACAAAACCAACCCAACAAAAAAAATAACAAGTGTTAGCGAGGATGTCAAGAACTGGAATCCTGGTGCACTGTTGGTAGGAATGTAAATGGTGCAGCCACCATGGAAAACAGTATGAGATTTCCTAAAAAGTTTACAAATAAAATTATCACATGATTCAGCAATTCCATGTCTAGATACATACCCAAAGGAAACAAAATCAGCATTTAATAAAGATATTTCTGCTTTCATGTACATTGCAGCATTATTTACAATAGACAATGGGTGTAAACAACCGAAAAGTTTATTGACAGATAAATGAATAAAGAAAATGTGGTGTGTATATATATATATATGTATATGCAGTGGAATATTATTCAGCCTTAAAAAAAGAAGAAATCCTCTTACATGGTACAACATGGATGAACATTATGGTAAGTGGAATAAGCCAGTCACAAAAAGATAAATACTGTATGATTACACTTATAAGAGATATCTAAAGTCAAAATAATAGAAACAGAGTGGGGGTTTCCAGGAGCTGGGAAGAGCGGGAAATAGGGAGTTGTTCCCTGAGGATAAAGTTTCATTTTGCATATAAAAAAGTTCTAGAGTTGTCACACAACAATGTGAATATTATTTACCCAACTGAGCTATACACATAAAAGGGTTAAGAGGATAAATCAGATATGGATGAGACTCAAGGTATGATTCATTGTGAGGCAAATTGCTCTCCAGCTGTGAAATCGAATATGCTATTTGCTTCCAAAATATAATGATGGGACAGGCATAGGATAGAAATTCTTATTCCAAAAGGAAGAAATGGGAGAGAAGAAAAGTGTACCAGGTCCTGAGCAAGTCAAGTTTCCAGAATAATCTTTTTGAATCAAGGTTCTGCCCTCCAGGCACACTGGGGAGGTGGCCTCTGCCTCATGGCTTTGTGCAGCCCTGCCCTCATAGTTGCTCCCTTTGGTGGCCCTACCTCTGAGGCAGCTGGGTGCCCGAGGCTCTCCCAGGCTGAAATTGTATACCAGTGGTTCAATTGGTCTAGGGCCTCAGGGGTGGCCTTACCCTACTGCTTCACTGGGCATTGCGCAGTGCAATCTCTCCATGGTGGCCCTGCACATGGTGGCTTTCTGCCTACGCACTGTGGCTTTCCAGAGCATCCTTTGAAATCTAGGTGGAGGTTACCATGCCCGCACAGCTTTTCAGAGCACAGCACTCACTAAACCAGGATCTGTTGGAGCCATACCTGGGGTAGCCTAGGAGCCCTGTGATGGAATGTGGAGAGCAGAGCCTCAAGGTGGCCCATGATAGTGAGTGCTGAAGCCCCACAAGTACCTGCAGCCCCTCCTTTGAAATCATTCTGTCCCTCATGCCCTTGTATTCCGCACCTCGGATAGGAGTGGCAGCCCTGATCTGAAATGTCTTTGGGTCATTCTTTCATTGCCTTGATGAATAGCACCCAGATTCCACTGAGATGGTTGATCCATACTAATTTCCTCATCCGATGGTTACATAGACACACCACTGGTGTTCTGTCCTGAACATGATTTCTTAGTTTTCACAATATGGATAGGCTAAGAATTTTCTTAATCTTTAAGTTCTGCTTCCTTTTGAATTAAAATTCTATCTGGTGCCATCCCCTGATCTCAGCGGCAGGGGCTGACAAACTTGAATCCAGAGGGTGAACTAGAGGAGGTGGGGGGCATCTTCCCTCCTGCCCTGGTGAGGAGTTGCAGCAAGCTCCCCGCGCCTCTCCTCCCTGATCCACCGGCCACCGCAGCCCATGTGATCCAGGGAAGTTGGGGTGCCCCCTCACCCCGCACCTGGGTGGCCTGGACGCGGGGTCCCCTCAGCCCCTCAGGGTTCCAGCGCCACTTGTGTAGGTCCATCTGCAGTGGGCCACGTGTGCACATCGGGCAGGGGGACCACACCAGCATCTAGTTTTCAGTGGAAACTTATTGAGTAAGGAAGAGCTAAAGGTAAGTGAGAAAGGGTGATTAGTTAGCCAGGGCCACCATAACAAGATACCACAGGCTGGGTGGCTTAAACTTAAACTTATTTTCTCAGAGTCTGGAAGTCCAAGATCAAGTTGCCAGCAAGGTAGGTTCCATTCTGAGGCCTCTCTCGCTGGCCTGGAGATGACTGCCTTCTCACTGTGTCCTCACAGGGCCTCTGTGCATTTGCTCTCCTGGTGTCTCTTCCTCTTCTTATAAGGACACCAGTCCTTATAAGGGGCCTTAGGGCCCCACCTGGATAACCTCGTTTCACCTTAATTACCTATTTAAAGGCCCTGTCTCCAAAGCATTCACATTAGGTGTTAAGGTTTCAACATAGGAATTTCGAGTTGTGGGGAGGGATAAAATTCAGTCCTTAACAGAGGTATAGCTCCTGGAATAATTAAACTTGCAAACAATAGCAATGGCACTTTAGGGCAGGAGCATGACCCTAAGCCATGGTTTCTCAACCTGGCACCATTGCCATTTAGGGCTGAATAATTCTTTGTGCTGGGGGCTGTCCTACGCATTCCAAGATGTTTAGCAACATCCAACATCCCTGGGCTACACCCACCAGATATCAATAGTGCTCCCCTCTCCTAGTGTGAGAACAAAAATGTTTACAGACATTGGCAAATATCCCCTGTGAGGCAAAATCACTCCTGGTGGATATTGCTGTAAGCATAGGGTTTCTCTCTTTCATCAGGGACAAAGTGTAGAAGGACAGATTTCCTCCACAGAAGCTTCATAAGTTTAAATAGGCCATAAATATCCTTGAGCTCTCTTAGCAGTCCTTCAAGTTTCTGTCACCCTTGTGTGTGTGTGAGTAGATTATATATATATATGTACATGTTTTGAGAATTTACACATTTCACTTTTGGGACTAACAGGTTCCCATAGGTTTGTTAGCCTTGGTATGAGAGAGTCTGCTTTTCTACTTATGTTAAACTTACCATCTTCAAAGTTTAAAAGACTCTCCCTGTTGTGTATTTCAGGATTTGGTGAACAAGATTAATGTAGTCTGACTTTTTCCAAGATTATAGACTTGCACCATATATGCTGTCTACAGTGGACATCTTTTATTCCTCTCATAGTGACCACCCCATTCCCTAAATTGTTTCCGTTGTTTCTAAAGTTTTGTCATCTCCCTATGTCTTCTCCAAAACTCAGGACCAGTGGTGGAAGGCACTGTAGGAGCAGTGGGCACACTCCCAGGGGCTGAGCCTGGATGGATAGGGTCAGGAAGGAGGATGGACTTGGAAGGTCACACCAGAGGCACCAGATGATGTGACAGATGAAAAGGCACATTAAAAAGTAATACGTACGTTACAAATGCAACTCCTTTTGTGATAATTATTGTATCGAATTGGGCATTTCTGAGCTTACCCTGTTGTTCTCCAAAGCAGTTGGCTAAGGCTGTTCTTATTTTTTCTTTAACCTTCCTGCCACCCTCAGATCGAATTTATTTGCTACACTAGTGCCAGGTTAATAATCCTAGAACACAACCATGATCATCTCACTTCCTCCTCAAAAACCATCACTGTCTCTCCACTGCCTGCAAAGTCCCACATCCTGAGCCTGGCATTGCAGTTGTCTACAGTCTTTCCTCAGCCTGACCTCCCTCTGTGTCCTTACAAACACGCTGTGCTCCAGAAAGACTGGACTTTGACATGACATATAAAAAATGTTTTCACATTTTCCCCTTTACACCTTTCAAACCATTTATGGTGCTAGTATGATTCCCTCCTCAATCCCAGAGCTCTCTATTTTGAGGCAGAAAACAAGAGGCCCAGAATCAATTAGCATCAGTTTCCTGCCTTCACTTTCCTATGGCACTAAGTCAAGTCAGATTGGCAAAGCCTTTATAGCTGGTCCCAGCCTGACTCTGCCCAAACCTACTTACTAAATCCTCTGGAAATGAGGGCAGTCCCACTCCAGGTTGGCCTCATGAAGACATCTCAGTCCCATCAAACCTCCCCTTGGCTTTGAGACTAATCCACGCTGGCCGTGTATACAGTTTTTCTCTAGAATCCGTGTGTGTTTATCCCCTGAAGTTCTATCATGTCCTTGGATTATCACCACACCATTGATGCTGCTTCTGTCTCAAAGGACACTTTGGACTCTGCCTGTCCTTGCCATCGCCTGTCTGGGCAGTAGTCTGCTTAACTGTAAGCCCCAAAGTCCTCCCTTCCCTCCTTGACTAAGTTTCTCAGATTTGTACAGTTTGGTGGCAACAATGCTTCCTACTCAGTTGCTAAGACAGGAGTGACCCTTTGGTGTGGTCTCTGAGATTCTCTAGGGACCTCACAGCCTGGATGGCCTCCTGGGAGCTTGCCTGGCCTTACACTGAGCTGCAAACCATGAGAGGAAAGCTATTTAGCCCCTCCAATTAAAGAGATTGCCTCTAAGTCCCCTACAGAGTTCCTCTTTCCTCGTGTCTGAGGGTCTCCTCTGGGTCATGTGTCTTTTGCAGAAGACTAGCAGTGAATTGCCATGGGATTGACAACAGAGCCCTCTGGGCTCAGTGGCCAGCTCTGTCCTTTTCCTTGGCCTCTCTCTGATTATTTACAAACATATGACTTTCTAGCCCAGTCAGGGAGATTGTCTTTTGGAATGAGAGCTATATAAACAAAAAAGATTAAGAACTTAGTAATGGAGTTAATTTTCACCAAGAACAGAGGCAATCCATTTCCTCATGAAACTTTCCAGAGAGCAGGAGATGCAACTCTCTGAGAAAGGAAGGAAATAGTTCCAGGGAGGGGCTGCTGTTTTCTGGGCCACTTTGCATGAGACGGGAAAGTGAAAGCAGAACCGACGCAACCTCATGGAAGGCTATTTCTGCTGTAAGCACCTACTTCTCCATAGAGAACACTCTCCATGCCCTCGTGTGCCAATGGGCAGTGTGAACTAAGAGTGTTCATTTGTGTCTGGCAGAATATTTCTCAAGAAGGGTCTGGTAGCTGGGCAAGCCACATAGTTGGAGACACTGTTTGAGTGGAAGTAGACCAGTTTTTTCTAGTTGCTTGTTTTCATCAAGCAAGAACCACATATAGGTAAAAAGCAATTTTAAAAACTGATTTTTGGTTTTGAGAAAAGTCAAACGTGTAAAACATTTGTGATTGCATAATAAAGCTGCATGTCTAAGAATATAAATATTTTATAATAGATTAGCTATTACACAAAAACATTGAAATATCTTTTAATTTTTCATTTTGATCAGATGAAGAGAGCCAAAGAAGGAAAGTGAGTGTACAGAAATGGAAAAAGAAGTGGATTAATGTAGAGAAAGAAGAGATATCTAGAAGAATAAAATTGTGGCCCTGAGGAGAGAGGAGGTGGAATGGTTAGATTTTGCTCTCCATTAATAGAAGACCAGGTTGCTGTATTCAAAAGGTCTGAGAAGAAGAAAAGATGTGACAGCTACTAAGCACCTAGTAGATGCCAAGGATTGTTCTTTGCTATGTTAGGTATAATTAGATGACTAAGAATTGAAGCTATACAAATGAATGTTTGATCAAGGAGACATTGTTAGCTGGGGACAGATCCCTAGAGGCACTCTGCATTTAGAGATTCCCAGAGGAGCAGAAGCCCCAGAATGAATGATCTGAATGGTGTCAGGAAAATCAGAGGAGTGTGATGTCTTGAAATCTGAATAAGGAGAGATTTCAAGAAAGTGGAATGATCTACTGTGATGAAAGCAGCAGAAAACTCCACAAAGATAAAGATTTGGTGACCTTGGCAATCAATTTCTGTCCCACTGAGGTCATGGACAAGGAAGTCAGACTGCAGTGGGGCTGAGAATGAGTGGGAGGGGAGAAAGAGGAAACACAGAAGTGTAACATTTTCTTTAAGGAACATGGGAAGAGTAAAGAAGAAAGATGAGGGTGGAAGCTAGGGAGATGAGAAGAGCATTAGGGACAAGGAAGATTTGAGCCTAAATTCTAAACTGAAGGGAAGGATCTGGCAGCAGGGGGCTGATTAGAGTTAACAGAGAGATAGAAGGGAGGACAGCTGAGACAAGCTCCCAGTGGAGGCAGGAGTGAAGGTCTCGAGCGCATAACTGGAGGTCAGGGTTAGCCTGGAGCAGGAAGAGCCCCAGCCTCTGAGACTTCAGGAAGAAGAAGAAAGAGAAACCAGGGTCTCCAAATGGTCAGAATGTCGCTGATGAAGTGTGTGCCTGACCAATTTTCTTGATGAAGTAAGAGCCAAGGAATTCCTGCTGCTATGTAGAACTGAATGTGGAGTGAGAGGAGAGTGAGAAGGTTTGGAACTTTCACAAGGAGACTCGGGTAATTAATTAATTGATCAGTCAATCAATTAAATGGTTTGCTGCCTCTTTTCTCTTTCTATCAATTCAAGTCAATCCTGCTTTCACCGGGCTCCAAGGCAAAAACTGTGCCTGCTTGCCATTAATCATAGATAAGGCACAACCCTATTACTTAGCAGGACATCTGCGGCTTTCACAATTTGACACCAGCCTGTTTCCTAAGCCTCGTCTCCTCCGGCTCCTCGTTTACTTGGCCATGCAGCAGTCCCCTGCCCACCATATACTTTGAGGCCTCTGTGCCTTTGCCCAGGCCATCTTCTCTCCTTGCAAGGCTCTCATCCTCTTCTCCGCATCAGTAGACTTGTATTTATCCTCCAAGGCACAGTTCAAATGTCATCTTCTCTCTAGCTTCTCCTACCTAGGGCAGAATTAAGAATTCCCTTTTGTGTATTACACAACAATTTATTTATTGTTGTTATAGCAAACATGGGAAATTGCTATTTCAAATACATAGTGTCAGAAGCTGCTTTCATATTCTGGAGATGTAATTAATCTCAAGGAGGAAATTGACTTTTGATTTAGAAAAACACGTTAATGCGCCATTTCATTATAAATGAAATACCCAAAGCTTGTATAGACAGAAGTTACATGTTTCTGTGAAGCATATGGAGATATATGTTATTATAAAAACATTAATTTACTAGAGGTCTTAATGTTTTCCTTTTGCACTTCTTTAGATGTGACCTTATGCCTATTCACCCAGGGGAAAATTTGGATTTTTATCACAGAAGACCAAAAGCAAACAATATTCCAAAACAGAATATTGACAGCTATATCAAAGTCATAGTCTTAAAAATTAGACATTGGTAAGAGAAAAGGGAGTTTCTAAATTTACAAAAGTCTAGGTCCTTAGAGCTCTCTGCTGGGGATTCATTCTAGACTGAGATCACCTCTTTTGGGAGGTGGGCACTCACTGGCCACTTCTGTGTTCCCGAGATCTTAGAAACACCAGAACCCTCTCCTCTCAACCCTCTGCTACCTCCACATGGCACTAGAGCCCACAGGATCTACCTTGGATCTACAGCTTGGATCTACCCACACACATTCTAGAGTCTCACGGGATCTTCTAGGGATATCCCTGGTCTGATAAAGAGACACTGCCTGTGGATATTTTCCTTTGCTATCCCAATTGCACTCTCTGTTTTTGTGAGGACACTTGGGAAGATGAAAAACACTCTGTCACCATTGTCATCTTCTCCCTGTATCACCAACATCTGACAAATCGAATATTACTTATAAGCTACTATGAAAACAAAAGGAAAGGCAAATTAACCAACATTTTCAGAAGTCTTCAAAAGTTGTAAAAACCATTAAATTCAATATAAAAGGACAAAACTTTAAAGTCAAGTTTTTGGCAAATTGATAAAATTGGGGAATTGATGATTTGATGTATTAATTTCTGATTAGTTGATGGGTTGATTTTAGTGAGTTGACGTGCAGTAAATTGGTGTTCAGGATGGTCATGGAGAGGCTTGAACTGGCCTGGAGCCAGAGGCCACAGCCCAGAACACACGGGCCCAGGATCAGGCTGCAGCCTCGCCAAACTGGAAGGATGTGAGTAGTAGCAGAGCCACGCTGGGGCCACCAGCAGGCAAGGTGGCTGAGCCCCACTGCCTTCGTCAGGGATAATCGATCGCAGATTAGACCAGCCACGGAAATGTTGGCAAGCGATGGGGACAGGCCAAGGAACTGGGGGCAGAGAACCATCAGAAAAGAGAAAAAATGCCACCTAGACCCAGCTTCCCACAGCCAGCACGCTCTGTAAGTTCATCCTCTGCCCCAGGATGTCATTCCCAAAAGGGGGAGGAAGAGGGGGAAGAGAAGAAACCGTGAAAGATTGTGCCTTTCCCAGAAGACATTTGAAGTTTTTCAAAAATACCTCTTTTAAACAGGAAGGGCTGTATCTATGTCTTTCGATGGCCAATTTTGGGGTTTTCCTACCATCATTTGGAATTGTTGCTCCAGAGTGTAATGAGACCAGTTATATATTTTTAAAGTTACTTTTTTTGATGTATAAATTTCAAACTATCTGCAGATATAAAGGAAGAGTGATTTTAGCTTAGAATTTCCCAGGAGACAGAGGTTGGAACTCTGGCATTTAGAGAAGTCAGGAGACGGGAGGGGAAAGTTCTAAGGGAAGTGAGCAGTTCCCAGCCAAAGGGCAGAAGTCCAGAGTTTGAAAAGTGATGGCCAGCAAGAAATCTGCTGTGCTGGGGAGCTGCCCCCAAATGACCACAACAGTCTGCCCAGGGCAGGAGGCTGGTGCAGGAGATGCCATCAACTCCATACGTAAGCACACATTTGCATCACTTCTCTGTCCAGGAATTATCAGACATTCTGGTGACAGCAGTGAGCCATTTGAATTCCTGCAATTAGACAGGCACTTGAAACTGCTTAATTACTAGGGAAAGGATTGCCCCAGAAAGTTGCAGGCCACATGAACATTTATATTGCACATTAATAGACCTTCTCCTTTTTCCACCACGTATTTAGTTCTGTGTACAGACTTCCAAGACAGCCATTCTTGTTGGCAGGAACCATAATTGTGGTCCCAAAGCCTAGCACGGCACTTAAAGCAAAATAGATTAAAACAGAGCGATGCACCAGCAAACAGTCAGATCTAAGGTCCAGAATGGAAAAATTCAATGGTAAGGTCGCCCTCTGGTGGAATATCTAGGTAGTAACAGGAAAGGACTTGAAGACTCTGGCAAGCTGGCTACTTAAATGTAAAAATCTCAGAAAAGGAGCCAGTGGCCAACTGGTAGCCAACCAAGAGCACCCAGAGCAGCGCTGTCCAGTAGAAATATAATGGGAGCCTCTTAATTCAATTTCAAATTTTCTAGTAGCTACATTTAAAAAGCAATAAGAAACAGGTGAGATTAATCTAATACATATTTTAAACCGCAAATATACAAAAAATTGCAAACTGAACATTAATTAATATAGAAATTACTGAGATTATGTATATACATTTAATTAAGTCTTCAAATCCCAGGGCATTTTATACTTAGAGTTTTTTTTGGCTTAATAGCTACAGGTGGCTTGTGGCTACTGCACAGGACAGCACAGTCCTTGAGGAAGGGGATCATGTCCTGCTCTTCTGTGCTCCCAGAGCAGCACACAGTGCCTAAGTCACATCAGGTGTCCTATAAACATGTATTTAATGAAGAATATCCCCCAACACCTACCTGAACTTGTCATGCTCCAAAGAACATGACAGATACAACTTTACCTCAAAGTCAGCATTTTAGACAATTTAGAACAACTGGATTTGTGTCATTTTTAAAGGACACTTTAGTAAGTTTTTGTCGAATCTGTGTTTGCCTCATTATTAGACTCTAGTCCCAATAACAGTACCTCTCCCTAGAGTCAGGGTTATCCACTTTATTCACTTTTATTTGTTATCATTGACTTATTTATTTAATAACGTGCTAGCGTTTAGGGGGGAAAGGAAGATTGTGTAACAAAGATTCAATCATCCATGATCCCTTCTTACAGGCCCTTTCCATCTAGGAGGGAATGTGGACCATACATACACATTCCAAGAAAACAAATAATGAGGAAGCCCTGGTGAGACTGAAAGGTGTTCTGAACTGGGTTGCTTGCTGGCTGTGGCTATGAGAAGGTTCCTGGAACCTTCTGCTCTTGCCTCCCCGGTGTTGGCCTTGAGCAATCACTGCCTGCTCCCTGCTGCAAAAAACGATGGCAAGATCCTGATTGCCTGTCCAGCTGTTGAGGGGTGGGTGAGAAAATCCAAGCTGAAATCCTGCTGGAGTGGGAGGAGCTGGGGACTGCCCTAGTCATTGCCTCCTCTGCCACCCCAGCTATCAGTGCTCCCTACGCCTCCTAGTGCTCCCACCCTGAAGTCCTGACCTGAAGTGACACCCAAAGGGTAGTGACTATGGTTTTGCGCTGGCCTAGGACTCCAGCTGGCCCTCCTTTCTCTTTACACACATGACACCAACACAGATGGCCACTAGTGGGTCAAAATAATACCTTTAGGGAGTGCCGACACCTCAAAAGAAAAACAGCAAACAGGACCATCTATGTCCTTGAAAGAAGTGGTAGAAAATATAGACCAGCCGCTTAAAATGAGCATTAAAAGTGCACTTTAAAAGTCAGAAGCTATTATAATATGAAAAAATAGAGAATATAGGGAAAACACCTAGAAGTTCTAGGTGTAAAAAATATATATAATAGTCAAAGTAAAAGCCACATTAATGGGATAAATAGTGGGAGAGATGCAACTGAAAAACAAAACAGAAAGATGGAGGACTACACTGAGGAGCTAGTTCAGAACAAAAGAGGGAAGAATTGAGAAGTCATCAATAGAAAAGTCAGGGGAAAAGGAGGAGAGAATTATCCAAATATAGATTATATGAGTTTCACAAAGACAAAAAATAGAGGAGAAAAATAGTTAAAGAAATAAAAAGATGAATTCCCAGAATTAAAAGATAGAGAAGATCCATAATGTCTTACAGAGAGAAGGAAAAACCCACTCTAGACACACTAGCAAAATTTAAAAATATCAAAGACAATGAGAAAATTCTAGAAGATTCCAGCATGAAAGACTGACATGGGATTTTCTAACTGTGACATTGGATGCAAAAAAAAAAATTTGGAATGATGTTATTTAGAATATTAAAGGGGAAAATACTTCAAATAGTATGTAATACACAGCTAAACTTTATTCAAAAGTGCTGGTATAATTTTAAAAAATTATCAAGCATACAAGACTTTAGAAGGTTTGCTATGCAAATTCCCACATCTGAAAGGTTTTGGAAGAAGAATTCTAATCAGAGAACGCATTCTAGAAGGTGCCAAAAGATATGAAAAGTAATGTTGACCAAATAATTTGGTGAAGGAGAAAATATGTGAATAAATTTGAAAGCATGCTAAAGTTCTTATCCAGTCAGAGGGAAGATGGAGAAGGTATCGGTAACACTTAAAAAAAAAAAAAAAAAAGGCAATGAAGATTAAAAAAGAAAACTTGGCCGGGTGTGATGGCTCACGCCTGTAATCCTAGCAGTTTGTGAGGCCGAGCCAGGCAGATTGCCTGAGCTCAGGAGGATAAGCCTGGGCAACACGGTGAAACCCCGTCTCTACTAAAATACAAAAAAAAAAAAAAAATAGCCAAGCATGGTGGCATGCACCTGTAGTCCCAGCCACTCGGGAAGCTGAGGCAGGAGAATCGCTTGAACCCGGGAAGCAGAGGTTGCAGTGAGCCAGCCCAGATCATGCCACTACACTCCAGCCTGGCAACAGAGCGAGACTCCGTCTCAAAAACAAACAAACAAACAAACAAAAAAACTTTAAAAAATAGAAATATTGAAATAAATAAGGTATTACAAACAAGCCCAAGTGCATCAATATTCACAATAAACACAATCAGAATGCAGCAAAGACAGTGCCATGTGCTCACCAAACCATTATATCTTCCTGCACACATAGGTAACGTACATTTTTCCATCCCCGTGCGCCTATGTGGGGTCATTGTTTACTTCTTGCCAATGGAATGTGAGCAGAGATGGCAAATAGTTTCTGGTCCAAAACCATGGAAACAATGTGCCTTTCCCAGGTTCTCTCTCCTACCTGCAAAGCTAGGAGTTCATGAAGTGCTTTTCAATAATAGAGATGCAAAGTGGAGCTTAGCCACCTTGAGGCATGTTTTGGAAAAGAGCTACAGAGTGCCCAACCTGCCTTGAACTAGACGTGGCTAAAAAATAAACCTGTGTTTTGTTAAACCACTGAGGCTTCAGTGTTTGTCTCTTGCAGAAACAAGTTTGCTCACTTTGACTACCATATGAATTGAACATAGGTTAGAAGACAGAGATCGTCAGATTGAATCAGAAGCAAAAATCTATATTTATGACATTTCAAGGGCTACATCTAAAGCATAAGTACAAAGGAAGAGTAAAAACAAAAGAGTAGAAAAAGATACAGTGAACAAATACCCAAAGACAGCTGTAGAACTTATTACTATCAGACAAGACAGAGTAGGACAGAAAGATTCTCAGGACAAATTGGGAAAAGGCTCAGTTCACCAAGACTGTAATAATTCCCAAGAGTAAACACCTTAATAACCTAAATGCAGAGAGGGCAAAAGTTGATTTAAAAATTAGAAACAAGTTGAAAAACCTACAGTCACAGTTAGAGATTTAAATATACCATTCATAGGCCAGGAATTGTGGGGCATGCCTATAGTCCCAGCTACTCTGGGAGGCTGAGGCAGGAGGATGGCTTAAGCCCAGCTGTTTGAGGCTGCAGCGAGCCATGATTACTTCACTGCCCTCCAGCCTGAGCAACAGAGCAAGGCCCTGTCTCTAAAAAATAAATAAATAAATGCACCACTCTTAGTTATGTATAGGCCAGTCCAAAGATAAAGAAAACCGTAATAAATTAGAATGACAAAATCCACATGCTTGATCCAATAAACATGTACATGTATAAAATTCTGCATCACATTTATTAGAGCCCATGTGAAATATTTACAGAAGTTCACCACACTCCAAGCCATAGAGGATTATCATGTAATTAAATTATAAGTTAATAACAAAAAACATACTTTAAAAAATCTATGTATGTTTTCAAATAAAAAAAAACACCCGATACTCGACTGTTATTAACCAAAGAAGCAACATTCTTTATCATGAGTTTTTCATGGCTTTCCCGTCTTTCATCTCATGGCTCCAGCTCCCACCTCACTTGGGGGGAGGTGAAGGTGGCAAGGGTCCTAACCAGGGCAGGACCAAAGCAGTGAAGACACTGTTCATTCATGCGCAGGTGTCTCCTAGGCGCCTATGATGTGCTAGGCATTACGTAGACACTGTGGACTAGAAACGAAAAAACTAAGATTAGGGCTCCCCATAAACCGGGCCATGCAAATCAATTACTAGCTGTCATTTGATTAATTTGAAGTCAGAAGCTGTGTCTGCCCCACTTAAAATAGGCATCCCTTATTCATTGAGGAAAGAGCATTGGAGCAGGTTTTACCAGTCCACAGACTACCCGAGAACCACCTGGGGAGCATGCTGAAAACACAGGTTCCCTGGCCCTGCCTTGGAAAGGCTAATCTAACCCATTAAGTAAAGAGGAAACTCAGGAACACGTATTATAACGAACCCCCCAGGTGATTCTCATTTGGAACCAGAGACCCGCATGATTTCCTAGCTCCCTCCAAGTTGAAAATCATCGATTTCATGGTCTTTGACACATGGCCTAATTTGGTTAGATTTCTCTTTACACAGACGTTAGCTTTACGTTGTTGTTGTTTTGTTTTGTTTTGTTTTTTAAATATATATACTGGACTAAATTCTCCCAGTGCCTCTTATTAGCCGAGCCCAACCAGAAGCCAAAGGCAAGGGTGATGCCGTCCTCCAGCCTGTGTCAGCCTGGAGGAGGTGCCCGGGTCCTGGAGGGACCAACAGAGAGGACCAGCACCTCTGCCCTCCTCGGGGAGTCCACGGGAGCTCTTTACACTTTGCTTTAGACCAAACAACTCCAACAATTACACATTTTTTCTTACACAATGAAATTAAATAATAATAAAAGAAAAATAAAATAACATTTTTGAAAGTGATTTAAAGTTTTAAGAGGTTTTTATTCCATTGTGTAGCCAATGTTTTCCTTTTAAAGATTATTGGTAAAGTTTATTTTACTTTCTAACTCAAAATTTGTCCACGGAAACTTCTTGGGAAAGTAGGATTCCCTGCATCGCAGATGGACATAGAGAGAGGATTTGTTGGAGCTCAGCTGCGCGGTGCTCTGACGGCCTTTTCTCTCTCTTCAGGGGGTCCCTTCTTGGAGGACGTGGTAATAGTTGGTCCAAGCCCCTCCCATCCTCCAAAACTTCCTCTGGCCTCTCCTGGGGGCCCAGTGAATCCTTCCACCTTCTCACCCCGGCTCTTTCCCTCTTTACCCAGCAACAGATACATTCACTCAGAGAATTTCTGTGATTGGCTGAAGACAGCAGGGGTCGCCCCCATCCTCGAATCTGTTTTCTTCTTCTTTACCTCCGCCTTGTTCCTGTCCTCACCACACGGACTGAGACTGATTTGATTAAAGCACCAGAGTGTAATGGCCCTCAGAGCAGGGCTGGTCCTGGGGTTCCACACCCTGATGACCCTCCTGAGCCCGCAGGAGGCAGGGGCCACCAAGGGTGAGTGCGAGGGCGAGGAGGGTGCGGCGGGGAGCAGAGATTTACGGAGTTGGGTTACATGAGGAGGTGGCATGGAGGATGCTTGTTCCTCTCGCTCTCTGGTTTATGGGCAACTTCCTTCACCAAGAGACACCCAATCCCCCTCATCTCTGTCACATCCACTCTGGACCTAAATGAAGATGCAGCTCGGTCAGCTGCGCAGGTGCCCCAGTCAGCCTTTGCTGACGTTCAGATTTCTCCTCATTCCTTCCTCCTTCCTGAGACCCAAACCTCCACCCAACAGATGCCAGCAAGCACCCTGATTTCTCTACCACCCCTGGCCGGGAATGTGCCCGATCAAGTCCAGTTCTGTTGCAGTATTTATGCCCATGCCGGTAGTTAACTATTTACCTGTCTTTGTTCTTCGGGAGACATGAGCTGGGGTGCGGGTCTACAGATGGTTCATCTTTTTTTTCTTTTATTTCCCTGGCCCACCATTGTGCTGGGTGCATGCTAGTTCCTCAATAACTGTTGCTCAAACAACTTCATAGAGTTCTACAAGAATTAAAACTTAATCCCTAACTTCCAGAAAACTAGACAACAGTTATGGAAGAGCCACACTCAGTCATAATGCTCTGAGATGGAGGAATTGGGACATGAACCTTGACTTCTGACTCCTCGTCCAGTGCTCTTTGTAATGCCTTGAGTTGCCTCTCCCTATCCCCTTGGTCTCTGGGTCACTAACCTTAATTCTTACCCCTGCCAGCCGTGGCCTGTTTCCCCTCACACCCACCTGCACTGCATCTCTGTGCAAAGCTCCATACTCTCCTGTCCTTAATCATTCCTCCTCATCCCACCCCCACAGTCCCACCAGCTCACAACACAGGGCCTGACAACACAGCCAGGGCAGATGACCACAGCCAAGATTTAAATTCTGGAACCCCAAGCATGATTTTAGGCAGTCCCTCCTCTTCCCATCCTGATATGCCAGACTGCACTGTCTCTGTGCCGACTGCAGTGTGCTGGGATGAGCCTCTTTCTTCCTGTTCTCTCTCCCTTTCTCTCTCCCAGGGCCAGCCCAGTGTCAGAACAGGACTCTGTCCCCACACAGAACCCAGGACGGGGCCCAGGCTCAGGGACTCAACAATCACATATTGTGGATGAGACAGACACATTTTTTTCTCTCTCCTTGACCCTGAACTCGCCAAACACAGCTGACCACATGGGCTCCTACGGACCCGCCTTCTACCAGTCTTACGGCGCCTCGGGCCAGTTCACCCATGAATTTGATGAGGAACAGCTGTTCTCTGTGGACCTGAAGAAAAGCGAGGCCGTGTGGCGTCTGCCTGAGTTTGGTGACTTTGCCCGCTTTGACCCGCAGGGCGGGCTGGCCGGCATCGCCGCAATCAAAGCCCATCTGGACATCCTGGTGGAGCGCTCCAACCGCAGCAGAGCCATCAACGGTACCGGCCCTCCCTCTGCCCACCCAGTCAGGCGGGAAGGTCCAGAGAAACTTCCTCCCAGTTCCTAGGCTCCCATCACTCTGGGGCGCGCTCTCAGCGCCCGCGCCTGTCATGCCCTGTTCCTTTCTTTCCCAGGAGGCTCCAGGTCTTCCCAGACCCCTTTGGCACCCCTCTCCTTGAGGAATGACACCTCTCACCCGGACTCCCGCCCAGGGACCAGTCAAATATAGGAGCTCCTGGCGTCCCCACTCCCTCCCCAGTCTCCTCTCCCTCTGTTTCCCTCCTCTCCTGCCCCAGTGGATACCCCAGAGCATCCCCTGCCCACAGATGGCTACAAAGGGGGAACGTCCCTTAATCCCAGTCCTAGTAAGGCCCTGGGGTGAGGGATGAGCCTGTGGACTCAGGGCCTGTTCCTCCTAGTGCCTCCACGGGTGACCGTGCTCCCCAAGTCTCGGGTGGAGCTGGGCCAGCCCAACATCCTCATCTGCATCGTGGACAACATCTTCCCCCCTGTGATCAATATCACCTGGCTGCGCAACGGCCAAACTGTCACTGAGGGAGTGGCCCAGACCAGCTTCTATTCCCAGCCTGACCATTTGTTCCGCAAGTTCCACTACCTGCCCTTCGTGCCCTCAGCCGAGGACGTCTATGACTGCCAGGTGGAGCACTGGGGCCTGGATGCGCCACTCCTCAGGCATTGGGGTACGGAGCCCCCTCCCCATGCACCCTCCTGGCCCCAGGTTTCCTTTACTCTAGAATCCTTTCATATACCACCAACTCCTTCCTTTCTCTCCTAGAGCTCCAGGTGCCTATTCCACCACCAGATGCCATGGAGACCCTGGTCTGTGCCCTGGGCCTGGCCATCGGCCTGGTGGGCTTCCTCGTGGGCACCGTCCTCATCATCATGGGCACATATGTGTCCAGTGTCCCCAGGTGCAGAGGCCCCGGGAGTCTGGGGGGTGGGGGAGGAAAGTGGATGACTCTGAACAGGACGTGGGTGGAGAATCAGAGATTCTGTTGTGGGGAAAGAAGTCAGAAAAGAAATGGGCAGGGAGAAAAGAAGCAGAGGTAGGGTGAGAGAGTGAGGTTTTGGGGGAGGTGGGCACTCAGAGATAGGATCCCAGCATATTGAAATTGAGCAACCTCGATCGTATGTTTTCTGCTATTTTAGGTAATGATCCTTCTGAGAGAAATGACTTGTGGGAGACACCCTGCAGATCCTCATGGGTTTGTGACAGCCCCTGCGTGCTCAGTGCCCTTTAAGTGCATCCCGCTGTGCTGACTTTGAGTGGGATCAACATCTGTCCTACGGGTCCCCTCTTTTTTGGCCCCAGTATTCATGGCAGGGTTTGTTGGACACCTACTAGCTTCCCTTCCCATTCAACACAAACACACATTCTTGCTCTACCCAAAGCTCTGGCTGGCAGCACTAAATGCTTTGGTGGTGTTTGCACTGTGTCCTTTCCAGGCCTTGGCCAGTTCTTCCAGGGGTGAGGCATGTGGTGCTGGGGATTGGCAGCCATCCTGGGGCCCACACAGGTGTGTCTTGCTCCATTTGGCCCATTGTGTGTTACTTTGTGAATGAGCCATTTCACATGGACTTCATGAAATTTGCCTCCTGAGTTCAGGTTTACCCTGAAAGGGATGCAGATTATCCTGTTCCTCACGACCCCCTCAGCTAACAACAGTTCTGAAGGGTGCTGGGACAGGACAGGCTCATGGGGACTCCACTCCTGCCTGGGTTTACTCTGTATGAAGAGGCCACTGGTATCCTGCCATGATGTTATCTCCTTTTTCTACTTTTCCCTAGAGTCCCATGCATGATAAAGAGAGGCCCAAGGCTTGGATAAGGTGGCCACTTCCCTCAGTGGAGTCAGTCATGTTAGGTAGGAGGTGGTAGAGTCGGTCTGCAAGGTATCTCGTAAGAGGGGAGGTCCACCTAGACACACTCTAAATATGTGGCCTAGAAGATTTTGGTCTACTTTTCTGTGAACAGAATTTAAAACATACAAAGAGATAAATCACCATACCACATAGTTTATGTCAAGACCAAAATGAGCAATACAGATTACGGTTTTCAAACCAGAATGCACATAAGAACTGCTTGGGATCCTTTTAAAAGTACAGGCATTGGCCTGGTGCAGTGGCTCATTCCTGTAATCCCAGCACTTTGGGAGGCCAAGGGGACAGGACTGCTTGAGGCCAAGAGGTGGAAACCATCTTGGGCTACATAGAGAGACCCCATCTCTACAAAGAAAGATTTAAAAATTAACCAGCCATGGTGGCTCGCACCTGTATTCCCAGCCACTGGGGAGGCTGAGGCCGGAGGAGTGCTTGAGCCCAGGAGTTCAAGGCTGCAGTGAGCCAAGATTGCGCCACTGCACTCCAGCCTAGGTGACAGAGTGAGACCCTGTCTCTAAATAAATAAATAAATAAAATATAAAAATAACAGTCATCACCCAGACCTACTGAATTAGAATCTCGGGAGTGCAGGGGGCAGCAACAGGGAGGCTGTCTTTTCTGAGAAGGGGTCTCACTCTGTCACCAGGCTGGAGTGCCATGGCATGATCTCAGCTCACTGCAACCTCCACCTCCTGAGTTCAAGCCATTCTCCTGCCTCAGCCTCCTGAGTAGCTGGGACTACAGGTGTGCGCCACTACACTCAGCTAATTTTTGTATTTTAAGTAGAGACGGGGTTTCATCATGTTGGCCAGGATGGCCTCCATCTCTTGACCTCGTGATCCACCCACCTTCCCTCCCAAAGTACTGGAATTACAGGCATTAGCCACTGTGCCCAGCCGAGGCTGTCATTTTTAACCGGCTCTGGATGACTCTGATGCAGCCATCCTGGACCTTGGCTGTGGTCTGGTAACTGGAACCCAGTGACGTAATCAGGTGCCATTGGGGGTCATGGGAAAGGGGGATCCCCAAGGTCTGAGGTGGACTAGGAAGGCTTTCTGAAGAACCTGGGTCTGTTAGGGCATCAGCCAATCAAGGTACAAGTAAATAGAGGCAAAATGAGGGTTTGAACTGTGAGCAGTTGGTCCTGGAAAAGAAAGAAACCAAGAGATTATGGGGACTCAATGGGCTTCTTAAGAGAGAATAAGTTGAAATCAATGACCAGAAGACCCTGATGGAAGTGGAGGAGAATCATCTCAGGCAAACTTTTTGTGTGCCAGTAACAGAAACCCTCTTTGTGTGATCACATGCAAAGTATAGGATATTTGCAATATAGCCATGGGGAGGAGTGCAGGGCCCAAGGGTAGATTTTAGCCAGGCCTCCCAGGAACAGAACTCGGATCCGAAAAGCCCAGAGAAGCTAGAGCTGCCCCTCCAACACTCTCGGATCCACATGGTCTGTGTTCTCTAGACCCCCCTGCATGTTGGCGGTGTTCTCTCTCTGTGGACTGACTGTCCTTCTCAGTGAACATGTCCACCCGACAGCTCCTGAGTTTATATCATCTCAACCCTCACAACCCACAGAGGCTGTGTCTCCTAGTCACAGCTTTAAATTACTGGAAAAATAAATGACTGGCCAAACTTGGAGCAGGTGTCCATCCCAGCCCTGTGTAGTTAGAGCAGAAATCAAGATCTCAACACAAATGTGGCTGCCAAGCACTCAGCCCTGGGGCGAGGGGTCAAGTTCTTCTCAGAGAAAGAGGAATAAGTTGGTTCTCAGAAGACATCACAAGATACGTGTGTACCCAACAATCTCTGATCTCTGCTGATCTTTTGCTTAGACGTTAACTTGATGCATCATTGGAAAGGTGTTTCTCTCATCTCTGTCCTAAGGCTTGATAAAGTCATTAAAATTGTGTTCTTTTGACTAAAGAAATATGCTTTTTTTTTACTGTTGCATATACTACCCTGAAGTCACTGGAACTTCTAGGAGTAATTCCAGAGCTTTTAGATTTATGCACCTGCGTGTATACTCACATTTGTTTCTAGTCTCAAGGTACGTAGTCTTTTATTTTAAAAAACAAGTTGTCCTCCTGCATTCTTGATCTTTCACTCTCTTTTAGAACAGACATCCAGTAGTCTCCTGTCCTTTGTATCCAAACTCTCCCTTTTTGCAGGGTCACCCTACAAATCATAAGCATGTCATCTCTCCTATATAACAAGAACATCAAATCCTCTGTCTGTCCTTGACCCAGTCTCCCTTCCACCCAAGCTCCTGGTCACGCTCTCTGAGAGTGTCTACGTGGACTGCCTCCAGATCCCCTCTTCCCATCCACTCTCTTTCGGGTTTTAATTTTTAACCAAATTATGTTATAGTTTAAAGAGTCAAATATTTCTACAATATTTGCTACAGAAATACCAGTTTCCAGCCCCATCTCCCACCATATCCTCACCCTTACAGAAAATAACTTTCAATTGTTCTAATATGTTTTGTTGGTATTAACCTCCCATCTCTAAATAACATGTTTGTGTTGCTACATCTAGATTTTTCAGCTTTAGGCTTTATCTCTTTACCTCCTGCTGTGGAAGAGGGGGATTTAGATTTTTTTCATCCTCAAAGAACATCATGCCCCCTTTCCCATGCCCTTTCTTTTAATGTGACTATATTGTAATTTTTACAATATAGTAAAAGTTACTGTGTTTACTATGTTTCTATCAATATGACCATGTAATGGCAAACCATAGAGCAAGCCATGCTCACTCTTCCTTTTCTAGACGACTTCGTTTTCTCTGGAGTATATAGTTGTCCTGTTTTCCTTTGTGTGGCTGTATTTGTACTTATTATTAATGAATCACAAAATTCCTCACAGTACAATCAAACACATCAGGTATTCTGTCAATTTTATCACCAGATATAACTCTCCCAGAACCTTCTGTCTGCTCCATTCTTAACTCCTTGCCCTTGATGATACAGCGGTCACTCTGAGATCACTCTTCGCCATCCTCGTCAGGATTTACCTATCCTCCGAGTTGGATCTTCTGCTTCTTGTATCCAGTCATTGCCCTTTTGTGGTCTGCCTTATTTTAATGAGGCACCTCTTCTTTCCACTTCCTGAGAAACAGTGCATATGAGGAAAACTTTTTATGCTTCGTATGTCGGAAAATATATTTATTCTACTCTCACACTTGAATAATAGCTTCCACGGTTATAAAATTCAAGATTGGAAATCATTTCCATCAGAATTTTTAAGGCATTTCTCTATAATCCCTTAGCTTCCTGCGTTATTGTTGATAATCCAAAAGATATTGTGTCATGAAACTTTGTACGTAATCGTTGTTGTTTTTTTCTCTCAGAAGCTTATAGGATATCTGCTTTTTCCCTTCCTCCTTTAAATTCTTATAGGTGCTCCATTACCTACAAGATGAAGACCCTTCTCAAACTGTCCTCAGGGTATTTCTTTTTCTTTTTTTCTTTTCTTTTTTTTTTTTTTTGAGGTAGAGTCTCACTCTGTTACCCAAGCTGGAGTGCAGAGGTGCAATCTCAGCTCACTGCAACCTCTGTCTCCCAGGTTCAAGCAATTCTCCTGCCTCACCCTCCTGAGTAGCTGGAATTACAGGCACCCCCCACCATGCCCGGCTAATTTTATTATTTTTAGTAGAGACCGGGTTTCACCATGTTGGCCAGGCTGGTCTTGAACTTCTGACCTCAGGTGCTCCGCCTGCCTTGGCCTCCCAAAGTGCTGGGATTACAGGCATGAGCCACCGCACCTGGCCTATTTTAACCATATAATAGCTCCTCCTGAAAATGATCAATGCTTAAGTCACAGAAAACTGTTGTCGCATGTTTACTCCTCCCTGCCTTTGCACAAACTATTCTCTGTGCTGGACCTGCCTTCCTCCACCAACCAGTCAAAATTCTACCTGTCCTTCCAGGGTCCAGATTAAATGTCACCTCTTCTGTGAAGCATTTTCAATCCCAGCCCCCAATATGCTGGCCACCCTGTCCCTGCAGTGCATACCACATTCCGCCCTGTGTCAGTTGACTGTGTATGAATTTGCCTTTGCCACTAACTGCTCCTCTAAAGCAAGAGAAGGCTGTGTCTTATAGTTCCAACACCCAGAACATAATGGGCATTGAAACACTGTAGAATTCTATTTAATTCAATTTTGTTTGCTTCAAATCCAGCCTGGTCCGACTGTCTGCAGCTGGTTTTAATAACATTGGCTACCGTTTACCCAACACATGCAATGTGCCTGGCCTTAATGCTTTTCACGTGTAGTGGATTTGAATCTTGGTCCAAAAGATTAATAAGATAGTGCACAGAGTGCAAAAAATAGTAAATGTCTTTAAATAATCGAAAATCTGATTCAAAACCTGCTCTTTAAAAAATCTTAAATCTGATTCAAAACCCCTGCCATGAGGCTGGTTTTAAATTCAATCTGTCTTTATTGGGGCTTCTGGTCTCTTACAGTTGTTCCAAGGGTCTGCGCCCTGACACAGTGCTGAGGCCTTGGAGAAGCCCCTGTTGTCTTCTCCAGTCCAGACTGTTTACTCCAAGCATGCCTAGGGCTTAACCTGTATGCTCTTTTCCAAGTGGAAGCTCTGCTGCTTCTGCACTAGGCTTGGGGCAGGGGAATCTTTAGTGAGGAGTGATCCCCAGTGCCTGGGAGCAGGACTGCAAAGATGCACCATACGGCCAACTTCCCCGTCCCTGGGAGGCCTCCCCACCTGCCTTGGCTGCTGCAAGGAAGCAGGGCTCTTTCAGACCCACAGGCCACTGTGCCTTCCTCAGTTTGGGAGAACCTTCCCCCTTTGCCTGTCAAAGGCATTCCCCTCTCTCTCTCTGGCACAATGTCTGGGACACCTGGCATAATGTCAAGTGAGCTTCAGATTTTGGGAAATCCAAAGCCAGAAGAGGAAAGGCCTTGGCGGTGACATGTGCTATTGTCTTGTGTGACAAACCTAAATACAAACAAAGGAAAAAGAAAAGCATCATTCTGCCATACATGAATTATTTCATTTCTTCCTTATGACCAATCTGCAAGTTAAGTATAATGATTTCATTTTATAAAGAAGGAAGCTAGGATTCAAATTACCTAACTTGCCCAAGGTCAAACAGCTAGGAGGTGGTTGGAAGGTCTGTGTGATGCTAGAGCCCATGTTCTTTCCACTGCACTGTCCTACTCAGCAGCGAATGGAGACCAGCTTGTGAGACATGAGGCAGGATGAACAGGGTCAGACATCAGCATTACTAGGAAATGTGTAGGAGGAGGTATTCCCAACTTTGGGAACAAACTTCTTCTGAGGCTTCAGCAGCAACAGGCTGCAGGGAATGAGGTGAGCTTGAAGAATGACTGGGGATGGAATTACTGAAGAGATTTTCTTCTCCCTCCTGGATCAGTCGAAGCACTCCCCCAGTTCAGACTTTCTTTCTTGCTTAGTCTAGATTCCCTCCTGGTCAACAAGACTCTATATGATCTGGCGCTGCATGTTTCTTCATCTTTACTTCCCTCTACTCTTCCTTCTTTCATTAAGCAATAGCCACACTATCTTCCCCAGAATTCTCCTTAACATTAATGCCTCCAATTCATCACCCATTCACAACTCGTGTGGCACCAATTCAGAGAAGCTTCATTGACCAACTTTGCTAAATAAACCACCTATCTCCAATCTCTCCCTATCATGTTACCCTATTTATCTCTACACACAGATGCCTTTCAATGAATGATGTCCCACTTCTCAGGCTTTCCTTTCTCTCTGACTTCAGAAAAGCTTCCAGACAAGTGATCGTGCACGCAGAGGAGCGACTTCACTTCCTCTCCTCTCCTCCTTGTGGTTTAGGAGGTTGCTACCTATGACTTGTAATTTGGCTCCATCTTGTGGTTTGCATCCACCCCACCTGGAGCCTCCAAATCTGAGTAAGCCTAAGGTCTCCCAAGGTGGACTCCCCGGCACTTCCGTCCACTGGAAACGTTCTGCTGCCTCCTCCCTAGAGTCCCAACACCGCTCTTGAGACCTGGTCAGGTTCCCAGTTGCCCTTTATTCCTTTCCTCGGGCCTTCAGTATATGGATCTGCTTCAGGTACAAGTTCTTACTGTAATGCCTGAAACATGGTGGTTACTCAATAAATGTTTAAAGCCCCAGCTGACTAAAACAAAATGTAGTCACCCTGCTCTCAAATTCCCTGATGACATGTCCGCATAAAGAAAAATAAATTAAAATTTGTTTTTCTGATATTAACAAGTATTGTTTTGTTAATACTATTATCTTTCATAATAGTATTGACTATTATTATTGAGCACTTCCAATGTGCCAAACACTAGTCTAACCAACTGATATTTGTCAAATCCAGTATCTCCACATTCACTAAGAAGCACACCAGATATTTCCTAAATTGTTGCATGAAACCGAAGTGTTTAGGAGAGTGTTAATAACCTAACCAAAAACAAATCAATAGAAGTAATATTTTTCTGTTAAAACATATTTTAATACATGTAAGGAAATGCCAAACTTAAATATGTATCTTTTTGTTTTTTGTTTTTTTTGAGACAGAGTCTTGCTCTGTTGCCCAGGCTGGAGTGCAGTGGTGCCATCTCAGCTCACTGCAACCTCCGCCTGCTGGGTTCAAGTGATTCTCCTGCCTCAGCCTACCGAGAAGCTGGGACTACAGGCATTCACCACCGCACCCAGCTAATTTTTGTATTTTTAGTAGAGATAGGGTTTCACCATATTGGCCAGGCTGGTCTCGAACTCCTGACCTTGTGATCCGTCCGCCTTGGCCTCCCAAAGTGAAGTATGTATCTTTATTATATAGTAATCTGCCTTTTAAAAATGATATGTCATTATTTGTAACAATTGAAAATTATTGGAAACATGCCTAGTAAGAGTACAATAGTTGAAAAAATTATAGTACATCTGCACAATGGAGTAATGCAAAGCTGTTAAAAAGAATGAGGAGATAGAAAAAATAAGTTCCAATGTTTGATAGCAGACTGGGGTGACTGTAGTCAGCAACAATATATATATATATATATAGTATATTTCAAAGTAGCTAGAAGAGAGGACTTGAGATGTTGCCAACACATAGAAATGATAAATGCTCAAGGTGAAGGATACCCCAAATACCTGACTTGATCATTAGTCTCATTGTATGCATGTAACAGATACTCACATGTACCTCATAAATAAAATATGTAAAATATCATGTATCAATTAAAGGAAAAAGTCTAACGAAAAGGAATGAGAAAGATCTCTTTGAACTAATACGGAGGAATCTCTAGGTTAGAGTGGAAAATTCACAGTGCAATACAATGATTAAACTATGTACTGCCTTTGGGGTAAGAAAGAGGAAAGATACATATTTTTTCAAAAAGGTGGATTGGGTCAGATGTGGTGGCTTGTGCCTATAATCCCCACACTTTGGGAGGATGAAGTGGGAGGATCACTTGAGGTCAGGAATTTAACACCAGCCTGGCCAACATAGCAAGACTCTGTCTCTACATAAAATAAAAAAATTAGCCAGGCATGGTGGTACCCCCTGTAGTCCTAACTACTCAGGACGCTGAAGCAAGAGGATCATTTGAGCCTAGGAGTTCGAGGCTATAGTGAGTTATGATGGTGCCACTGCACTCCAGCTTGGGCAACAGAGTGAGACCATGTCTCCAAAGGGGGAAAAAAGCTGCATTGGAAGGATAAACAAGAAATTAATAAAAATGGCTACTTTTAGGAAGGAAGGGAGAATAGAAGTGAGAAGTGAATATTGACCTTTGAAACGTATAAATAATTTACAATGTTAATAAAAAATTGACAAAAACCTCTAAAATTTAAAACAAATAGAACTGAACCACACAGAAAAAATAAGTATCCCAAGTGATATTAAAAGATACTACTGTATGTTCTTGGTGGAATACATTTACTCTCTCTCTTCTCTCTCTATTTTTTGTTGTTGTTGTTGTTTGTTGTTTGTTGTTTTTTTAGACAGGGTCTTGCTCTGTTGCCAGCCAAGGCTGGAGTGCTGGAGTGCGCTGGTGTGATTATAGCTCAGTGCACCCTCAAATTCCTGGGCTCACGTGATCCTCCCACCTCGGTCTCCCAAGTACAGTAGCCGGGACTTCAGGAACATGCCACCATACCCAGTTAATTAAAATACATGTTTTAAATAGAAATGGGGTCTCATTATGTTGCCCCAGCTGACTTAATAGAATATATTCTAAGGACAAAAAGAACTATCAGAACTTTGAACATCATTCAGTTGTTTTATGGTTAAGTAATATTTGTATCCTTATTTGAAACTATACTATATATAAAATAAAGCAAATCAGTGATTATGTTAATATAATTAAGAACTAAGATTTTTAGGCCGGGGGCAGTGGCTCATCCCTGTAATCCCAACATTTTGGGAGGCCAAGGCGGGCGGATCACAAGGTCAGGCATTCAAGACCAGCCTGGCCAACACAGTGAAACCCCGTCTCTACTGAAAACACACAAAAAATCAGCTGGGTGTGGTGGCGGGCGCCTGTTATCCCAGGTACTCGGGCGGCTGAGGCAGGAGAATTGTTTGAACCTGGGAGGCAGAGGTTGAGGTCAGCGGAGATTGCACCATTGCACTCCAGCCTGGGCAACAGGGAGAGACTCCATCTCAAAGAAAAAAAAAAAAAAAAAAAAAGAACTAAGATTTTCATGTATAAAAAGCAAGTAAAAGTAGCTGAATTAAAATAATAATATTAGAAAAAATATTTGAACTAGAACTGTCAATTTTAACTAATGATTCACTAACATATATGTCCCTGCTCTAGCAAATGAAAGAGCCTAATAGTAGCCCTGTAGCAATGAGCATCCTCAATGCACAGATTGTAGTGTGTAAATATCATTTCCCACTCAAAGGAAACAGAGCTTCTTGGAGAAGTGACCAGTTCCAGGCCTGAGTTATGGAAAATACAAAGCAAGTGTGAGTATCTCATTGTTTTCATAAAACAAGGCACTGTTCAAAGACTAATAGAGTCATGTCAAAAAAACAGGTCAGCCAGTTTGAAGGAGCTTCCATTGGCCAAAACTGGAACAACTCAGACATCAAAAAGATGACTATAATATAATTAAACACATTGAGTATATAAAAATCCATGGGTTCCTATTAATAGTCGAATACAGATTTTAAAAAGTAAGCAACAACAACCCATTGATATTACCACTGGATGTGATCTTCCAATTCATAACACAGGAAATTGGTGCTTAAAGAAAACAAGTATATATCCTGACATTTCACAAGGAAATGTTCCACTGATGAAAAAAGGTCTACCCTTCAGAGTACCAGTGAATAAATGTTGGGAAAAATAACAGAATTAGAAAACCAGCATTTTGTAAGCCTAATGTGATCATTGATTCAGGGAAGGCATCATATATGTTAAAACCATTAGGAGAATAGACAGTGAGGAACAAGAGAGTCACATCATGCCAAAGTATCATGGTCATAGATTATTTGCTATTGTCAAATGGGAGAAATACCTTTACAGAGGTGATGGCTGTCATCACCTCGACTGAGTGATCAAGTTTAGCCTCACCAATAATAGGACAAGACATTAAGCATATGCTTCCTAATAAGATGAAATGCAAAGTACACAGCAATACCTATGAAGAATTATTGTCAAAAATCTTTCATCTAAATCTAGTCAAGCCTTTGTTTCAAAAAGTTCTAGTCTATAAAAAAAATACATTGGATAGAGGAATAAGTCAAATGAAACCACAAAGAACCAATCACACAAATTCAAAATGTGAGAGATTCTACTGGCCTTGTCTCTCTAAAAAGATGCTGTTTAAAAAATGGGTGGAATAGTGGGAATTAAGAGACATTACAATCAAATTTAGTGAATGATTCTTGGCAATATCTTTGAGGAAAAACAGATATAAAAGCACTTTTCAGACAAATGGGGAAATTTGAATATGAACTGGTAATCGATGATATTAGAGAGCTGTTTTCAGTTTTGTTTAGTATGATTACAGTACCACGGTTATGTATCAAGTCATCTTTATGCTAAAGTATTTAGGGATGAAATGCTAGATCTCTAATTTACTTCAGAATGAATTCAGAATACACACACAGTTCAAACAAACACAGCAAAATCTTGACAGTTGTTGAATCTATATGATGGGTATTTGTCTTAGTCCATTTTGTGTTGCCATAACAGAATACCACAGACTAGGTAATTTACCAAAAAAAAAAAAAAAAAAAAAAAAAGAAAAGAAAGAAATTTGTTTCTCACAGTTCTGGAGGCTGGGAAGCCTAATGTCAGGTGCCAACATCTGGCAAGGGCTTTCTTGCTGTGATGAAGAAAAAAGGCAGAAGAAAAAAGGAGGAGAGAAAGGATGAAGGAGAGGAAAGGAGTCAAACTCATCCTTTCATCAGGAATTCACTCCTGAGATGAGATAACTAATCCACTCTAGAGATGATGGCATTAAGCCCTTTATGAGGGCTCTGCCCATCTCTTTAAGAGATGACCTAATCGTATTTTAAAGGTCCCACTTCTCAACGTTGTTGCATTGGGGATTAAGTTTCCAATGTTTTATATATAACAACTTTATGTTATGTATAAAATAAAGCAAATCAGTGATTATGTTCATGTAATTCAGAACTGAGATTTTTAATGTATGAAAAGCAAGTAAACGTAGTTGAATTAAAACAATAATATTAAATTTGAACTAGAAAAATATTTTGAACTAGAAATGTCAGTTTTAACTAATGATTTACTAATATATATGTCCTAGCTCTAGCAAAAGGAAGAGCCTAGTAACTTTGGGAGACACATTCAAACCATAGCAGCTTTCAAGTATTATTTTATTTTTTCCAAGTTTTCTGCAGGTTTGGAAATTTTCACAATTAAAGAGGTGTGTGTGTGTGTGTGTGTGTGTGTGTGTGTGTGTGTGTGTAATGCTTTATTATACTTGAAAATAGCAGGAAATTAAAGGAGAGAGCACTAGATTCCTGAACTCACAAGTTGATGTATGTCACCAATTGAATAACTTTTTTTTTTTTTTTGAGACAGAGTCTCGCTCTGTTGCCCAGGCTGGAGTGCAATGGTGCAATCTCAGCTCACTGCACCCTCCACCTCCTGGGTTCAGGTGATTCTCCTGCCTCAGTCTCCCGAGTAGCTGGGATTACAGGCGCCCACGACCACGCCCAACTAATTTTTGTATTTTTAGTAGAGGCAGGGTTTCACCAGATTGGCCAGGCTGGTCTCGATCTCCTGACCTCAGGTGATCCACCCACCTCAGCCTCCTAAAGTGCTGGGATTACAGGCATGAGCCACCGCTCCCAGCCTGTTCTGTAATATTTTATAATTTAAATAAATAATGTAAATGGGTTGTTCTTTTGTTTTAATTAAAATAAAATAAACATGATGTAATGCCTTTAAATTTTTGTTCCACTACATGGCTATTAAATACAGACATAAAATTTGACCATTTCCCCAGCAGATTTCTCATCCATAGGCTCAAAACCAACTCATTTTATTTTGGGAGCCCTACAATTACTTTATCAATATTATATCATTTGAAAAAAATGATCTGTAGTCAAAAGTTACTGTAACATTGTCTATAGACATCCCAGGAACACCAAGAATAAGTTCACCTAGAAAAATGTCATATAATTTTGTTTTTATAAGACATTAAAATGTTATATAAAAAATTATAAAACATTAAAATGTTATATAAAATTATAAAACATAAAAATGTTATGTAAAAAATTATTTTCCCCATATTTGAGATTTTATTGCCAATCCCAATCAGAAAACAGAAAAGAGGAATAAAAAATAGTAAAAATGGGCCGGGCGCAGTGGTTCACGCCTGTAATCCCAGCACTTTGGGAGGCCGAGGCGGGCGGATCACGAGGTCAGGAGATCGAGACCATCCTGGCTAACACGGTGAAACCCCGTCTCTATTAAAAATACAAAAAATTAGCCGGGCGTGGTGGCGGGCGCCTGTAGTCTCAGCTACTCGGGAGGCTGAGGCAGGAGAATGGCGTGAACCCGAGAGGCGGAGCTTGCAGTGAGCTGAGATCCCGCCACTGCACTCCAGCCTGGGCGACAAAGCGAGACTCCATCTCAAAAAAAAAAAAAAAAAAAAAAAGTAAAAATGAAGAAGGTACTAAGTTTCCAAAATCTTAAAAAGTCTTTATAGTTTTTAAATCTCCTTCTTATGTAGTCAACGCAAGCCCAGACGCACGCCTACCCTTACCCCCAGCTTTCCTCTCACCATCCATCTCCTACAATCCAGTTCCCTCAGGCCTCTCTTCCTTCACAAAGGTCCCAGTGTCTAAGCCAAGCCTGAAGGTATGGTTAGGATGAATGGTAGGTATGAATAGTTACCATTTAGAAATTACGCAGTCTAAAGCGAATATTAATAGTTCAACTTAGCCTGGTTTCTCTTCGTGCAGCAAAAGCCATCACTGGAATTTCCTTTACTTATATTTATGGAATGAAGTCGTTCGTTTCTTATTTGTGTCTTCACACTTCTTAATAGTTCTCCAGCTAAGCTAAATTAATTGGGCTTGGTGAAAAAAATAAAATTTTCTACAGTATGCAGGAATCTTGTGTAGAAGCTGCATTTAAGAACATAGAAGAAAATGGAGACATTACAACTGACACTATAGAAATACAAAAGATCATCTAAGAATACTATAAACACCTCTACGCACACAAACTATAAAATCTAGAGGAAATGAATGAATTCCTGGAAGCATTCCTCTAAGCTTGAATCAGGAAGAAATAGAAATCCTGAACAAACCTAGAGGAAATGAATGAACTCCTGGAAGCATACAACCCTCTAAGCTTGAATCAGGAACAAATAGAAATCCTGAACAAACCAGTAACAAGTACTGATATTGAATCAGTAATAAAAAATCTTTAAAAAAAAAAAAAAGGCCCAGGACCAGATTCACAGCTGAATTCTACCAGATGTTCAAAGAAGAACTGGTACCAATCCTATTGAAACTATTCCAAAAGATTAAGAAAGAGAGAATCCTCCCCAACTCATTCTGTGAAGCCAGTGTTACCTGATGCCAAAGCCAGGAAAGAACACAACAAAAAGGAAAACTACAGAACAATATTCCTGATGAACATAGATGCAAAAATCTTCAACAGAATATTAACAAACCAAATCCATCAGCACATCAAAATGATAAATCACCATGATCAAGTGGGTTTCATCATAGGGAGGCAAGGATGGTTCAACATATGCAAGTCAATAAATGTGATTCACCACATAAACAGAATTTAAAACGAAGTCATATGATCATTTCAATCAATGCATAAAAAGCATTTGGTAAAATCCAGTATCCCTTTATAATAAAAAATTTCAACAAACTAGGCATAGAAGGAACAAACCTCAAAATTATAAAAGTCAGATATGATAAACACACAGCCAATATCATACTGAATGGATGAAAGTTGAAAGCCGGCCGGGCACAGTGGCTCACGCCTATAATGCCAGCAGTTTGGGAGGCCAAGGTGGGCAATTCACCTGAGGTCAGGAGTTCGACACCAGTCTGGTCAACAATAGTGAAACCTCATCTCTACTAAAAAAAAAAAAAAAAAAAAATTAGCTAGGCACGGTGGGACTGCATGCCTGTAGTCCCAGCTACTTGGGAGGCTGAGGCAGGAGAATTGCTTGAACCTCGGATGCAGGGGTTGCAGTGAGCTGAGGTCGCACCACTGCACTCCAGTCTGGGTGACAGAGTGAGACTCCGTCTCACACACACAAAAAAACAAAAACTGTCCAGGGGAACTTGTCCAGTCCCCCTAAGAACTGGACAAGACAAAGATGCCCACCTTCACCACTCCTATTCATCATAGTACTGGAAGTCCTAGCCAGAGAAAACAGACAAGGGAAAGCACACCCAAATTGGAAAAGAGGAAGTCAAATTATCTGTTTGCCAATAACATAATCTTATACCTAGAAAACGCTAAAGACTCCTCCAAAAGACTCTTAGATTTGATAAATGAATTCAGTAAAGTCTCAGGTTACAAAATCAACATACACAAATCAATAACACAGCTCTATACCAATAACGACCAACCTGACAATCAAATCAAGAACTCAATCTCACTTGCAATAGCTACAAAAAAAATTGTAAATGTCTAGGAATATACTTAACCAAGGAGGTGAAAGATCTCCCTAATGAGAACTACAAAACACTGATGAAAGAAATCATAGATGACACAAACAAATGGAAAACCATGCCATGCTCATAGATTGGAAGAATCAATATGAAAAATGACCATACTGCCCAAAGCAATCTACAGGTTTAATGCAATTCCTATCAAAATATCAGCATCATTTTTCACAGAATTAGAAAAAGCAATCCTAAAATTCATATGGAACAACAACAAAAAAAGCCTGGATAGCCAAAGCAATCCTAAACAAAAAGAATAAATCTGGAGGCATCACATTACCCAACTTCAAATTACACTACAAGGCTAGAGTAACCAAAACAGCATGGTACCGGTATAAAAGTACACAGTAGATCAATGGAACAGAATAGAGAACCCAGAAATAAAACCAAATACCTACAACCAACTAATATTCAACGAAGCAGACAAAACAATACACTGAAGAAAGGACACCCTATTCAATAGATAGTGCTGGGAAAATTGGATTGACACAGGTAGAAGAACGAAACTAGGGCCGGGCGTGGTGGCTCACGCCTGTAATCCCAGCATTTTGGGAGGCCGAGGTGGGTGGATCATGAGGTCAGGAGTTTGAGATCAGCCTGGCCAACATAGTGAAACCCTGTCTCTACTAAAAAATACAAGATTTTGCCAGGAGTGGTGGCGTGCACCTGTAGTCCTGGCTACTTGGGAGGCTGAGGCAGGAGAATCACTTGAACCCAGGAGGTGGAGGTTGCAGTGAGCCGAGACCGTACCATTGCACTCTAGCCTGGGTGACAAACAAGACTCCATCTCAAAAAAAAATAAAAATAAAAATAATAAAACGAAACCAGATCCCTGTTTCTCAACATATACGAAAATTAACTCAAGATAGATTAACGACTTAAATCTAAGACCTGTGATCATAAAAATTCTGGAAGAAACCTTGGAAAAACTCTTATGAATATTGGCCTAGGCAAAGAATTTATGAATAGGACCTCAAAAACAAATCCAACGGAAGCAAAAATAAATAAATAGGACCTACCTAATTAAACTAAAAAGCTTCTGCACAGCAGAGGAAATAATCAAGAGTTAAACAGACAACCACAGAATGAGAGAAAATATTTGCAAATATCTGACAAAGGACTAATATCCAGAATCTAGAAGGAGCTCAAACAAATGAGAGAAAAAAAAAAAACCAAATAATAATCCCATTAAAAAGTGAGCAAACGACATTGACAGACATTTCTCAAAAGAAGATATACAAATGTCCAGAAACATATGTAAAAATGTTCAACATCACTATCATCAGGGAAATGCAATTTTTTTTTTTTTTTTTTTGAGACAGAGTTTCGCTCTTGTTGCCCAGGCTGGAGCGCAGTGGTGCGATCTTGGCTCACTGCAGCCTCCGCCTCCTGGGTTCAAGTGGTTCTCCTGCCTCAGCCTCCCGAGTAGCTGGGATTACAGGCATGCGCCACCATGCCCAGCTAATTTTGTATTTTTAGTAGAGATGGGGTTTCTCCATGTTGGTCAGGCTGGTCTTGAACTCCCACCTCAGCCTCCCAAAGTGCTGGGATTACAGGCGTGAGCCATCGCGCCCAGCCTGGAAATGCAAATTAAAACCACAATGAGATACTACCTTATCCCAGCCAGTATCATTGATATTAAAAAGTCAAAAAGCAATAGATGTTGGCAAGGATGCAGTGAAAAGGGATAGCTTATACATTGCTGGTGGGAATGTAAATTAGTACAACCTCTGTGGAAAACACTATGGAGATTTCTCAAAGAACTAAAAGTAGTTCTACCATTTGATCTAGCAGTCCCACTCCTGGGTATCTACCCAAAAGAAAAGAAGTCATTATATCAAAAAGACATAGAATTCACAATTGCAGAGGTATGGAATCAACCTAAGTGCCCATAAACTGATGAGTGGATAAGAAAATGTGATGTGTATATACCATGAAATCGTACTCATCCATAAAAAAGAATGAAATAATATATTTTCCAGCAACTTGGATGGAACTGGACCATTTTCCTAAGTGAAGTAACTCAGGAACAGAAAACCAAGTACTACGTGTTCTCATTGTTAAAGAAAAAAAACCTTAGACGAATGAAATTCAACAGAGTTTAATTGAGCAAAGAACAATTTGTGAATTGGGGAGCCTTCTGAGCCAGAGTAGGCTGAGAGACTCCAGAACAGCCAAGTGGTGGAATATTTATGAACAGAAAAAGTAAAGTGATGTACAGAAAACAGACATGAGGTACAGAAACAGCAGGATTGGTTAAAGCTTGGCATTTGTCTTATTTGAACACAGTTTGAACAGTTGATCACCTTTGATTGGCCAAAACTCAGTGATTGGCACTAGAGTAGGTTTCAGTCTGATTACACATCAAGTTAGGTTTCAGTTTACTATGTATGGAGAAACCTTTAGGCTGAACTTAAAACATGTAAGGAAGCAGCTTTAGGCTAAACCTAATTTAACACTCACTTGTAAGTAGGAGCTAAGCTATGGGTATGCAAAGCCATACAGAGTAGTATAACGGACACTGGAGACACAGAAGTGGGGAGTGGGGTGTGGGGTGAAGGATGAAAAATTATTTACTGAGTACAATATACACTGTTGGGTAATGGGTACACTAAAAGCCCGGACTTCACCACTATACAATTCATCCATGTAAATAAAAGCCACCTGTACTCCTAAAGCTATCGAAATAAAAATAATAAAAATAAAATTCTAGGCTCGGCCTGGTGGGTCATGCCTGTAATCCCAGCACTTTGGGAGGCCGAGATGGGCGGATCGCTTGAGGCCAGGAGTTTGAGACCAGCCTGGCCAACATGGCGAAAACCCGTCTCTACTAAAAATACAAAAATTAGTCCAGCATGGTGGCAGGTGCCTGTAATCCCAGCTACTTGGGAGGCTGAGGCAGGAGAATTGCTTGAACCCAGGAGGTGGAGGTTGCAGTGAGCCGAGATCGTGCCACTGCACTCCGGCCTAGGCGACAGAGCAAGACTGTGTCTCAAAATAAATAAATAAATAAATAAATAAATAAATAAATAAAATAAAGTTCTAAAAAGATTGAGGTGTGTGTGTGACTGTGTGTATGTGTGTGCATGCATGTGTGTGTGTGTTCATCTCTAGCCTCATTCTTTAGCTCAGGTTGGTGGAGTTAACAATATCTGGAAGTTTTTGCTAAGTTTTACTTCTGAATTCCTTGTTTGCTTATATCTAGAATATAACTAGAAATGTTTGGTATGTGAAGATATAAACTTTGAAATTAGCCTTATCTTGTCTCACTAGCTCTGTGATCTTATGCACATTAACTTAGAGTTTCCTCCTCTCTAAAATAAAAATAATAACATATGTGTGGTAGGAACGTCATGTGGACCAAAAAAGATGACTATGAAAAGTGCCCATCAATATACACCTGGCAGATAGCAACGGCTCAGTGAGTGTCAGTTCCCTTTCCTTGGCTTTCTCCTTCTCTCTCAGTTTCCCCAGACTCAGAGGAAAAGAAGATTCTTTCTGTTTTGTTTTCTACCTGACTCTGAAGTTCAGGACAGATGCTTTTGATACCCCCTGCAGTAACATCAGCCACCTTCCTCCCAATCACAGAACTGCTTTCTGAGGTAGCTTTTCAACCCCAAGCTGCTCCCTCAGTTGCTCATCATTCTCTCCTTCCCTCAATTTTTGTCTCTTGCCTTACTCCCTGGCCAAATGATTGGTTAAATAGTTGCGGGGCTCTGTAGGGTCTATTTGCAAGACCAAAGGCAGTGATAGAAGGACATGAGATCACTGGGAATCAGCCTGAATAGCAGAGATGGATTTAAGAACAGTAAATCAGTGGGTTGTGTTATTGTGGTTGGAAACAGGTCCAGAACAGAATGCAGAATTTTAAGAGGAAGTCTAAGCACAGTGTCATAGCCAGTTTCAACACCAGGTCACAGACCAGACATCAGGGAATTGGGGGCCAAGTAAGGAAAGTTCCTTACAGAAGGCAGGGTGTGCAACCTGAAGCTTGACATAGCAATCAAAGGGCACAGAGATTGGGCAGTGCCAGTGCTTTCTTAAATCAAGAATACAGAATAATATGTCATGGTAACCATGGATCTGGAAGAACAAGCATCATTTTATTTTGCATCAGAGAGAATGAAGTTTCACTCTGACAGGGATGCAGGACTGCTTGGCCCTTGTAACTATCATTTTGTAACTTTTCAGCTTCCACTTACCTGGGGTTACTTAAGAGTTAAAAGAGTATAAGTAAACTTAGAAAACCTTGAGAACTGCTTTAAAACAATTATTTTTGGGTGGGGCATGGTGGCTCATGCCTGTAATCCCAGCATTTGGGGAGGCAGTTGCGGGTGGATCGGATCACTTGAGATCAGAAGTTCGAGACCAGACTGGCCAACATGGGGAAACCCCATCTCTACTAAACATACAAAAATTATCTGGGTGCGGTGGTGCACACCTGTAGTCTCCAGCTACTTGGGAGGCTGAGGCACGAGAACTGCTTGAACCTGGGAGGCAGAGGTTGCAATGAGCCAAGATTGTGCCACTGTACTCAAGCCTGGGCTACAGAGCAAGACTCTGTCTTTAAAAACATTATTTTTGAGAGAGAGGAGAAAATCGGTAGATGAAACTGCAAAATGTCTCTTTTTTTTTTTTTTTTGCAGGAACTCTGGGTGAGAAACAAAACCATGCAGGAAGACAAGGTAATAACTGTCTTTCTTGGAAGAACTGTCATTGTCTCTACAACCTGCCTTCATAGAGAAGCCAGTTCCAACACATCTTCTGCAGGGGCAGAAGAGGGGAAAGTATTCATCAATTAACCAGTGTTACCTTCTCATAGTCTCAGCAATTAGAATAGCAACTGACTCCATGAGGTCTGACAGTGGCAGCTAATAGAAGAACTGCTCTTTTTTTGTTTGTCAAACACCAGCAAAAATGCTTATCGCTGGAGAATAAATCCCTTTTCTCCTTCAATCTCAAATCAAACATTAGCTTGTCTGACAAAATGAGCAATGTCCTCATTTGGCAAAGAGATGAAAGAAATATTTTATTATGTAGAAATATTCACTTACTGTACAAGGACACAAAAATACTTGAAGTTTGGGGTTGGTTGGAAAGCTTGGCAAGGATGATGAGTTCCTCTTACTCACATGAGAGGTTATTCTTATTTTGACCTCCTTAGTTGAGGTGAGGCCTCACTGCAAGTGACAGGTCTGATGATAACCCAGGAAGGGAGGTCTTCACTGGTGTGGTGGGGATAGGGCAGGGCATGAAGGGAGAGGTGAGTGATGGGCCCTGAAACAACACAGTATAGCTGAAAGACATGGACTAGTGACAGAGTCGTGTGAGAGTCCAGGCTGATGAGGGGCACTGAGAGAAGGGACAGAGGAAGGCTCAACAGACCTCAATGGCTGAACAGGGAGTTGGGGGAGAATAAGGGGAAGAAACTAGGCAGCTATAGAACTGTTACTAAATGTCTGTTTCCTCATGTATAAAATGGTGATGAGTACCTACCTCTTAGGATTATTATGAAGACTAAATTGCAGAAGTGCTCATAAGTGTCTGGTACATAGTAAACTCTATATAAGTGCTTGTTCCTTATAGCAGGGGTCCCCCAACCTCTGGGCCACTGAACACTACCAGTCCGTGGCCTGGTAGGAACTGGGGTGCACAGCAGGAGGTGAGCAGCGAGCAAGCTCTGCCTCTTGTCAGATCAGCAGCGGCATTAGATTCTCACAGGACTGCAAACCCTATTGTGAACTGAGCATGCGAGGGAAGGTTGCAAACTCCTTTTGAGAATCTAATGCCTGGTGATCTGAAGTAGAACAGTTTGATCTGGAAACCATTCTCCCCGCCTCCATCCATAGAAAAGTTGTCTTCCACAAAACCAGTCCTTGGTGCCAAAAAAGCTGGGGACTGCTGACTTAGAGAACTCACTGCGAGGGACATGTTTGGGGAAAAAGGTAGAATCTTTTCTAAAAATGTGTGCACGAGCTTATGGGACCTTGCCATTAGGCATTGCATTAGGCACTTGGAACTTTGACTCAAGGTTTGATATGGGGGCAGTTTCCCCCATGCTGTTCTCGTGATAGTGAGTTCTCACGAGATCTTATGGTTTTATAAGGGGCTTCCCCACTTCACTTTGGCACTCATTCTCCTGCCACCCTGTGAAGAGGTGTCTTCCGCCATGATTGTAAGTTTCCTGAGGCCTCCCCAGCCATGCAGAACTGTGAGTCAATTAAACCTCTTTCCTTTATAAATCACCTAGTCTCAGGTATTTCCTCATAGCCATGTGAGAATGGACTAATACAAGGTCTAAACAGAGACACAGATTTTATGGGTGGGAGGTGCCTCCAGAGGAATGGGTAAACTTGCTTAAAAATACTGTGCAAATAAAAAGAGGACAAAGAAAGGTGTCATAAGGGACAATATATTATGGGAGGCAGAGGCAGAGACTTTAAAGAAGCAGACTAAGAAATGGCTGTCTGAAAAGTATGAGAGCTAGGAACAAGTGGTGTCAAGTCAAAGAAGTCAGGAGATGCAGGGTGCGGTGGCTCATGCCTGTAATCCCAGCTACTCAGGAGGCTGAGGCAAGAGCATTACTTGAGCCCAGAAGGTCGAAGCTACAGTGAGCTATGATCACACCACTGCACTCCAGCCTGGGTGACAGAAATCCTCTTTCTTAAAAATAAATAAATAAATCAATATAAAATAAAATGCTAGGGAAGCCCCATGGGATGCTTCAGAGGTAAAGGGAGATAAGGACTAAAAAGGCCTAATCTCCTTCTTTTGTGACCCTCTGGGTCATAAAAATGAAGGCTCACATTTTAAGAGTTGAAGTTTAGGAAAGTAAGAAGGGAAGAACCACCTAACCTCGGGGGCAGGACACAAAAATGACAATAGATTCAGGAGGCAATCGTGGGTAACACGCCCAACAGGTGGCGCCAAATACCTTCAGCGGCAGTCTACAAGAGCCTCAGAACCCCTGCCCCTTCGGCAAGCCATGCTGGAGGGAGCTCCATTCAAATCTGCCAGTCAGCCAGGTGGCACTCCTTTAGTCAACAAAATATCAAGCTTCCACTATTGGAAAGCTCTGTGCTAGGGACTCTGAGAGCTGTATGTCTGCAAGTGCACGTGTGCTCTGCTGTTCCTTTAATGTGTGGAGACAAGAACCTTTTGAGAATAAGTCCCATCTATTTTAACTCCTACATAGCTCTCAAATCTATCTACATTTCTTCATCTACATTGCTGCCTTTCTCTTCTACACCACTATTCTCACTGGCTGGGATTAACTGCTGCAATTGCTTTCTAAACTATCCACTCTCAACACCCCACCAACCCTAACATGATTGTCCCTAGTGCAATTTCCTTAAAGCATGTCTATCTCCTAGCTCCCTACTGGCCCACAGCACTGGAAGTCTAGTGCAGTAGTTATAAATGTGGACCCTGAAGCCAGATCGCCTGGTTTCAAAACCCACCTCCAGTGCTCACTGACAATGTGGTGATGTTGGGCAAATTGACTAATCTCTCTGTGCCTCATTTCTTTATCTGTTAAATGCAGACAAGATGTACCTCACAGGATTATAGTGAGGACCAAATGAGTTTACAGGGTAAGTTTTTATTTAGCACAGTGCATGGGACACAGTAAGTGCTCAATAAATGTTAGCTATTAGTCTTTGAGATGTAAATTCAAAGCATCTCAAAGCACTCACCTTCATCCTTGCTGCTTCAGCATCACCTAGTTACCTTCTCAGTTGCTGTTTCTTCTGCTGGCAATGTTCACTACTCCCTGCTCCCACCCATCCACCCCTTACAAACAGGAAGGAACTCATCGTTCTGAGATATCTGAATAGCTCTCAGCTTAGACCAGAGAACCCTCTTTTCTAAATTCTTGCTAGACCTCTGCACATTGTCCTGTTAGAATTACTTATTTTTGTTAAAAATCGTGTGACTAGTTGTCTAATGCTGCCCCTTTCCCCGATCCTAGAATATAAATTGAGAGCAAGAAGCTGTCGTCTCATTCAGTGCTGGAGACCAGCTAGTGGGATTTTGTGAGTATCTTTAGGGTGATGACCCAGGAAAAAATGAAATCATGGTGACAACACATTAGTTCCATGCTACCATTCCCACATCTCCTTCCCAGCTCTCCATTACAGCCACTCTCTAATTGCTCAGGAAAATCTTCCTCCAGTCTTGCACTAAGCCCCAGAGTAACACCAGTCACCTCTGGTCCTTGTCCTGGGAGTCCTTCATGCTGGTCACTCATGGAAGCAGGGCCTTCCAATCAAGGTAGTCCCGAGTGAACCTAAGAGCAGGACTTTGGGGAAGGTTACAGGCAGGCTGGAACTGGGGTCCACATATGGGTGCACAATAAGGATGGTCTGTGAAGACCAAGTCATGCCTATATCTTGGATTCAATCAGTATAATTACCACACCATGATGGTTAATAATTGCACCCTATTCGTGCTAAGCAAACTCCATGATAAGACCTTGTCTTATCTTCACCTTATACCCTCTGGCTTGGCAACGTCCAGGTCTACAGGCCTAACAGTTTGCTGAAAAGGCAATCAAGGGAACTCAATAAATGTGTGACTGAGTAAATAAGACCGACTCTCACCTTCCCCCACAACCCAACAAAAGGCTTCCTATGGACGCAATAAAAGGCAGTAAATGGCAGCATGAGGGGAGAGGGAAAAAGCAGCAGCAATAGAACCCATGATTCCAAGAGCTGAGAGGAGCATAGGGGGAAATAATGCCCACAGGACTCAACTAGTCCTTTGAGTTGTGCTGGAGACTGCTATTTTGGAATAAAGTCCTTTGGCAACCAAGATGGAACTCAACCAAACTCCTGAAACAATTACAATCCCTAAGTGAGACAGGCTTGAAATAAGTTCAAACTAAAGTCAATTAAGAGACTAGTCCAATTGGTTTAAGGCAGGTCTGAAGCCCCTGTGTCAGCCAGCCCTTCTCTCTCTTAAAGCATTTAGGGCGGTCTGGGTTCCATTTACAGGGAATTAAGTACTCAGGGGCCTCCAATGTCAGGTTGAAACTTTTATTTTTCCGAACTACAGAAAACAAACCTTAAAAGTACATGAGCAGAAGGGGCTGCAGTCAGACAAAATATTCTATATTTTGTCCCAAAACTAATCCAACTAAATCCTTCAATTCCCTCTGAAATGAGATGTAATCCTTGACATAGACATGCACTTAGCTTAAATCTATTTACTCCGATTTTCAGAACTTTAATTTGTATCTCATCACCTATTGCCCAACGCGTCTCTATTAAGTACTTACGAATCCTCAACATCTGTTATTCTCAAAAGGGAACCAGAGCTCAAAGGGAGCTCAAGAGCTTTCACTGGTGCACACAAGTTAGCAAGAAAGCCCAAACAAGGGTTTGTTTCCCTCTAAGTGCTTGGCAAACAGTAGCAGGTGGTTCACAAACCTAATTTTTTATTACCATCTCCCGAGCTTTTGAAAATTGTTGCTCAAGCCCCAGTTTAGCCGGAATTCCTAAAGAGGGCTGAGCATCACTAGTAAAATTTATTGCTTCCTACATTTAGTTTGTGGTGTTGCCCTACACTTAGTTTGTGGTGTCATTTACAGCAAAATAAACCATTTGCTTTACTACATTCCTGATTCTAATTTCCACGTCTCTATCCAGGTTTCCTACTATGGTACACTATACTAAGCAAATGTCTCACTTTTCCAGTATTAAAGCCCCAAATTCCAGAATGCACACATCCCAACCCCCTAAACTTTTTATACAACCCTTCTCTCCCCTTAGCAAGACAAGGGGGTATGCAGAAAGCACAGTTTTGTGATTTAATCGTTGGAATACTCTTTAGTATTCTACTAATAAACTATCTGTAAATTTGTGTGTGACCATGGCAGCAAAATTTAACAATGTTTAACAATGTAGTAGGCCCAATTACTTTTTTTTTTGAGACGGAGTGTCTACCACCCAGGCTGGAGTGCAGTGGCGCGATCTCGGCTCACTGAACCCCGCCTCCCGAGTTCACGCCATTCTGCTGCCTCAGCCTCCCGAGTAGCTGGGACTACAGGTACCCACCACCTCGCCCAGCTAATTTTTTTTTAGTAGACAGGGTTTCACCATGGTCTCGATCTCCTGACCTCGTGATCTGCCCGCCTCGGCCTCCCAAAGTGCTGGGATTACAGGCCAATTTCCTTTTAAAAGGCAATAAACTCAATGCATAAAGTACTTATGTTCGGCTACCTCCCACCCTTTTCTCATATTTTAAGTCTGCTCAGGAGAAAATTCACACATCCAGTGCCACAGGGAAAAACCTAAAGCCTACCTCAAAATTTTGAGTTCTTGGTTAAAGCATGAATGAGCCACAGTACTATTTTTCATTTAAACAAGAGCAAATTGTAGACCTAAAGATTACTTCTAAGGACTCAATTTACAAAAGTCATATTTACTTTATTAAAAACACAGCAAAAGCCTACTGGTTTAAAAATTAAGACAATCCAATTATAGGTTAGCTATTGCCTTTTCTCACTGCAGTAATATTTCCCTCAAAATTATCAAGACAATTCTTATGATGTTCCTTTTGAAACACTACAAAAGCAAATATTAAGGTAACTCAAAACTTGAATAATATTTTCTTTATTTACAAGTTAGAATCAACAAAGACAGTCCAGGGGACCAAATGGGGAGATGACTGAAACCCCCAGGGCCCCAAATGGAGCGGAAGGAAAAAGGGAAAACAGAGTAGAAAAAAAAAAATCAACGTAAAAAAAGAGCTCCCCCTTCTTCCCTCCCCATGGAGGCTGAGGGGACCACGGCCCCACCCTCCCCCCAGCCTTACCTAGCTTAAAATAAATTAGAACAAACAATCTCAAAACAGGGCCCTTAGAAGTGAATAGGGCAGCTATGGCCTCAGGTAACTCCAGATCAGGGCTTTGCACACTCCCACCCTTGCCCTGCCCCATTTTGAATGGGGGCTCTGTGTCCAAGAGATCACTCCCCAATGGGGCTGGGAATTCAATGTTGTTTTGTCCATGTCCCTCCTTCAGTAAATGTCCCTGCATCCCTCCCCCACTGCAGAGCCAGCTCTCCTAGAGGGGGGCAGGGGGGGGTGAGATGAAGAAGTGTCACAGCAAAGGGGGAAGGGGCAGGTGGGGCAGGGTGGTCTAGGGGTCCGGTCCTGCGGAGCCTTCCTGCCCCATCTGGCCTGACCCCTTAGCCTGAGTCTGAATCACTGGTGTCTGAAGACGACGACGAGGAAGAGGAGGAGCTGGAATCTGAGCTGGAGCTGGAAGCGCTAAGGCGTGACACTGCTACTTGCTGTGCAGAGGATGACTCTGTTTTCTCATTCGCTGCAGAACAAATTCGAAAGTTAAAGACGTTCAAGTCTGAATCTTCATTTGTCAATAAAAGACAGTCAAGAAGGCAGGATGGAGTCAATCTGTAGTGGCATGAAAGTATATACTCACCTTTCTTGGGGGGCTTTTTAGTAGAATTGAGCTGTCCGCTGACATCTTGTAACCGCTTTTCTAATTCCCGCTTTTTCTCCAAAGCCAGTTCCTCCTTTGTCTTTCCCACAGGCTTCTTAATGGCTAATGAAAGAAATTTATCAGGATACATTAAGATTGCCCCAAGCATCTTATTATGGGCCCCTAAGGTTCCCAAGTTCCCTTCTTGAACGTCAGCTGCCAACCAACACATCCCATTATCCTGGGAGCTGACAATCCTGAATGCAAACAGACCCCACCATCTTTCCTCAACTGTCCTCAGAACCATGAGATGAACCTCATTTCATACGTACTGTAGGGCTTCCGGGGTTTCTTACGTAGGCAGGAAAGGACATAGCGCTCAAGCTCTCTAAGTGTGGATGGCTTGAGTGTTTCAAAATCAATCTCAATCTCTTCTGGGTTTGAATCACGTAAAGAGGGCTCCCTGGCTTGGATTATATGCACAACTCGGCCCAGCTTCTCCCCAGGTAATTTGTTGATGTCCAGGCTCAGCTGCCGCTTCTCATCGTAACTCATGGGCCTGCTCTCTTCCTCCTCCTCTGAATCATAACCTGTAGGCAGGGCAGGTGGGGCTGTCTTTGTGGCCTTTTTGGGGAGCCTAAGGGCAAAAAGAGTTGTCAGCAAAAGAAGCTTCATTAACCTCTTCCAGTATGTTCCCACTGTTATAATTCAGTGATCCTATTTCCTGCCCAGAGTGGAGCTTCTGTTTTTCCATTCAATGGCCAAGTAAGAGGTGGGCTACTGGGACACTGTATAGTGAAACAGAGCATTTTGCTCTTGACTGTAAGTAGGCAATAACATGTCTTTAAAAAGACAATGTACGTACATACCTTAATGAAAAAATATTACTAAAAATGTGACACACAAACATGTTGGAAAAACTGTTGAAAGACTTGCTCCACACAGGGTTGTCACAAATCTTCAACTAAAAAAAAAAGTAGTATCTAAAAAAAACTCCGTAAAGTGAAGCACAATAAAACAAGGTATACCTGTTTAGGTATACTGACATGGGTCTTTCTGCTCCCTTAAACACTACCAAACTACACCATGGGCCAGCTGCAGTGGCTCAGATTTGTAATCCCAGCACTTTGGGAGGCCAAGGCGGGCAGATCACTTGAGGTCAGGAGTTCAAGACCAGCCTGCCCAACATGGCGAAACCCCGTCTCCACTAAAACTACATAAACTAGCTGCGCACTAAAAATACAAAAATTAGCTGGGCGTGGTGGCGCATGCCTGTAATCCTGGCTACTTGGGAGGCTGAGGCAGGAGAATCGCTTGAACCCGAGAAGTGGAGGTTGCAGTAAGCCGAGATCACGCCACTGCACTCCAGCCTGGAGTCTTTAAAAAAAAAAAAACAAAAAACAAACAAACAAAAAAAAACAAAACACAAAACCACACCAAAAAACCAAAAACTACTACGCCATGAAAAACAAGTCTAGACTCATTGATTTAGAGCAACAGGCAAACTATATGGCCCAGAGAACAAATCTGATCGCCACGTGTCTTTGCAAATAAAGTCTTTTTGGAACACAGCCATCTTCATGTTTCTAGTTTATGGCTACTTTGAGTTCACTGTCAGGTAGCTGTGAAACACCGACTCCCAAAGCCAGGGGTCCCAACCCCCAGACCAGTACCAGTCCGTGGCCTGTTACTGGGCTACGCAGGAGGTGAACAGCCGGCATGTGGGCATCACTGCCTGTCACATCAGCAGAAGCATTAGATTCTCATAGAAGCATGAACCCTACTGTGAAGTGCGCATGGTACATATCCAGGCTGCATGCTCCTTATGGGAATCCAATGGCCCAATGATCTGAGGTGGAACAGTTTCATCCCAAAAACCATCCCCTCAAACCCTGTCTGTGGTAAAATCTGTCTTCCACGAAACTGGTCCCTGGTGCCAAAAAGGTTGGGGACCACTGCTCAAAGCCTATTGTATCTGTTAACTGGCCATTTAGAATTATCTTTGCAAAGAGAGATGGCATCCCCCAGAGAGACAGAAATAGCCAAACTAGTCTCTGCTTCCTACTCTAACTCACTTGGTGCCACTTCCTCCAGAAGGTCCAAAGCCAGAAGGGCCTAAAGCAGCACTGCCACCCCCACTGCCACTTGCTTTCTTGGACTTCTTAGGTTGAGGTGGGCGGGGTGCCCTAGGCCCCTTGTCATCTTCATCGGCCCCAGCTCGGCCTCGATGCTTCTCTGCCTTCCGTTTCTTCTTTTTCTCTTTTTTCTCTCTTTTCCTCTTGGGCTTGGATATTGGACCCTGGGACAGAGCAGCCAGTTGTTCATGTACTGCCCGAAGCTAAAGGAAAAAAAACATGAAGTGGAAAAAGTAAATAAAGATAAAATAACAAGAAGAAAAAATGAGGACAAAGGGCATGAACCTCTTACCCAATAAAAACTTTCAAGAGTGACAAAATACCTGTTCCTGTAGTTCTGCTAAGCGATGAGCCCTTTCTTCCTCTGAGTCTGAGCTTTCACTCTCTTCTTCCTCCTCGTCCTCCTCATCTTCCTCCTCCTCTTCCTCAGAGGAGCTCTCACTGCTACTTTCCTCACTGGAGGACTCTGAAGACGATTTGGCCAAGCCAGGGGGCATGGCAGTAGAGACTGGTAAAGGCCCTGGTTCTAGTGGTTCATCTGGCATCTTGGCATAACGGAACTCAAATACATCCTAGAAAGAGGCACAAACTCAAAACTATGCTGATAAACAGTGCCCTACATACCCAGCCACCAAGTGATATAGCTCCAATTTACAACTGTACAGAACAGTGAGACCCTCACGTTGAGGCTATGCAGCACACATGACAAAATAACTCCCCATACCATTTATTTTTCAAACTCCAACCTTTCCACTCACCTGTAGCTTTCGTGCCATTGCCACAACATCGTGATCTGGGGGATTGTACTTATAGCAGTTGGAGAACATAAGCCGTACATCAGCAGCAAACTCCTGTGCATCCCGGTAATCACGGTTCTCCATCTTCCGCTGCAGAAGGAGGCAGCATCAGAAGCTGCACAGGCAGGAAGACTCACCTTTCCCTGCCAACCCCAGACACCACAAGAAGAGCCCTCTCTTGAGAGCACAGTGGGGATGACCTTAAGGATCTGTGCCCTGGGGTTCAAGTTTGAAGTCAAAGGAATTTGGGTGGGTTGAAGAAATATTTATGTCTAGAAAAAGAAATCATTTCTAAGTGACAGAGAGGTGGCCTATGCCTGTCTTTCCACCCTATAACTTCCTTAACCCAACACTGCCACATTAGTACTTAATTATAGACAGTATTTTTCTCAAGACAAAGAAACCCCACCCTACTGTTTCAAACTCCAAGAAATACAAATTCTCAAAACACCAGACCTTCTGTTCCACTATTATTTTATAAAAGTAAAATGCCAAGAACCAAAGACTGCTGTGTGCCCACATAAGGAGACTTATTGTTTTGCACCTAGGCTCCCATCACTGCCTGAGCATCCCATCTGCCCCATGCAGTGGGTACCTTGACAGTGCTGAGGTCCATGGGGTGCTTAATGATGTCATGGTAGTCATGCAGGCCAAGTGCAGAAGCATCCACTGGTTTATAGAAAGGCCAAGCATAGGCAGCATGCTTCTTAGAGAGTAACTCCTTCAAAATGCCATTGCAATGTTTTAACTGTTCTGAAAGCTTTCCTTTCTTAGAGCTCTGGTGTTGTTGCTGAGAGTCAGGCAAGTCTTTGCGTGGGGGCTTGATGGGGCGACCACTCTCTCTACGCATAGGGGGAAGCCGTGCTGCCTTAGGCTCAAGACTCCCAGGAGGGCTAGCTGGAGAACCAGGAGCCAAGATGGCTGTAGGTGTAGGGGTGGTAGTATCTGCTTTCCGCTTTACGCCTTTTTTCTGCAGAAAGAAACAAGATAGGGAACCTGTCACTCCAAGCCCACTTTACTTAAGACCCTTGCCTCCCTGCTGCCCAGAGGAAATCCACAGATCATACCTTGGCAAGGGGCTGGGCTGGAGGAGCTGCAGTAACAGCAAGGAGCGGGGGTCCAGCAGAGTGCAAGGACTTGAGAAGTGGAGAGGAAATGACTGATGGGTGGGGAATGTTGAGGACAGTGGTAGGTATCTCAGGTGGAGGAGTATACAGGGCTGTGTGTGACACAGAAGAGACGGCAGGCACCTGATGGGCACTGGTAACACTGCCCTGGAGCGCTAGAAAAAAGGAAAAAAGTGTAGTTTGATTCTCTTCCCCATCTTTAAGTTGTCCATTTGCAAAACTCCCACTCTTCCTACCTGCCAACTTGGCCCCCTTCTTGTGGCTGTTCTTAGGGATGGTCACTACCAGCTCTTGTTCTTCTTGTGGCATTGATGCAACCTTCTGTAGGAATATCTTTTCCAGCGTTTGTGCCATTAGGACAATATCATCAGTGGGCTATGAGAACACAGACAGCAATAAAGAAAGTTAAAAAATGCCAACAGAAGATAGATACACACCATCTTTCTCAGAGGCATTCAGGCCCTAGGCCATTACCATACCCCCACCAGTCATCTTGTCATCAAATCTTAAAGAAAATTTCCTACTCCAGGCCACTACTAATTTCCACTTTCTCCTAACTGTCTCCCAAAATTCGAAAGAAAAAACTTGAGAGCTGACAAGAAAACAGATCCCTGGTCTACTCAGGTCTCTGGTGATTTCTAAGAAACAGGACCACCACCCCCAAGTATGAAGTGTTCTAAATAACCTTCAACTAGAGCTCTGAAGTCACATCACTGTGTTCAATAGTACCATCTAGAGTCAGGTTTTTAAGACTCCGACTACCCTACCTGGATAACACCTTCAGTAGCAAAGGATTTAAACTTTATGTAGACAACATATCCAGCAATAATAGAAATTACTGTTTCTCCCCACCTACTAAATGAACACACAGAAAAACTCACCTTGTTGTAAATGTAACAGTTGGTGAACATGGTATTAAAATCTTGCATACACTCTGAAGCAGCCCAATAATAATTGTTTTCAAGTCTCCTCTTAATAGTACCCATGTCCATAGGCTGTTTTATAATTTTGTGATAATCCTAAATAAAGAAATGTTAGGTCAGAACCACAGAAAAATAAATGCTTATAGGGAGACTACCGATCCCCGACTCTCTCACACACACACACACACACACACACCCCCTATGCATCAAAGGAACAGTTAAACTGCGGCCCCAATTAAACTGTGGGACAAAATAAATAAATAAATAAAAAAGATTCTTGACATCCACAGGGAGGCCCCTGCTGCCTTTCTCTAACCACCCACCTCCCACCCACTCTGGAAACTTCCCATCCTGTGACATTACCTCTGGGGCTGGCTATCCATGGGCTGCATGAGGGAAAGGAAGAAGCTAAGAATTTTGGCCACCGTGGTCCTCTCCCAACCCGAGGTGGGAATCTGTAAAATGGAGCCAGGGCACAAAAGTTAAGGAAGGACACATGGAGGGCACAAGGAAAGATGCCAAGATAGTTACAGCAAGCGGTCGGATCAATCACAAAGGACCAAGATACCCAGAAATCTGGTAGCTAACTGCCCTACAGGGGAGAAATGGGAACTCCCTAGGGGCCGCAGCATCTACACTAGGCAGACCACCCCCATTCACACGCATTCTTGCTCATCCCACACCTCCCCGGCTCCAATGTCTCTACTCACCGGTAGACCCAGTTTGACAGCATCCACAGGCTGCCGGAATGGCCATGCGAACTGATGTTTCCACAGAGCCTTCATCACTACCTTGTGTAGGTATTGCAGCTGGTTGGTAACTCGTCCTGGCTTTTTGGGATTGGACACCTCCGGGGGTGGTGGGTTGGCAGGGGTAAGTTGCAAAGCAGGCACCGAAGCCATTGTGGGGCTCTCAAAGCCCTCATACAAGAGAGAGGGTTTTCGAATCCTTTTCCCTGGTGCTGCTGCTTCTGGGCCCAGCCCCAGCAACCCTGCATTCCCTTCCCCAGGGAGCCTGTAAAGATGGGAACAAAATTAGGGCAATATCGTCCAAATGAGGAAAAAGTGCATCTGCACAATAGTCTGATGAATCCAGGTGCTGGCCCTAGTGAGGTGGTTAAGCTTATGCCAAGTGCTTCTTAAGCAGAAACAATATCCAAACAATCTGTGGAGCTTTTATTGCTGGCCCCGCCTTCCTTTTATTAATATTTTTAGTATACTATCTAGATCCCACCTTCTTAAGTCTGATAGGCTCTATCTGTTCTTTTTCATATTTTAAAAAACTCCCAAATTGTTTCTGACAAGGCACGACATCTCAGAACTACAGCCCTATGGGGATGGGGCTTAAGCAAAATGGGTGGAGTTAAGAAACTCAAACCCCAAGCTTCCTCCTCACTAGGGGTTTGGTGGTTGCCATGGTGGTTGAGCGCCGGTAAGGAGGAAAAGAACAAATTATGGCTATAAAAAATTCCATAAAATGCTGATAAGACACAGAATAATCCACCTAGATAGAAGAGAGAGCACCATCTTCCACAAGGTCTGGGTAGTTCACGCCACAACAGAACATAGACTAGAAACCCAGAGGAAGAACCATATCAACTTAAAAACAAATTCAGACAAGGAAGAATTTGTCAGACTTCACAGCCCGTAACTTCCAGGCCCTCAAAATTATTCGCACCAAATCAGAGTCTCCTCACTCCAAGGAAGTCAAAAAGCCGTACAAAACAGTCAAGGTCACCAAGTGATAGCCCCCTTCCACCCACCCACTACACAACACGATTCCACTACCAGTTCCCCCTGTAGCACCAACTCCGGACACCAAACGCTAACAGTGGTTCATTTACAGTCCCTCTGGTGCTCCTCCGATCAGTCTTTCCTACCACCTAAGAATTAAAACATCATATGGGAATCTCATTGTTTACATCGCAGAGCTGAACTAGGAACCTTAGCTCTACCCTCCTGCCCTGAATCAAACTTTTAATGTTAGGAAAAAACAATCCCTGCACCAACAAACACCACACACAACCCACCCACCCAAAGAAAGCAAAAGATTTAATGACATGCCCTGGGCATTAGGAACCTGCACACACGGGAGAGTGATCCCTTTACCCTTCTCTGGGAATCCCCGTTGCCAGTCCCTTAAGCGCTCCGTCACCATGGCAACCCTACAGGGCGCTAGAGGTGTCCGTGAATCCCCCCTAAAAGGCTAACAGACCGCCGCTAGATACCAGACCCACCAAACGCCAAACCTGCTGTTCAACCTCACTCCACTCCACCGTCAAACTAGCTCTGCCTGACTCGGTTAAGACTGGGCCACGGCGGCATTAATAGCGTATAAATTGACAACCTGTATTCCCCTCCACGAGCAGTAGCCGAGCCGCCACCACCGTTCCAAAACCGTCGCTCAATTCCCTCCGCGCGACCGAGTCGACAGCTGCGCCGCAACAGCAGCGCGCCGGGGCCGCTCAGTACTCCCAACACGGCGCCCCACACCCCTGTGCCGCCGCCCTGCAACATCCCCTTCCCACACGCGGCTCGCGGAAACGTACTTATTGTGGGGAGTCACGTTTTGCAGCATCTTGACCGCAAGGAACCGGCGCTGCCCTCAGCCGCGGAAAGTCCGGGTGGCCTCGGTTCCCCTCACCGCCCGGTCCAGCATAACCCGCTAAGTTGGGGGGAGGCCGTTCCTCTTGGGCCTCCAGGCGACAAACCCCCTGCCTGGCCGGCACGAAAGCAGTCTCTTTGGGGCCTCTCGGAGAGCTCCGGGCAGCTTGGCGCGCTCTGCAGACGGCGGACAGCAAGAAAATGGCGGCGGCCTCAGCTGAGGCGGGCAACTAAGGAGGGACTGACTCTTCAAAAGACGGTCCCCGATCTCAGACACCGTCGTCAATATAGCCCGCTGTTGGTCTGCAGGGATTCCCTCTTCTTGTCGGGCCCCTACGGGGCCGACGAGGTCCCGTTTCGATCTCGGATGGAGGCGGATGAACACGAAAAGTGGTTTAGGGAGCCGCCGCCTCCATCTTTGAAATCCTCTTGAGGGCGGAGTAGAGGGGGTGGACAGACTCCGAGGATTGGGCGGGGCCCGAAAAAGGGGAGCTCCAGGGGCTTCTAGGGGGTCTGTACTGCCCGCTGGGACCAGTCATAGGCCGGGACGAAGGCCATTTCCAAGCGGATGGAGGTGGATTGTAATGGCGGCCCCGGACGACTCGAAGGCTCTGTATCGGTAGGCAGAATCCTCCAGCTCGTTCTAGAGGCTGCTCCACTCCAGCACGAAATGGCGCCGCCGAGCCCCGCGCCAGCCCTTTATATATAGGCGGGGAGGAGGAGCTTCGCCGCTCATGCGCGCCACCCTGCTTGAGATTTTCCCCACCCCCTCCGCGCGCGCGCGCTCGCTCACGCGGGTGAAGAAGCTGAGTCGAAGGGGAAGGAACACCTCTCCGCGGGAGCTTTTTCTATTGGCCAGCCGCAACGATGACGTCATAAACTTCATTTCCAAGGTGTCAGTCACCAGGCAGAAGAGTGCCGCAGAGACCCACAGGGAAGTGGCAACCCGCCACATCTCCAAGCCAATTGGCTGAGCTGTGGTCCGCCGACTCCAGGGAAAGAGGGTGGTTGGAAGAGGTGCGGAAGCCATCGCCCCAGAGCCTCCAGCACTCTCTCCCCGCCTCCCCTTCCAACAAAGTCTTCCCAAGCTTCCATGCACAGCCCAACTGGAGACTGCCAAGCTCGAGCAGGTCGTGCCATTCGTAGCTCCTCCATTGGCCAAAGCAGGGAAACGGGAGGGGTCGCGTGGGCGTAGCCTGCCTGAACCCGCCAGGGGTGTGGCCGCAAGACGCCTGGCGGGTGGTGGTTCTCGGCGGTAAGGCAGCAGCAGCGAAGAATCTGAAACGAGGAAAAAGACGCCATCTTAGAAGCCGCGGCCTGCTCCTCTATGGCGAACAGCTACGGGCTTCAGAACGGCGATGAGGGGATCTAACGTTCCCATGCCCCACAGTCTAAAACAGTGTTGCCAGAGTCTTATAATACTCCACTCCCTCCCTCAAGCCAAACGATGGAAAGACGAGCAAAACATTATTTACTACTGTTTAGTCCCAAAGACCACAAAAGCTAAAATACGTCTCCCAAATTTGCACGTCCAAGCACCTTTCTAATCCCTCCCCACTCACACCTACAGTTACCAATACATTTCTGCTCGTTCGAAAAATCCTCGGCAACCCTAAAAGTGGGATTAAAATCTCCAAACGCATCCATCTACCCTATACAATGCAACACACCTCACCTCTTCCTCAAACTCCATTCCGGCGTCCGGCTCAGAGCAGAAAAAGCAAGTCCTGGGAGGGATGACTTAAGGGAAAAACCCTCCCCCTCCAGGCGAGCTCGGACCTTTCCCCCCACACGCCACATCACCCCCAAAGGCACACCCGTATCCGCCTCTCAGGGGCCCTCCGCCACGGGGGCGAAAGAACCCCCCCGCCCCCCCACCAGGGTCCGGAGTCCTCCCCACGGAGCGGCTGGTCCATCGGTCAGCGCCAGGGAGGAGGGCGAGCGGAGGAGGCGGCGGCTGCGGCTCAGACTAGCCCTCCCCCTCCTCCCCTCCTCCCCTCCCCCCGGCCGTCCGCCTCCGAGGAGGGGCAGGAGCCATTTTGGGAGCTCAGTTTCGCCCCCTCCCCCCAACTTACTCTTAAGTCTTCCTCCTAACTTGGTTATCTAAATAAGGGTGCAGACTCTGTGAATCAACCAGAGCCCAGAGTCAGGATCTCCAGAGCATCTCTGGGGCCGTCCCCGCCCCCTTACAAGAGAGTGAAAGGATCTCCCCCACCCGAGAAAACCTGGGCTTTGGTGGGGCGTCCCCTCCCCCGTTTCCCCTTTCTTCGCTACCAGGGAGAAAACAAACTTGTGTACGTATCTGGGAAAAATAATCAACGTAGGTGAACAAATATACGGTAAGATTCCCCCTCGCCCGGGAAGGGCTCGTAAGGGCCTAGGTCCTTGAGCTGCAACCACGCCACCCTCCCTCCTCTGCAGTAGCCCTTCAACTCCAACCTCGGTTACTGCGTCTAAAATGGCCGCCAATCTCCTGTCTTCTGACCCCCCGAGTAGGGCAAACCCCGGGAGGGCGGGGGAAAATGAGCGTCAGGAGAGCAGAGTCCCCTTCCCCCAGCCAGGGATCAGGCCCTGGCCCCCAAAAGTACAAGCGGCCCCGTTTGGGTGGCTGCAGCATGGAGGGCAATGACACAGCAACTTTGCAGAGGCCTTTTCCCCTCCCCCTAGCGGCCCAACCTCCCAAATCTGCTTTTCTCCACCGGGGCTCTGCAGGCCAGGACAGAGGCCCATCAGGGGGCCGGCCATGGAATAAAAACTTAGGAGGCTGAGAAAATACTAGGCCTTAGGAAAAGGGCAGCCAGACATTGCTCTCGTTTATTCCCTGCATTCCGGAAAATCACTGCCTCCCGATCCTCTATCCTCCCTTCCCCCACATGAGTCACCAGGGAGGCTACTGCTACTCAGTAATTTGGGAAAGTAACTCTTTCCTCCTTTCCGTTCCCTCCCCCGCAGTACACAAGGAGAGAACTGTTCAGGACTGGGGGAGGGGATGAGGGAGGCGATGGAAGAGGCCACCCTGGAGAAACCCGAAACCTTGGGAGCTGTGAAATCATTCCAGGTCCCGAGCCTCCCTCGCATCTCAGACCATGCTGTCTAGACCCCCTACTGCCAGCACCCACCTTGGGCCTGGTTTCTGTTCCTAAGCAGACCTCAAGCTTTCAGCTTGTAAGCACCCCAGCCTGGAGTAGACACGTGCTCAGTAAAGACCCTACAGGGGCAAAAGGCCCCACAGGCCGTGTCCACGTGAATGCACACAAATTCGGTAAGCGACTCGAAGCGTAACCTCCAGCCTGCGGTGTGACGACTGGAGCTCCCCTACCGCGGACACAAAGGGCGCACAGCAATGCTCCCTCCAGAGGCTCTGGGGAGAAAGGAAGTTGGCGCCTGGGAACAACCTCAGTTCACAACATGGGTGGCCAACTCCTAAAGCATTCACATCCACGGGTAGGGGCCACAGCCACCACTCCTCAGCCCACCGCCAGGTCACCCCTCCCTCGGCCGCCGATGGATCCCTTCTCACCTGGCTCCCGGCTGCTGTACCCCCAGGGGACGAATGGAATAGGGGGGGCCACACCGCCCCCTAACCCCTTTGCCCTCCAATGGGTACGGAGGCATGAGGCTGGCCATTCCCCTCCCCCCCCATGGCCCTCTCCCGCTCGCCCCCCCTCCACGCTCCCATTGGCTGTAAAAGGTTTGAAGGACAAATCTTCCCACTCTCAGGATTCTTTCCTGAACCCCAAGAATCCCCCTCCCGGACTCCCCACCATTGGTTAAGCACTTGACTGACATCTCCGCCCCACAAGGGCCCCTTCTCACCTGGATCCTAAAGCCTTCCAGGGGGCCTCCAAAGTTGCCCTCGGCTTGGTACGGGGTATGTAATCCGGGGTGTCAACCCCCCCCCAGAAAACGAAGCCGTGCTGGGGGAGGGGGCGTAGCCCCCAGCCCCTCCCTTCCCGAACGGGCTGGGGGGGTGGGGAGAGCATCGGGGCCGCGCGGCCACGTCAGCAGCACCCAGATTGGCTGACCGGGGTCACGTGCCCGCTTCCCCCCCACCCCCCGCCTTTCCCCCAGCCACGAGGACCAGCTTTCCGAACGTTCCTGGGGGTCGCGCCAAGGGGCCAAGGGGGCCGCATGGCCCAGGCCTATGTCCCGAAACCCAGAGCGCTATAACGCTGCTGCTTGTCCATATCCCCAGCTTCCTATCCCGCAGTCCTGGACTCTGTCCCCCCCACTCGCCTCTCCATACGAGTTCAGCATGGCTGCCGCAGACCAGGAACACACACAGCGCAGGCGCAAGGGTGCGCCCTGACTGGGGGAGGGGGAAGGAGGGCCAGAGGCTGCGGGGAGAGCCGTAGTGCGCAGGCGTCCGGACCGGAACCGCATCTCCGGCGGCGGGGCTTGGAGCGCGCGCATTTCGTGGGGCGGGAGCCCGCGCCCGGGTGCTGACCTCCTGCCTCAGCGCCCCCTCCCCCACTACCCGCGGCCTAGCGGGGTAGCCTCGGGTGGCCAGGCTTGTTTCCTCCTCGGTGGGTGTAAGGTGCGGCTTCGCTGGTCCTGGCCTGAATCCAGCGGAAGCGCACGCTGCTGAGCTGTCAGCGGAGGAAAATGGGGCCTGGACCTGGAGATATGAGGGTCTGGAGAGAGGGGCCCCTTCCCTGGTGTCGTGTGGTGCGACCACTGGAGAGGGAGTTTCTCGCCCTCGTCGCGCCTGCCGCGCGGAGAGATAAGGTGCGGACCGCAGATGTGGACTTCGTATTTGGCTTTAGTCTTAGGCAGCCTTAAAATCTCTCCGTGCCGTGAACCTACGCTAGACTTTTCTTTAGTGAGACCTGTGAGTCCCTGGACCGCTCTACCTTCTACGATATTTACCAGCTGATAACTTTTCCTTCTCTATTTATTTCGTAGTGGACCGTTTAAACCTCTTATACTCTTAAAGTTATGATCTCTCCTCTCCCAAGCTTGAGTGAATTCCCCCCAAAATTTTGGAACTGGTAACATAAAATGTTATGGTGATTCAGTTGCCAGCTAAAAAGTAAGCCTTTAATTTGTCATTAGCCGATAACCTCTCCCTTGATTACCCAGAGTATGGTCCAGATTTTCACGCTGCAGACCCTAATCTCTCCTCACCGACAGATGGCACTTCACAGAACAGAAAGGCCAATTTGCAGAACTGGCTTCCCATTTCCCACCTGCAAACTGGGTCAATTGTGTATTCCTTTCTCATTTCACTAGAGGTCCTCCCTTCGGTTTGAGGAAATCCTTTACTATTGACCTGGTCAACCTTCTCTGTTACCCGGAAGCTGTCTTCCCTTCTCCCCCTTTTGACCTTTTTAAACTTTTCTCTTGGTTTCCCCGCTGACAGAAAGATAACAACCCTCTCAATATCGTGCCCTCTTAGAGACTCATGTCTCTCGGCTTCCTTGCACAGCCAAGACCTGAAATTGAAATTATCCTTACTATCTCAATTCTTTGTCACATTCTCTTTCCCCATCCCCACTCTTCAAGCTACCTCTGTCAGGCTGCTACCACCAAAACTTTTCTGGCAGATGTCACCAAGAACCTCCTAACTGGCAAAGTCAGGAAGCACTTTACAGTTCTCACTTTATTTGACCTCTGAGGCATTCGACATTTGATCATGTTTCCTTCCTGACATTCTCTCTACCCTTGACTTCTATACCACTCTCACTTGTTTCTTTTCCTATTTGTGTAACTGTTCCTCTCCAGTCTCAGTAGATTTTTCTTCCTTAGCCCCTTTTTATGTGTTGATATTTGCTGTGATTCTTGTTTGCTTCTAATTTTGTTCAACTTCTCTAGGTAATCTGACTCCATGGCTCAAAGCCTCTGAAGTCTGAATCTTTAGTTCAGACAGCTCTCTAAGCTAAACTTTCTACTAAATATTCCCACTGGGATAACTCTCAGACACCAGTATGTTCAAAATTGATGAAATCACTATACACTCTAGACCTGCTCTTTCTCTTCTGTTGTCCTGAGTAATGGTGGCTGTTTAACCACAAAGTCTGTAATCTGGGAGCCTGTTCTTGATTTCCTTTTCTCACACCCTTACAGACTCATAATTTTGCCTCTTAACTATCCATCAACTCACCCTTCTGTCCTAATTCTATCACCTGAGCTATACCAACAGTCTCCTAAATTATTTGCTAGACACATGGCTATTTGGATTTAAATTAATACAATTTTAAATTTAGTGCCTCAATACACTAGCCACATTTTAAGTTCTCAATAGCCACATGTGACTAGTGGCTGTCATATGGGAAAGCACAGATTATTGAACATTTGTGTCATTGCAAGAAGTTGTTTTTTTCTTTCCCTGATACGGAGTCTTGCTCTGTGGCCTAGGATGGAGTGCAGTGGCGCAGTCTTGGCTTACTGCAACCTCTGCCTCCCGGGTTCAAGCAATTCTGCCTCAGCCTCCCGAGTAGCTGGGATTACAGGCGCCTGCCACCACACCCGGCTAGTGTCTGTATTTTTAGTAGACACGGGGTTTCACCATGTTGGCCAAATTAGTCTCGAATTCCTGACCTCGTGATCCGCCCGCCTCAGCCTCCCAAAGTGCTGGGATTACAGGCGTGAGCCACTGCGCGCGGCCTCATTACAAGAAGTTCTGTTGGACAGTGCTGCTTTAGACTTTCCTCTCTGCCTCTGCCACAATACTGCCAGGAGAGAGCTTTCCAAAATATAGCCCTGGCCATAGCTCTTTTTAAAACTCTGTGTTATTCCTTATTGGCTATGTGATAAAGTCCAAATTCCTATGTTTGCCAAAACAGTCTGCCTAGCTTTCCAGCCTCATGTCTAACCACTTCCTCTTGGGCCCTATATTCCAGCTGTATTGAACTGTTTCCCAGACACATCATTTTGTTTCATGCCTCTGTGTTTTACACATGTGCACTTTCTATATGGAGTAGACTTTTCCCCAATCTATGTACGCCCAAATAACATCTCTGAAAAGCTTAATGTTACTGTTCAAGTTGAGCTAACTGCTCATTCTTTGGTGTCCCTTCCCCTTATGATTTTACTTTCCACAGTGAATGGCATTTATGTGATTACATGTTTCTCTCTAGTACTAGACCTTGATTTTGAGAGCAGGGCCATTATGCATTCTTTTTCTTGCTTTGCTTTTTTTTTTTTTTTTTAATATCCCTAGGTCCTAGCACAGTATCTGGCCAATATTAGGTTCTCACAAATTGAGCAAATATGGAGGTGAATTGATGTGTAAGTAAGTATGTGACTTAGGTAAGATTGAAATGTGTATGTTTTATGGGGTGCCATGTATAGGGGAATAATCATAGACAAAATTATTGCCTTCAAACCTGAGACATTAGAATTATGTGAGGAAAGACAGACATAGAACAGCACAGGTTATTGTCACAGAGAGTAGTCTAGTCCAGTCTGGCCAGAACATAAGCTACAGGAAGTAGAGCAGGAGAAGAGAAAATGGGAGGTAAATTTATATTAGAGAACACATTATAGAAGGTTTCCAGTGCTGTTAAGTTTGGAATCAGTGGGGAACCACTGAAATTTTTTGACTAATGACTTGATCAGAATTATGTTGTTAGATAGAAACTCTGTCTTCCAGTGGCTGGCACCGTCCATGTTAATAAACATCAAATTAAAATGTCGGGGTTGGAAGGAGATGTGATTGGTGATACAAAACATTTATTGAGTAGTTAAAATGTGTCAGGTACTGCAATGAGTACATGTAGTAACTCTTTTAATCCTTATAACCCTATAAAGTCAATACTAATATTATCACCCTCAGTTTTCAAATGAAACAACAGAAGCAAAGGACGTCTTAGTCTGTTTTCTGATGCTATCACAGAATACCACAGACTGGGTAATTTATAAACAGTAGTTTATTTGGCTCAGTTCCAGTTGCTTGGAAGTCCAAGAGCATGGCATTGGCATCTGGTGAGAGCCTTGTGCTGCATCATCCCACGGCAGAAAGGCAAACAAGCACATGAGATGGAGAGAGAATAGAGGCCAGAATGTACCCTTTGTTTGTTTGTTTGTTTTGAGGCGGAGTCTCGCTCTGTCGCCCAGACTGGAGTGCAGTAGTGCAATCTTGGCTCACTGCAAGCTCCTCCTCCCGGGTTCACACCATTCTCCTGCCTCAGCCTCCCAAGTAGCTAGGACTACAGGTGCCCGCCACCAAGCCTGGCTAATTTTTTGTATTTTTAGTAGGGACGGGGTTTCACCGTGTTAGCCAGGATGGTCTCCATCTCCTGACCTCATGATCCACCTGCCTCGGCCTCCCAAAGTGCTGGGATTACAGGTGTGAGCCACTGTGCCCGGCCTCAGAATGTCCCCTTTTAAATGGGAACCCATACCTACATTAGTAGCATTAATCCATTCATGAGAGCAGAGCCCTCATGACCTAATTAACTCTTAAAGGTCCCACTTCTTAAAACTGTCAAAATGGCAATTATTTTCAACAAGAGTTTTGGAGGAGAGATTCAAACCATAGCAGGTAATATTTACCTAAGGTCACACCTTTAGTAAGTAGCAGAACTGGGATTTGAACCCAGCTGACTCTGGGTGGCATATTATTCTGTTTACTAGGCACAGCAGGGAGTTTAAGATCCAAGATTGAAGTTAGAGAAAAAAGATTAGGAAAAGCAGATTTGAGAGTCACCTTTGAGGTGATGTTTGAATCAGCCACGAAGGTAGCTGAGGTTTGTAAAAGAGGGGGTATAAAAACAATTTAGGGTGAAGGATTGAGCTTTGGGTTACATCTTCATACAGGAAGCAAGAATAGGAAGTGGAACCAATGGAAGATCTCAAGGAGAAGCAGAGCAACATAATGTGAGGAAGCTAGAACAGGAGATGGTTCCAGGAAGGATGTCATGTTCATTGAATGACTGATTAAATCAGGACTCCTTAAGCTTTTTATGTGCCATTAGCTTTTTTGGCAGTTTGGTGAAGCCTTTGGATCTTGTCTGATAATATTTGTAAATGCATAAAATAAAATATAAACTATAGTTATCAAAATACAGTGGTCCCCCCTTAACTGCAGTTTCAATTTCTGTGATTTCAGTTACCCAAGGTCAACCTGGTCTGAAAATAAGTACAATAAGATACTTTGTGTATGAGACAGAAAGACCATATTCACATAACTTTTATTACAATATAATTGTCCTATTTTGTTGTTAATCTCTTCCTGTGCAAATTTATAAATTAAACTTTATCATAGGTATATCTATGGATAGGAATAAACTGTATAATCACATTTGGTGCTGTGTGGGGGACACTACTATATTCAAAGAAACGTGTGATGATCTAGTAGTATGTGTTTCTGTATTAATACAATACAGTGTTTCTTTACTAATACATTAAAAAGCATGATTTTTTGGCAAGTTTAACAGCTCCCATAATTGTAAGTGATATTTTAAGATGTCTGTAACAACTATAATGTGATATGAAAATATTAATTGATGGTGTTTTCTATTGATGACAGTGTTACAGCTGCTGGCTGGTACTACAAAGATTTATTTTCTACATTCATAAAATTAGATTTCAGTGAGAGTTTTTTGAAAATAAAGTTGACTTTTTTTTATTCCATCCAAGTTTATGGACTTCTGAATTGTTTTTTTTTATTTTTTATTGATACATAATAATTGTACATATTTATGGGGTACATATGATATTTTGATACATGCATACGATGTGTAATGATCAAATCAGGATAATTAGGATATCCATCACCTCAAACATTTATTATTTCCTTCTGTTGGGAGCACTTCAAATCTACTAGCTATTTTGGAATATACAGTAAATTAATGTTAACTGTAGTCACCCAGCTGTGCTATCAAACACTATAGAATTTATTCCTTCAATTTAGCTATATTTTTGTAACCATTAATGAATCTCTCTTCATCCCCCCTCCACCCCCTCCCTTTCCCAGTCTCTGGTAACCATCATTCTACCCTCTACCTCCATAAGATCAACTTTTTTAGCTCCCACTTATGAGAACGTGATATTTTTTTTTCTGTGTCTGACTTATTTCATTAACATAATGACTTCCAGTTCCATCCATGTTGCTGGAAATGACAGGATTTCATTCTTTTTTATGGCTGACTAGTATCCATTGTATATATATACACCACATTTTCTTTATCCAGTCACTTGATAGACACTTAGATTGATTCCATGTCTTGGCTACTGTGGGTAGTGCTGAAATAAACATGGGCATGTACACATCTCTTTGATACACTGATTTCCTTTCTTTTGGATATATACCCAGCAGTGGGATTGCTGAATCATCTAGTAGATCTATTTTTAGTTGTTTGAGGAACCTTTATGCTGTTTTCCATAGTGGCTATGTTAATTTACATTTCTACCATCAGTATATGAGCATTCCCCTTTCTTTGCATCCTCACCAGTATCTCTTATCTGTGTCTTTTTGATAATAGCCATTTTAATTAGATTCAGATGATATCTCATTGTGGTTTTGATTTGCATATCCCTGATGGTTAGTAACGTTGAGAATTTTTTCATATGCCTGTTGGCCATTTGTATGTCTTTTGAGAAATGTCTATTCAGATCATTTGCCCATTTTCAAATGGGATTATTTGGAGGATTTTTGCTGTTGAGTTTGAGTTCCTTATATATTCTGGTTATTAATCCCTTATCAGATGGATAGTTTGCACATATTTTTTCCCATTCTGAAGGTTGTCTCTTCACTCTGTTGATTGTTTCCTTTGCTGTGGCAGAAGCCTTTTAGCTTGATGTAATCCCATTTGTGTATTTTTGCTTTCATTGCCTCTCCTTTTGAAGTCTTAAACCAAAAAATGTTTGCTCAAAGTCTTGAGCATTTCCCCAGTATTTTCTTACAGTAACTTTTATAGTTTCAGGTCTTACATTTAAGTTTTTAATCCATTTTGATTTAATTTTTGTATTTGATGAGAGATGGGGGTGTAGTTGTATTTTTCTGCATATTGTTATTCAGTGTTCCCAGCACCATTTAATGAAGAGTGTGTCCTTTTCCCATTGAATATCTTGGTACCTTTGTTGAAAATCAGTTGGCTGTTAAGATGTGGATCTATTATTTCTGGGTCCTTTATTCGGTTCTATTGGTCTGTGTATCTGTTTTTATGCCAGTACCGTGCTCTTTTAGTTACTGTAGCTTTGTAGTATATTTTGAAGTTGGGTGGTATGATGTCTACAGCTTTGTTCTTTTTGTTCAGAATTACCTTGACTATTTGTGTTTTCTGTGGTTCCATATTAATTTTAGGTTTGTTTTTTCTGTTTCTGCAAGGAATATCTTTGTATTTTGATAGGAATTGCAACAAATCTGTAGATTGCTTTTGGTAGTACAGTCATTTTCACGATACGAATTCTTCCGAAGACATAGGATGTCTTTCTATTTTTTTGTGACCTCTTCAGTTTTTTTCCTCAGTGTCTCATAGTTTTCCTTGTAGAGATCTTTCACCTCCTTGGTTTATTCTAGGTATTCTATTTTGTTTTTTTGGTGGGGGGAGGGGTTGTAGCTATTGTAAATGGGATTACTTTCTTTGATTTCTTTTCCCACTAGTTTACTGTTTGTATCCAGAAGCACCATTAATTTTTATATGATAATTTTGTATCCTGCAACTGTACTGAATTTATCAATTCTAAGAGATTTTGTGTGTGTGTGTGTGTGTGGACCTTTTAGCTTATAAATTTGTATGTTTTCTTGTTTAATGTCTCTTTATTTTCATTAGACTTTAAGTGTGATGATGGCAGGTATCTGATACAGAGCATACTGCTAGACACAGAAGGTGGCCAATAAATATTTGCTAAATAAATGAACCTTTCTGAGTCCCAGTTTTCTTGTTTATATAATGGGGATAATAAATTATAACCTTGTAGAGTAGTTGTAAGGATTGCTGCATCATAGTAATGTCACTAAAAGGGAGGATGAATATGGGTATGGAGAAATGTACTGAGGTAGAAATAAGAGTAAATGTGGGAGCTGGATGGCTAGGTTTGCTCTCTGAAACAGGAGGTGGCAGGGAGTAGGAAGAAAATGGTAGTTGGCAAGGAGCTTGGGAAGGGCCTAGAATGGAATTGGAAGGGTAGTAGAGTATATAGGGAAGGCTGTGGAGGTGTAAAATGGCTCATAGAGACTGGGTGTGGTTGCTCATGCCTGTAATCAAAGCACTTAGGGAGGCCGAGCCAGGTGGATCACGAGGTCAGGAGATCAAGATTATCCTGGCTAACACAGTGAAACCCCATCTCTACTAAAAATACAAAAAAAAAAAAAAAAAAAAATTAGCCGGGTATGGTGGCACGTGCCCGTAGTCCCAGATACTCCAGAGGCTGAGGCAGGAGAATCACTTGAACCTGGGAGGCGGAGGTTGCAGTGAGCGGACACCGTACCACTGCACTCCAGCCTTGGCAACAGAGTGAAACTCCATCTCAAAAAAAAAAAAAAAAGAATGGCTTATAGATAAACCTGATAAGATTTACCTTTGAAACATCTGTTAGAAGGGACAATCCATCATCATCTAATACCTGAAGGCTCTTCCATTCTCAGTTCAGCACCTTCAGAGACTGGTAGCCCATTTGTTCATCGAGTGAAAGGTCACTTAGTGGGCCTCTTGGTGGAGATATATATATATATAGTACACCCTCCCCTAAGGACCTTGCAGTAGAGATGAGGTGACTATGAAACAGACATATAAATGGAAGAGAATAATACAATTAAAACAGTGATAATGGCCAACACAGGGTGCTTTGGAAACGTACTGAAGAGGCTATTAATCTCAACTCTGGGTTCAAGGAAGGCTTCCTGAGAGGAGTGAGATTTCACCTGAAAAGACATATAGAAGTAGGTAAGTAGACTTCAGGTCATTATGGGTCATGACAAGGAAAGTAGATCATTAACAATCATGGAAGGTTTTCATGCAGAAGTATAATATGATCAACTAAGCATAATAAAAATATCCTTCTGGCAGCACTGTGGAAAATAATAAGATTGGAGAGAGAGAGACCAATTATAAAGAAAGTTGCAATAATCAGTGAAAACCAACCATTGAAGGCCTGGACCAGTAGGAATGGAAGGAAAAGAAAGGAAGATTCAAGAGCTATTAGAAAGGTAGAATTGTTAGGACAATTGAATGGGAAGGTTTGAGGAAGATGGGGTCATCAACGATGACCCACATTTGTAGCTCGGGTGGACATCTTGTTATTCACTGAAGTCTTAAATATAAGAGAGGAGTTGGAATATATTGGGAAGGGAAAGTGATGAGTGTACTCTTGTAATCTTGAGATGGAGATACATTCAGAGTAACAATTGCTAACTTTATTTGCCTATGGAATACCTAATTAGAATTCATTATTGAACCATCAATAGCTTATGAAACATAAAATAGAAAACTCACCAATTTTTTTAAACTAATGGCACGGTTTGAAAATTATAAGACACTGCTTTTCATTTAAAACTTCATTCTCTTACACATTTTTGAGATAACTAGGAGAAATGAACAGATTGGGTCAAATGAAGTTAAGTAATTTTTAATTTTGTTGGTTGTGGTGATGGCATTATAGTTATGTTAAGGGAAAGGTTATTATCTATTATAGATATGCCTAAAAGTATTTACTGGTGAAATGTAATGACAGAATTTGTTTAAAATACTCCAAAAAATGCAGAACAATAGATGAAACAAGAATGGAAGAATGTTAAATGTTGAAAATTGTTGACATTCATGAGAGTACATTGGAGTTTATTAGATTCTTCTCTTCTGTGTGTGCTTGGAGCTTTTCAAAGTAAAATTAAAAAAACCTTTTTAGTCAGAGATTCAAAGGAAATTCGTGGAATATATAATTTTAAATTAATAAATCAATATTGAATCACATGATAAATGTAATTTGAATATGTGATAAGACAAGTGACCGACCAGAGATCATCAAGCAGATGACATATGTCACCTGAGTAGTTAGGAAATGCTGTTTGAGCATTAATACACAGATTTAACCTTATGTTTATGCCTCAGATGATCTCATACAATTGTCTGAGATGCCATATGTTGAAAATAGCTGTATTGAGGTGGTTACTTTTCATATGATTCTCCCTTCTCTAGGAATAGCTCTAATCCATAGAGGTAATACTGTACCTGGCCACAACCAATGAATCCAGTGGTACACACCTAATACAAGCTGAGCCAGTGAGAGAGGCTCTCCCAGCAAAGCAAAACTTGAAAGATAAAGAGGCAGGAGGCCTTTGCAGGTGAGCATATTAATGGCAACTCAACCCCTGCTTCTAAGGTCCCTGTGGCTATTCTACCTGAGGCTAGCTTATTCAACTATTACTTTCATTTCATGAGTTAGATCAGTATCTTTCCAATAAATCCTCATTTTTAAAATGTAAGTTAGCCAGAATTGGTTTCTATTGCTTGCAATAAACAGACTTATTAAATATAATAAATTGTTACATAATAAAAAATATTATATAAATGTGTTTGATGTTGCATTATGTCTATGTGGAAATAAATTCAAAAATAAATGATTGCTATCATCAAACTTACTTTTTTTATTTCTTGAGGAACGCTATTGTGAAGAATACAGTTTAAGAACATGCAAATTCATGAAGCGTTCCATATTTAAAAAAAAAACAAAAACAAAAAACTGCTATTGCATAGCATCCAAGTGGATTTGACCAGAAGTGGTTCAGATATGGGTAGTGTGGAACTCAGAGCAAGATCTGAGCTGAAGAGGTAAGCTTGGAAGACATTAGCAAATGGGTGGTAACAGAAGGCATGTGGGAGTAAATGAGAGGACCATCCAGGGCAAGTGTATAGTCTAAGAAGAGTAAAGGTTGAGGACAAAACTCCAGGGAACACCAATACTTAAAGGGTTGCTGAAAGAAAGGAGTCCCAAAGGGACTGAAAAGGGGACGCCAGAAAAGTAGGAGGGAAAACTAGGAGAGAGTGCCATCAGGGATGCCAGAAATTTGACCAATTTAGGAGATAGGGTATGGCCAACAGTGTCAGATGTTGCAGAGACTAGTTCATTTGATTTGGCAACACAAAAGTATTGGTGAACAATTGCATTGTTGAGAGTTAAAAGATTAAATGGCAAGAATGGGAGCGGGGCCACAGTTGCCCATGACTTTTCCAAGAAATCTGACTCTGCTAGGGGAAAAAAAATAGAGTCCTTTTTATATATTTATTTATTTATTTTTTGAGATGGAGTCTTGCTCTGTCACCCAGGCTGGAGTGCAATGGCACGATCTCAGCTCACTGCAACCTCCACCTCCCGAATTCAAGTGATTCTCCTGCCTCAGCCTCCTGAGTAGCTTGGATTACAGGCACCCGCCATCACGCCTGGCTAATTTTTTTTTTTTTTTGTATTTTTAGTAGAGATGGGATTTCACCATTAACCAGGATGGCCTTGATCTCCTGACCTCGTGATCCACCCCCCTCGGCCTCCCAAAGTGCTGGGATTACAGGCGTGAATCACTGCGCCTGGCCAAATAGAGTCCATTTTTAAATGCTAGAAAGGGATGGCAGAGCTGAGTGTTAGAAAGCCAGAGCCTCCTGGATTTACCGGTGCTGTGCCATTATTTTCAGAGGCATTCATAGCTAATGACAAAGTAGACAGTGAACTACTGCAAAGCAGAACTGGCTGCCTTGCTCATCTCTTGCCCACAATTATTACTTTCCAAACTGATGAGAGACTATTCCTGAGATACTTATGATGGAGGTAGTTGGGAGGTCCTGGTGGGGAAGGATTACATGGAGGGAAGAGTAGTTATAAGTGTTTGAACTTGTTACCATTTAAACTGAGATTATAGAAGGGGAGAATGGAGTTAACCACCCCTCACCACAGTCTTGGTGAGGGATGGTTATGTTTGTCCTCACCTTGGTCTTGTCTACACTGTGCTCCCTATGGAGAACTTGGACCCCTCTGCCTTGTTCCTCTCACCCAGAGAAATTGCAGTGTCTGCTGTACCTATTCCTATGCCCTTCCACCCAGTCTAGTTTCTCCTGTTCTTCCCCAGATCTCCTTCCAAATAGACTGGTGTAACTGGCACAAAGTGTTTGTTAACTGATTGCCAATCCAATAATAAGGGGACTGAGGTTCTTCTTTGAAGGGTGGGTTTAATTTGGGGCTTTCGTACCAATTCTGACCACGTGTAGAGCATCATTCAGCACACTATGGGCTGTGAGCACAATCTTGCCTACCACCTGTTTTTAAATGGCCTAAAAGCTAAGAATGGTCTTCACATTTTTAAATGGTTAGGGAAAAAAAAAGCAAATGAAGAATATTTCGTGACACATGAAAATTACATGAAATTTGAATTTTAGTGTCCATAAATAAAAAGAGGGTTGAGGACAAAAACTCCAGGGAACACCAGTATTTAAAGAGAGCTGAAAGGAAGGAGTCTATGAAGGAGACTGAGAAGGAGATGCTCAAGAAGTGGGAGGAAAAGCTAGGAGGAAACTAGGAACACAGCCACTCTCCTTCATTTACATATTGTGCATGGAGGCTTTCGTGCCACAGTTGAGTACTCATGACAGAGATCTGATAGCCCACAATGTCTAAAATATTTGCCATCTGGCCCTTTACAGAAAAAGTTTGCTAACCCCTGGTTTAGGACTCTAGGTGGCTGTGTCCCATATGTCTCCCCACTGGTAGTCTCATAAACTTCTTTTCTACTGTCCAGGGGCCTGAATCTCCCCACTGCCAGAACCGCTGATGGGTTAGTGCATAAATGTTGGGATACTGGGAAATGTTCTTTTGTTTTCTGGAGGGTTACCATGATTTCCAAACCCTAGTCCTTCCCTGGCACCCTGCCTCCACCACACAGACACACACACATATATACACATTGCTGTTCCAGAATATCTAGGAGGTCATAGAGTTGTTTTTGTTTTTGGCTATTACTGCTGCTATTACTTGTTTATCAAAAGAGGATATGAAGCCAGGCACAGTGGCATGTGCCTATAGTCCCCAGCTACTGAGGCGGGAGGATCGCTTGAACTCGGGGGTTCAAGACTGGAGTGAGTTATGATTGCACCTGTAAGTAGCCACTGCACTCCAGTCTGGGCAACAGGGGAAACTTTGTCTTAAAAAAAAAAAAAAAAAAAGGTGGAAGGTATGAATTTTGAAAGCCTCAGAAACACTGTTGGACAATATTCACATATATTAATTTCTCAGATTACTTGATTGCCACATTAGAGCTTTCTCACTGCCTCTTCCCCCACCCCTTCTGTCTTTCTCTTTCTTTTGTCTAACAAACTTGAAGCATGTACACTGACAGTTTCTTCCTCACCTCCCACTTACTTCTCAGCCCACCACAATCTGGAGTTGACTCCCACTACAACACTGAAACTGCTCTCAATAAATTTGTCAGCCATCTCATAATCACCAAATCTAAGGACACTTTTCAATCCTTTCTTGACTTTTGAGTAGCATTTAAAAATGCTGACCTTGCCCTCCTTCATGGCACACCTCTTTTTTATTTCTCTGATCTGCTTCTACCTTGGTCTTTTCTTAGTGCTCTGGATGGTCCTCGTGCCACCAGATTCTTACAAACCAGGGTATTTCAGTGTACTCGTTATTATCTTTGTCTCAGTGACACACACACCCTCCTCTACTGTGTTTTGAACTGCTTAGCTTAGGAGTCAGCCAGGTGTGTATTTCCCAGCCTTCCTGGACATCTGGCTTCCTTTTTGATTCTGCCAGTAGGAGGCACTGATGGGAGATCAGAAGGCAAGAGAAACTGAGAAGCATCCTGCTTCAGCCTCTAAACAGTGGCGGTGGCTGGCAATAGCTGGTAGCTATTGGCTGTAGCTGTAGCAGCAGGAAGAATGGGAGACTCAGGACTCCAGCCTCCTGAGCAGAAGTACCTTCTCAAGGATTCTAGCCTTGAAGGAGGTGGCACCTTTCTAGTAGATTGGAACTGACTATGACAGTGTCTCTCACAAGGCAATGAGTAGATTTACAGATTCCAGCTCAGGGATGATGGCAGCTTCTGATTTCCAGATAGCAATCTTTTTTTAAAATGTACATTTCTAGGACTCTCCTTTTTTTTTTTTTTTTGTACTTCTTGCCCTTTTAACACCTTTGTAACCAATTCTCTATATTAAATTCTTTCAGTCTGAAGCACATAAAGTAGTTAAATGCTCCTGACTGGATCCTGGATAACTGGTATGAGGTTTGGGGTTTGAGCCCATGCATGCTTTTGTCCTTGTTTCACTTCCCACTCCTTCTGCACAGTTTACTTGGGTGATCTTATTCATGGCCTCTGCTTCGACATTTGTGCTGATGACTCTCAAATCAGGGTCTTCAGACCATACCTGGGGTCCATACCCACACGCCTCACTGCGCTCCCATGCAGTTTCAGCTGGCTGTTCCACTGGCATTTCAAATTCAACATGTACAAAATCAAGCTCTTTCTCTCTGTAAACCTGCTCCCATGGCATTCTTTTCTGCTTCAATTCAGTCCATCCCTGACCACCCACCCAGCCACCCATGCTGGAAATCTGAGATATCTTTGACTCCTCCACCTTCCCACTCCCACAGCTAATCAGTAGCCAAACCCTTTAGATTCTACTTCCTAATTATCTTGATATTCTATCTCCTCCGCCTCCTCTAATTATGACTTAATTCAGGCTCTTATTATCTGTCATTTAAATTATTGCTGTATTGCTACAGGAGTGGTGTGTATATGTGCAACTGTTCATCTTGGTATGCTATAGACTCTTGCCCAGCAGTTTTGCCTCAATTCTTTAAAAGCTCCAGTTCATTGTTTGAAATATCAATCAGAACATTTTTTCCAAAATGCTAAAATGATTGTCATTCCCCAGTTTTAATATCTCTATCATCTGCTAAGTAAAAGCAAGCTCCTCCTTGTGGCGTAGCAGGGCCCACGTGATCTGGCCCTTGCCCGAATTTGTAGCTTATCACAACATCCTTCTACCCCCCATTACCTCCTATTATACAGGAACACCCAAGCGACCTTCACAACATTCATATCAACTAGTACACAGGGTCTCCAAAGAGGACCTCTGGATGCCTGTGATCTTTGTACTTCTGCCTACCCTTTGCCCTGGCGTGTTTTTCTCTTCCTTCATGTTCTGCTGGCCAAATTGTTTTTCCTTCAAGTCTTAGGAGCCTGCCTGATTATGTTCCTCCTATTCCGCATCCTCATAAAATTACTGCGACTTCCAAAACACTTGGCACATTCTTATTTGAATACATTACATTGTTGTGTAATTATCCCTTGGCCCCCTCCCCCAGCACTAGACTCTAAGCTCTTTGAAGGCAGACTATGCCTATTCATCTTTGTATTTCTAGCCCTGGGCCCAACACCCAGAATTTCTTGTATTTTCAATATATGTCTGCCAAATGAATTAGAGCTAATGCCTGAAGGAGAATAAGTTTTTTTGAGAAAGAGGAAGAGCCAGGAGGGAGGAGAAGGCAGGGTCCGAAGAGCCCTGGGGGTTTACTTGGGGAAGATGCGGTTCCCCATTGCAGCATTCTGCCAGGAGGTGGCACTGCTCTGAAGAGCCAGCTGGTCGCTTACAGACTGAGGCTGACAGCTTGAAACCAAAGAGGGAACTCCACCAGGAAGCAACATTCCTCCACTGGGCTTCCCAGCCCAGTTACATGCCATACTCTGCCCTGGTCAAACAGCCAAGTCTTCAGGAGGTTACTGGCCCCAGGCGTCTCCCCAGTGACTGATGATGTTAAACCCTACGCTTCTCTGATTGGTTTAGACAAAATGACAAGGGCACCTATTGGAAATGATCTGGCAAAACATGATCTAAGGCCACCCTCTCGGGGAGGGAGTTGGGGAAGCTGGGTTGGCTGGGTTGGTAGCTCCTACCTACTGTGTGGCAAGAAGGTATGGGTCATGAACAGAACCAAGGAGCTGCGCTGCTACAGATGTTACCACTTCTGTGGCTGCTACCCCACTCCTGGGCCGTCCCTGAAGGTAAGATGGTACTCCTATTTACTTCCATCCTGAACCTAGGGAGCCCACTCAGCTTTGTGAGGAAAAGCGCTGTGCTTTGTGAGTGGTGGGAAGTCTTATGAGGCAGTGGAAACAACAGGGGAGTGGGGAAAGACAGCTGCTATGTGTGGTTGGTAAACGATATCAGTGATGCTTTGCATGTTCCATTTAAGACAATCTCTTGAAGCGGAGATTGTTCTCTCCATTTTACAAATGAAGAAAATGAGACTCAGAGTTATTTGTGCAAGTTCACACCATTGGAAAGTGGTAGAGCTGGGATTTGAACAAAGTGAATGTTATTTTCACTCCTCCACTCAAGATTCTACTCTGCTTTCTATCATTAACTTATCTTGTGATTCTTGAAAAGTGTCTTAGTTTCCTTCTCTGTAGAGGATGGGGCAGAATGGAAGAATAATCTGGAAGATCCCTCTTCCTCCAAATGTCTGTTTTTCTGGGTATTGGGTTAAAGGTTTCCTGCTGGCTGAGCGATTCCTGCCAAGAGCTTCAAAGAAGAGGGATTATTTTATGCAGTTATGGGGTCACTTCTCCCATTGCTGTCTTTGGGAGGCCTGGTAGGTTAAGGAACAGAAGACATTTTGAGAGACGCTTGGTGCCAATGAAGTGGCTGAAGAAATGTCTGGATACAGGTTTTCCAATTTACCATTTGTGTCTGGGGATAGTGGGAGGCAGTCCCATCTATGGCTTGGGGAGGCTGTAGCCATTCCTCCTCTTTCCCTTCTAAGAGTGAGAAACCCATCCATGGCCTTCTCTAGTCAATACAGTGGCCTGGTATGAATTAGACAAAGGAATCCCCTTTGGGAGGATACAGCCCTATGCCAGGATGTATGGCATGGTGAGCAGAATGCAGGCTTTCACTTGCTTCTTTGGCTAGGTGTCTTTGTGCAGCCCCCAAACACACAATGAACAGTGACTCTGAATCTGTCACTTTATTTTATATATATACATTTTTAAATTTTTTATTTGATTTAATTTATTTTTTTTGACACGGCATCTCGCTCTGTCACCCAGGCTAGAGTGCAGTGACGTGATCTCGGCTCCCTGCAACCCCTGCCTCTGGGGTTCAAGAGACTCTCCTGCCTCAGCCTCCCAAGTAGCTGGGATTACAGGCGCATGCCACCACACCCAGCTGATTTTTGTATTTTTAGTAGAGATGGGGTTTCATCATGTTTGCCAGGCTGGTCTCAAACTCCTGACCTCAGGTGATCCACCCGCCTTGGCCTCCCAAAGTGCTGGGATTACAAGCTTGAGCCACCGCGCCCGGCCTTTATATATATATTTTTTGAGACGGGCTCATTCTGTCACCTGGGCTGGAGTCCAGTGGCACAATCATGGCTCACTGCAGCCCCAACTTCCTAGGCACAAGCAATCCTCCTGCCTCAGCCTCCAGAGTAGCTGAGACCACAGGTGTTTGCCACCACACCTGGCTAAGTTTTTGTATTTTTTGTAGAGACAGGGTCTCGCTGTGTTGCCCAGGTTGGTCTTGAACTCCTGGGCTCAAGCAATCTGCCTGCCTCAGCCTCCCAAAGTGCTGGGATTACAGGCATGAGCCACCATGCCTGGCCTGAATCTGTCACTTTAGAAAGTAGAACTCTTTACTTTTGCCAACTGGCCTTTTTATAGGCAGGGGAAGCTTGGAGAGATGCCATAATTTGTTCTTCACCCCCTTTGGGAGGGGGAGTCTAAATAACAGACACAGGAAAGGGTCTCACCTCAGCCCACGCTCCTTAAGCAGGCCTTGCTTGTTTTTGTTGTTTTGTTTTGAGACAGAGTCTCACTCTGTCACCCAGGCTGGAGTGCAGTGGCTTAATCTTAGCTCCCGGCAACCTCTGCCTCCCTGGTTCAAGCAATTCTCCTCCCTCAGCCTCCCGAGTAGCTACAGGCGCATGCCAACATGCCCAGCTACTTTTTTGTATTTTTAGTAGAGATGGAGTTTCACCATGCTGGCCAGGCTGGTCTCAAACTCCTGACCTCATGATCCACCCACCTTGGCCTCCCAAAGTGCTGGGATTACAGGCATGAGCCACTGCGCCTAGCCCCACCTTGCTGTTTTTTAAGTTGGAGGAGAAGGCTCCCACCTCCCTGAACCTCACCCTGTGTCCTTTGCAGCTCCTACTCCAATGTGGCCAGATGACCTGCAAAACCACACATTCCTGCACACAGTGTACTGCCAGGATGGGAGTCCCAGTGTGGGACTCTCTGAGGCCTACGACGAGGACCAGCTTTTCTTCTTCGACTTTTCCCAGAACACTCGGGTGCCTCGCCTGCCCGAATTTGCTGACTGGGCTCAGGAACAGGGAGATGCTCCTGCCATTTTATTTGACAAAGAGTTCTGCGAGTGGATGATCCAGCAAATAGGGCCAAAACTTGATGGGAAAATCCCGGTGTCCAGAGGTCAGGAGTTTTCTGGGGAGTGAAGGGAGGAGGGCTGCATTAACCTCATTGATCTGTACACTGAATAATTCCCCTTGATACCAGCTCCCCATCTCAAATACTTTCTGGTTCTCTTCATCACCTTAATTTTTCCACCAGCCTTGGTCTGCACCCTGTGTTCTTTTGGTGGGCCGAAGTACCTAGCATGTAGTAGGCATTCAGAACTATGTATTGAATGTGATGAATTCAACAGGTACCAACTGATACCTACTGAATATTAACACTTGTGCTACTATGCCCAGCAAGATGGATGGGAAGAGTGGAAATATCTGATGACGTGACTATGTCTTAGTGAGAAGACAGTGCATGGTTAGACATCAATGTGAGCTCTAGACAGGAAGTGCTGAAGGAAGTCATGGTGGAGGGGTCCAGAGTAGCCTGGATCTGGCTCTGCTTCTACGTCTAGCTGCAGTCCTTGCCTGGAAGAAGACCTCCCTTCAGAGCCCAGCTCCTCGCTCATCTCTGTCTCCCAAAGCCTGACCCACTGTGTTCTTCTCTGCCCTCCCCTCCATATGCCATGGCCCCTCCAAACACAGAGATACCATCTAAACTAGTCTCTTTTTCCCCCTACACTTCAATCCCCCCACCAGGGTTTCCTATCGCTGAAGTGTTCACGCTGAAGCCCCTGGAGTTTGGCAAGCCCAACACTTTGGTCTGTTTTGTCAGTAATCTCTTCCCACCCATGCTGACAGTGAACTGGCAGCATCATTCCGTCCCTGTGGAAGGATTTGGGCCTACTTTTGTCTCAGCTGTCGATGGACTCAGCTTCCAGGCCTTTTCTTACTTAAACTTCACACCAGAACCTTCTGACATTTTCTCCTGCATTGTGACTCACGAAATTGACCGCTACACAGCAATTGCCTATTGGGGTGAGGCTTTCTCCCTGGAATTCTGGTCCTTTTGGGGGCAAAAAGGGATAGATCCATGGGAGGAGGCTTCTTTCTCCACTGGTACCTTGTTTAGTCCATTCCTACCCTAAGCCCATCCCAGTCTCCCATGTCATCCCAGACACCCACGTCATTTCCCTGGGTGGGAGGCTCCCTAACTAGGTCCCCAGGCTGAGCCACTCATTTCCTCCAGTACCCCGGAACGCACTGCCCTCAGATCTGCTGGAGAATGTGCTGTGTGGCGTGGCCTTTGGCCTGGGTGTGCTGGGCATCATCGTGGGCATTGTTCTCATCATCTACTTCCGGAAGCCTTGCTCAGGTGGTATGTCATCTGGAGGGGGCGGGTGAGCCTGTGGGAGCCAGATACAGTGGTGCATGCGTGCATGTGTCAGGATTATTTTGTGGCATGGGGGGACATATAGCGATCCTCAGGCCCTTGGGTGTGGGGGCCTGTATCCAGCACCATGGGGGCACATCTTCCCAGTTGGGGACCCAGTTACACACACACAGTTATGGGTCACAAGAATTGCTTTGAGTGAAAAAAGGAATCATGGGGTGCTGTAGGAAGGGTGCTTGGAGATGATTTGGGAACAAGGAGAGATCAACTTCTGCAGGGTGTGGTGCAGGCAGGGCGAGCAAGGCCTTTGTGGGGGAGGAGGAGGAGGAGAAGGAGGAGGAGGATGGATCCCCTGATGCCTTTCCTCCATCCCTGTCTCTCCCCCAGACTGATTCTTCCAGACCAGAGTTTGATGCCAGCAGCTTCGGCCATCCAAACAGAGGATGCTCAGATTTCTCACATCCTGCCCAGGATCTCCTCTTAGGGTAGAAGAAGTCTCTGGGACATCCCTGGGGTGTGTGTGTAGATTTCCCACCTGGGGACTCTGCTGTCCCTGGGCTTGCATCCCAGGGATCCCAGAGTGGCCTGCCTATCACAACCACATCCCTTCCCCCCACAAGGCAATAAATCTCATTTCTTTATATCAGTGTGGCTTCTTTCTTAACTCATGGTATTTGTTTCTGGATATCTCAACTTGAGTGGGTTGTCGTTTCAAATTCAGCATGCCTTAACCTGAACACAGCTTGACCTCGTTAGGGAGGGAAATAGGGAAAACCCCTAATTTGCCAGCTGAGCTCTTATTCCCTGGTCTTGGCGGTACATGATGTTTTTCCATCTATCGGTTTGTGCAAAATATGTGAGAAACGAAGGCAGAGTTATTTTCTAATAATCTGCTTACAAAATGGTTAAGGAAGCTGCTTGTGTGTTTTGTGCGTGTGTGTGTGTGTTGTGTATTTTACTGTTTGTGAAAATGTTTATGTCTCGTATAGGCTGCCCTGAGGAACATATAACTCCCTTCAACCCTCACCGTAACTGAGAAACAGAAGCTCAGGGATGGGAAGAATAAGCTCCCAAGTGCTATACCAATCAGTTATGTCAGTTCTGGGAAAACAGTATCATGAAGCCCCTAACATGAAGTGAAAACAGCCTGGAAGGGCAAAGAATTCACATGTCTTTCCTGACAATCTGTTCCTTGGCCTGAGTGAACTGTCCAAGGAGAACTGCACAGGTGCTGTCCTGGGAAGATAACGAAAGGTGGCAGCACATGACCACTGGTGGTAAATTGCTTTGCATATGCTTTCTTTCTTGCATTCCTTAGGGTCTGGGAGTTGCTTTGGATGACAGGGTGGCAATAAAGTTGAGAGGGCAATTATTTGGTGAGGGAGTTTCTGTTCTTGGCATTGTACTAGAGTCTAATCTAAAAGAAAATATTAAATTCTCCCTAAGAGAAGTTGCACTGTCTCTGAACCATCTCATTTCTAACAGCATCATGTGTACCGGTTAAGAAGCATGGGCTCTGGAACCTGACTGCTGGGGATTCAATCGTAACTGTCAGCGTTTAGCTGTGAGCCCTTGGGCAAGTTACTTAACTTGTGCTTTGGTGTCATTTTCTGTAAAAGGATGATGATAACAATGGTGTCCCCCTTACCACTCTACACCCACCATGTTGCCAACATTTGAAAGTCAAATAAGTATTAGCGAGGATAAAGGAAAATGTGAACTGTAATATCTTGGTCTGTTGGTGGGAATGTAAACTGTTTATGATGCCCGAATTACAGAAATTATGAACTAGTTGAGTGAAAAAGTTAATATAGGAAATAAGGCAGCATATCCTCATGCTGTGAAGCTTAAATAAGTTAATACCTACAGAATGCTTAAAATAGTGTTTGGCACATAGAAAATGTGCTGAATAACCTAACCTTATCATTATTGGTCTTGATCTTCAGAGGAGAACTTAGTTGCCTCGTAGACTTCTTTCTCTTTTCTGAAATATACCTCAATACTAGCTTCAAGTATTGTATTTTCTCCATTTTAGATGTTTTTCTTTTTATTCTCATGTTAGTAATTCTAGATGTGGTGCTTTCTAGTTCTTCCTAATTTCTCTGTCTCTCTGTTTTCCAACTTATCTAGATATTTCCTGTCAGGCAAGACTTAAAAGTGCTTTATTATGCTGTGTGACTTTAGACAAGTCACTTCCCCTCTCTGGGCCTCAAAGTCTTCATCTGTAAAATGATGGGCTTAGATTAGATGCTCTCTGATGAAACCTTCTATGATACTGTTACTTAAGTACTCTAGAAGCACTCAGTATCCTCTCTAGTCTGGTGCCCCTTTTCTAATAAAAAATATTACTCACTATTCCCAGCAGGAATGCTATTCTTGAATAAATCTTTTTTCCTCACTCTTCCTTGAGGTATTATATCTGGTTTTGGTTTAGGGCATTTGCCCAGGCTCTTTCCTCTCACAAGAATGCTTTCTTTATTCTGCTCATCTTGTTCCTGTCTTAACCCACTCCATAGGTCCAACTCCAGTTCAACTTATTCCATGAACCTGCCCCTAATTTCTCTTTATTGAAATCTTCCAAGACTTAAAGCACTCAACCTAAGGATTGGGATATGCCGCTTTATTTCCTATGTTAATTTTTTCGCCCAACTAGTTTATAATTTCTATAATTCAGGGATCATAAACAGTTTACACTCCCATCAACAGAGCAAGATAGTTCACATTTCCCTTTATGCTCACTAATGCTTGTAATTATTTGACTTTCAAATGTTGGCAACATGGTGGGTGTAGAGTGGTATTTTGTTGTTTTAATTTGCTTTTCTCTCATTACTAATCAGTATCATATTGTTTGATTATTTTGGCTTTTTAATATGTGTTACTATTTAGTAGAACTAGTCTCCATTCCTTCACCACCTTCCCAAAAAATTTATTTTCCTTTTCTTTATCAAAATATTCTAAGATACTCTTGGACTTTATTTCCATGTACATTCTATAATCAGTTTGTTAAATTCTCCTGAAATCCTACTGTTACTTTAATTGGGGTAGCATTTAGGTTAGAGATGTGGGGAGAGGTTGTCATTATGTTAGCATGGCCTATCCATGAATATGGTATATCTCTACACCTCTCAGGTCTTTGTGCACTTCAATAAAGTTTTCTTTTTTCTTAAAATTCTTATATTTGATATGTTAATTCATAAATATGCTATGGTTTTTATTGTTATTATAAATAGTAGGCAATTTTCAGTTATTTTCCAATTGATTATTGGCAATACAGGATTTAAAGTAATAAATCCTGAGTTCAAGTAATGGTTTTATTACTTAGTATCTGGGTAAATCTGGGCAACCACTTAACCTCCCTCTGCCTCCATTTTCTCGTGGGTAAGATGAAGATAGCATTCTTCAATAGTTGTGGTGGCAAAAAATAAAATTAAAAAAGGAAAAATAGTTGTGGCAAATCAGATAGACTATCCCTAGTAGTTCAAATAATTTGACTGTAGGTTGGAAGGATGGTGAACTGACTACAGAAACTATAATCCAAAGGTCAGGGTCTAGAGCAGTGAATCCTGACAGGGTAGGAGGGTGTGTGTGTGGGCGGAGGTGAGGTAAGGGGTAGATGGCAGGGGTGGGGTGGGGATTGGACAGATTGGGCAAGTAATATAATCTTGGCAGGATGTAGGTGTGTGTAGTTTTGAAAAGACACTGAAGTCACGAATGTGGTCTTATGCTATGAGGCGTGATTAACTGGTTGAGCAATTTTGTGTTTATAAAATGGAGACTTCAGTTAAAACCATCTGCCCCAAGAACCTGCGAACTGACATGGAGCAACTTTAGGAAGTGCCTAGAAGAGATTTATTATTATGGCCATACTCTCAGAAAAAAACAAGAAATCACATTTGTGACTTCCTCCAACGTGCAGTGCCAGTGACGTTATTGTAGCTTGTCTTTGTTTTAGCTAACCCAGGCTCTCGTAGGACACCTCCTCCCTGATGGCACCTCACAGCATTGTCAAGCTTGTGGAGCTATACACCAGACCTACAATGCCAACTGCCTTCCTCCTCTCCAACACAAATCCAGCCCAGTATTCAAGGCTCATTCCAGGCCCTCTCGACTGAGAGTACTCCCTGTCTACCATGTCCATGGTGATTTCTCTCTTCTCTTTTAAGACCACTGGCCTTATTGCTTACTTACTTTAATATAAACTATTTAAAGTGTTTGTTCTCACTCCCCAATTGACGTACAAGCAAAGCGATATGGGGGCAGAATCCATATCTTCTCACTCTGTATTTTCCCAGTAATGCTTTGCACACAAACCCTGGGACTAGTTTACTGCAGGCATGTGGTGGTCAGGCTAAGGGCAGAGGCAATGGGAAAGGAGAGGACTCACTCTTTGGGTGGTTGTGTAGAGGCAATAAAAGAAAGGCAACATGTGGGAACCTGGTTGGGGCTCCATACCTCTTCGGTCCCGGTGCTATATCAATAATTAACAAATAAGTAACAATGGACAGAGCAACTGAAATGTTATTTTGAATTGGCTAGAGGTGGAAAGACAGAGCTATATCTGTAAAAATGGAAGGGTTGGGAGGAGGAGAGGAAGGAAAACACTGCTGAGCACAGGTGTCTGGGTTTTCTGTCCTTCTTTATTCTAAAAAGCTCCCTCAGTGTTTGAATTAATAGAGAAGTGAAATCCTCTCCTACCATTTCCTGTTGTGGCCTCACAGAAGGTTTCACATCTCCTTTGACTGCCGGAGCAGAGATCTAGACATAAGAGGGAACTACATTCAGCCCCACTGTTACTGGCTAGGGCCATGTTCAGTGCTGGCACAGGACCACACAGCCAGTGCTCCCTTGCCAGGGCTAGGCTTTGTAGACATTGAAAAGGATCCCAGGACTTGGTTCCTATAAGGTTAGGCTAACAGCTTACCTGGGCAGGATGGGGAGGAATGTGAGGGGGAAATGTATTGGGGGGGTGTGGGGGAAAATTCAGTTTTGAAACTTGTCAAAAGAGAAAGTGGAAGGGACGGTGGTTCTCAGAGCAGAAGGAACTCTGAGGACAGGAAAGATAAGACTTGGGTGAATTGGGTTATGGATTGTGACTCTTCTCTTTCTCTCTTTCTCAGCGGAGGCCTCACTAACTCCCTTTATTTGAGCCATCCCAGTTCCAAGATGTAGTGAGTGTGTGGGCATGCTCAAGAGAGTGTGTATGTGTGTGTGTGTGTACACACGTGCATGTGTAACAGCTGTATAAGAAGAGGAGTTACAGCCTTTAGACCTTGGGTGTGAATCTTTGGACCTGTTTTCCAACCTGGGAAATGAGGACAATTAACAAGTTTTTTTTTTTTTTTTTTTTTTTTGAGACAGTCTCATTCTGTCACCCAGGCTGGAGTGCAGTGGCACGATCTCGGCTCACTGCAACCTCCACCTCCCAGGTTCAATCGATTCTCCTGCCTCAGCCTCCAGAGTAGCTGGGATTACAGGCACGCGCCACCACACCCAGCTAATTTTTGTATTTTTTGTAGAGACGGGGTTTCACCATGTTTGCCAGGCTGGTCTCAAACTCCTGACCTCAGGTGATATGCCTTCCTCAGCCTCCCAAAGTGCTGGGATTACAAGCGTGAGCCACCATGCCCGGCCAACAAGTCTTTTAAGATGAGATGAGATATTATAGAAAGGACCTACCTAGCACTGTATCTGTAGAAGCTCTACAGATTATGCACTCCCCACCCCATATTCTGCCCATTCCAACACACTTGACAGTTCGTTAGCAGAGTTAGAGTATATAAGCAAGGTGAGTGGGGGCAGTGGCTGGGAGCTATGGCAGAGCTTCAGTTAATCTCAATTAGTTACACAACGAATCTTTCGTTTTTGGTAATAATCTTTGTATGCATTTTTTATCCCCATTTTCTTCATAGGTGTTAGATTTTCCTGAGATCAGGGACTTTGAGGGAGGGCAGGTAAGTGTGGTGTCAAGGGGCCCCTTCCACAATCCTCTTTTGTTTAGCTCACTATTTAATAAAATCCAAGAGTTCTCAGAAACTAAGATGTGAAGAGGCAGCCCTGAAACCTACTGGGGAGCAGAAGGAAGCCAATTTAGAGTTTCAAGTTAGTGATGGAAAATCCATCAACTGTATAGTTCACAATGGGATAGAAGAATGAATTGCCGTTTAAAATCTGCTTTTTCAGGCCAGGCACGATGGCTCATGCCTGTAATCCTAGCACTTTAGGAGGCTGAGGTGGGTGGATCACTTGAGGTCAGGAGTTCAAGAACAGCCTGGCCAACATGATGAAACCCTGTCTCTACCAAAAAAAAAAAAAAGACAAAAACTAACCAGGAGTGGTGGCACATGACTGTAACCCCAGCTACTCAAGTGGCTGAGGCATGAGAGTCATTTGAACCCAGGAGGCGAAGATTGCAGTGAGCCGAGATTATCCCACTGTACTCCAGCCTAGGCGACAGAGTGAGACTTTCAAAAAAAAAACCTGTGAAAAAAATAAATACGCAAATACATAAAATCTGCCTTTTCAAGACACACACGTGACCAAGAAGCATATGAAAAAATGTTCAACATTACTAATGATTAGAAAAATGCAAATCAAAATCATAATGAGATACCGTCTCACACCAGTCAGAATGGCTATTATTAAAAAGTCAAAAAATAACAAATGTTGGAGAGGTTGCAGAGAAAACGGAAGGCTTATACACTGCTGGTGGGAACATAAATTAGTTCAGCCATTGAGGAAAGCAGTTTGGCAATTTCTCAAGAACCTTAAAACAGAGCTACCATTCGTCCCAGGAATCCCATTATTAGGCATATACCCAAAGGAGTATACATTGTTCTACCATAAGGACACATGCACATGAATGCTCACTGCAGCAGTATTCATAATAGCAAAGACATGGAATCAGCCTAAATGCCCACCAACAGTAGACTGTATAAAGAAAATGTGGTACATATACACCATGGAATACTCCACAGACAAAAAAGGACGAGATCACGTCTTTTGCAGCATCATGGATGGAGCTGGGGGCTGTTATCCTAGGCAAACTAACACAGGAGCAGAAAATGAAATACTGCATGTTCTCACTTTTATAAGTGGGAGCTAAACATTGAGTACACATGGACACAAAAAAGGGAATAATAGACACTGGGCCCTACTTGAGGGTGGAGGATGGGAGGAGGGAGAGGATCAAAACACTACCTATCAGATACTATACTTATTACCTGGGTGATGAAATAAATTTTTACGCCAAATCCCGATGACACACAATTTACCTATATAACAAACCTGCATGTGTACCCTTGAACCTAAAACAAAGGTTAAAATAATTTAAAATAAATAAAAAATAAAATCTTACTTGGTATTCTCAAAAAATAAAAAACAAAATCTGTCTTTTCAGGGGAAGAAAAGTAGGAAAGCTTTATCTCATTTTCCTAGTGGCTTCATAATGCAGGGACCTGCCCCCAGGGAACAGGGTATAGTAGGGGAAACACACAGGGGTGTTTAGAGTTTGGCGAAAGGCAGGTGAGCTCTGGGCACTGACCCGTCACCAGCTATTTTTCAAGGAGTCTGAGAGGTGTTAACCTGCGGTCTACCCCGTGAGATTGCTCAGAGTGTAGGAGGATATGGTTTACTAGCTCCGGAAAGCAGCTATTATAACTGAGGAGGAAATGAAGCTTGACTGGCTAGAACAGAAGCAACAATGGAGGCCCATGGAGGGATTTTCCAGGCCCCTATTCCTGATCTCCATGGTGGCGCTGCTTCCCTTATTCTGCAGTCTTGCTTTGAGACCAGACAATTCTGTACTCTGTCTGTGCCTTCTTCCTTCTCAGCAGCCCTGCCTCTGCCACCTGCCCCAGAAGGGCTCTGGGTCCTCTCATCTCAGGACAGACAAGGGTTTTTGTAATTATCTTCTTGGGTAACCTCCCTGTAAGGAATAGGAGAGGTTATCTGGTCCTGGTCTTTTGGGAGAGCATTGAGAAGAAAAAGTTAAACCAGTGGGCAGCCCAGGCTGCATACATCCTGGGAATATTGCGATTATTCTCTCCAGTAATCTACGGAAATCTACTGGTTGTTCTGCAGAAAAAGAATTAAGAGAGACAAGGAGACCTGTTGTCTAAGACTAAGGCAGGATGACGTTTACCTAGTAACTGATGATGCTAGGCTGAGGCACTCAGTGATTTGTCTCTACATTTGTCCCTGCCTACCTAGCCAATCTGTCCCTGTTTGGGACACTGGACTCCCGTGAGCTGGAAGGAACAGATTTAATATCTAGGGGCTGGGTATCCCCACATCACTCATTTGGGGGGTCAAGGGACCCGGGCAATATAGTATTCTGCTCAGTGTCTGGAGATCATCTACCCAGGCTGGGGCTTCTGGGACAGGCGAGGACCCACGGACCCTGGAAGAGCTGGTCCAGGGGACTGAACTCCCGGCATCTTTACAGAGCAGAGCATGATCACATTCCTGCCGCTGCTGCTGGGGCTCAGCCTGGGCTGCACAGGAGCAGGTAAGGACACTTCTTCTGGGGACTCTCCCTTCCCCTGCTCCTGTTTCAGGGTAAGGGTGTTCCGTTTTGTAATTGCATTTGACACCCCAGATAGTTTGTCTCCCTGGTATACATTCCTATAGCACTTTGTACTTTGTAGCAATTTTAATGTAATTAATCTGTATAATTATCTGTGCAGTGTATATTCCCTGCTGGAATATAGGCAAGGACAATGTTCATCTTATTTATTGCTGCCTCCTCAGCTCCTAGCACAGTGCCTTGCATGCAGCAAGTGCTTCATAAATATGTGCGAAGTGAATATTTAATATTTCCAGCACAATACAAGGCTGACTCTTTCTCTTGACCCTTTTTCTCTCTCAATAATTTGCCTTACTGAAGGTCTGTGTTCTGGGCAAATTGTCATGTTTAAACATGCAAATAATCTCGGGGGGCTACTCCTATCCCTGTGCTTAGTCTTGCATAAAGAGGAGACTGGATCTAAAAACTTATCTACTACTTCTACTGACTCCCTCAAATCAGACTTTCAGAAACTTCAGTGTATGAGCTTGGTCAGTAGATGTTCCCTGAGCAGGAAATCTGTGCCAGACTAGCTGGATGTCACCAAGGCTTAGGTTCTGAGCTGAATATAGGAAAAATCAACTTTTTTTCTTCTATATGCTCACACTCAACACTTCTTTGACCAACTGTGTGAGGTTTTTTTTTTTTTTTACTCATACCAACCAATTCTCCTATATTAGCTGGATATCCTATAATTCAATTCCATTGTGACATTAACTAGAGTTAACATAGACACCAAAGGTTAAAGACTCAGTCCCATAAGACTGCCTCCATTTCAGACACCAATCACAAGTAGTAGGTTCCCAAATTACCCACATCTTCTGTCCAACTTGCCTACAAATCAGAGGTTCCCATGACCCCCTCCTTGGGGTTGGTAATTTGCTAAAGTGGCTTATGGAACTCAGGAAAAGTTTACTTATTATTGTAGATTTTTTACAAAGGATATTTTAATTGATAATAATAATTATAAATATTCATGGGGTGGATAATGATGTTTTAGTACATGTAATGTACAGTGATCAGATCAGATCATCATCTCATTTATCATTTCTTTGTGTTGGAAACATTCCATATCCTTCTTCTAGCGATTTGAAATGATATAAAGTATTATTGTTAATGACAGTCATCCCACAGTGGTATAGAACACTAGATCATAATTTTGCATCCTTTAACAAAGGATATTTTAAAGCATAGAAAGGAACATCCAGATGAAGAGATACCAGATCTGGAAGGGTCCCAATCACAGGAGCTCTGTCCCCACAGAATTGGGGTACTTCACCTCCTGGCATGTGGATGTGTTTACCAACTGAGAAGTTCTCTGAACTCCATAGTTCCGGGATTTTTATGGAGGCTTCATCATGTAGGCATGACTGATTATTAACTCAATCTCCAGCCCCTTCCCCTTCAGGGAGTATGGGGGATGGGACTAAAAGTTCCAGACTTCTAATCATGACTTGGTCTTTCTGGTGACCAGCCCCTCCTGCAGGAGCCCACCAAGAGTACCTCATTAGAACAAAAGACACTCCTGTTATCTAGGAAATTCTAAGCGATTAGGCACTCTATGTCAGGAACCAGGGTCAAAGACAAAGCTCTGTGCAGAGCTCCTAAATATACGTCTGTATGTTTTATATATTTATTATTTGTGTATATTTATTATTTATATATTTATTTATTTATTGCCAGGCCAGTAGAAGACATTGACCTGTTCTCCCTTCCCTGGCTCCTCTAGGTGGCTTCGTGGCCCATGTGGAAAGCACCTGTCTGTTGGATGATGCTGGGACTCCAAAGGATTTCACATACTGCATCTCCTTCAACAAGGATCTGCTGACCTGCTGGGATCCAGAGGAGAATAAGATGGCCCCTTGCGAATTTGGGGTGCTGAATAGCTTGGCGAATGTCCTCTCACAGCACCTCAACCAAAAAGACACCCTGATGCAGCGCTTGCGCAATGGGCTTCAGAATTGTGCCACACACACCCAGCCCTTCTGGGGATCACTGACCAACAGGACACGTGAGGAGAGAGGGGTGCAGAGGGGCTACCAGGAAGTGCAGTTAGGAGGGCAGGCCAGGGAGGATCCCACAGTGGCCCAGGGGTTTGAGATTTGAGCAGCAAATAAGAGAAAATGTGTGGATCTGAAATGTAGAAAGACGGAGGATTGAACCTCAAGGGGAACAAGGTGGCTGACGTGAGTGGAACAGGAGTAAAGAAGGGGAGGTGAGGCTTGAACCGCGAGGTGCCATGTGGGGAGCTTATGCAGAGGCTGGGGCATCTCAGGATGCATACCCAAGATGTTCTTGCCTTGTTATCCCAGATTTTGATGTTCCAGATCTGATGTGGGCCCAGGCATGGGAATATTTGGAATCCCAGGGGATTCTGACACATGCTTTTTCTCACCCTTAAACTCTTGCATTGACAATGGCTTGAAGTTTGTGAAAGTAAACTTGAAGATCTCCACAGTACAGAACAGTGTGTCTCAAGGGTGGTTTCTGAACCACCTTTCTCAGAATTGCCTGGAGGAGGTGCTTGTTAAAGATGCAAGCCCCTTAGTACCACTCCAGATCTGTTGAAAGAAAGTATCTGGGGATACAGCCTAGGAAATCTGCATTTTAACATAATTCCTTGGATTTTTATTTAAGATTGTGTTTGAAAAATGTCAAGATAGAGGCAAGCAAGAGGATCACCTAGGAGAGTAAATTAGTAAAAGATGGCAGTATTAGCAATCTCATTAGTTTGACTACATTCATTCCAAATTTAAGAGTGAGTCCTAAGTTAGGCTTGTTTCCTTGAACTATGTGAGGAGAAAAAGCTTTAACTAGCAAAAGAACGTATTAAACAAGATTTGGAGAAAAATTCCTTTTCCACCTTAAAAAAACCCAATGTACAACTCTGGATTACTCTTAGCTTCCTTATTTCAAATACTTTCCAGTTTATGTACTTGAAATAAATACAACAACTTCTAGAACAGCTTGCAGTTCAGATCTGGCTTTTACTAATTGTAATCAAACATAATTCTGGAGGAGGAAAGAAAGAAAGGGGCAATGAAGGAATGGGAGAGAAGAAAGAGTAATGCAGGAATACATTCTAACGGTTCCCCTTCAAGGGGCAGCATGGCAGAGGGGGCTGGGGTGGAAAGTGGGTTGCAAAATCTACGAAGAGTTGCGATAGGGAAGAAACCAGGTTGAGGAAGCAGCCAGAATGTCACCCTCCTTCCTAAACATGTTTTTTTCTCCTATGCAGGGCCACCATCTGTGCAAGTAGCCAAAACCACTCCTTTTAACACGAGGGAGCCTGTGATGCTGGCCTGCTATGTGTGGGGCTTCTATCCAGCAGAAGTGACTATCACGTGGAGGAAGAACGGGAAGCTTGTCATGCCTCACAGCAGTGCGCACAAGACTGCCCAGCCCAATGGAGACTGGACATACCAGACCCTCTCCCATTTAGCCTTAACCCCCTCTTACGGGGACACTTACACCTGTGTGGTAGAGCACATTGGGGCTCCTGAGCCCATCCTTCGGGACTGGAGTAAGTGTATGGCAGATGGATGGAATTAGGGTCAAAGCAGAGAAAATGAGATGTGGATCGATACATGGTACATGGTAGACAGCGAAGTGCTGAAAATGGGGACTGAGTCTGGAGGAACTTACGGGGGGCTTAGGACCAGAATGGGGAAATGGGATAAAGAAATGGAAATATTTAGGTTGGTGCAAAAGTAATTGCAGTTTTTGCCATTACTTTCAGTGGCAAAAACCGCAATTACTTTTGCACCAGTTTAATATTTAGTCTGTGCTATTGCTGCTCTGGTGGTGTGGCTGATGTTGCTGCGTCTATGTTTGAGGGTGAGAGGGGAGCGTGCTTGCTTTGAAATGAGGATGTAAATTTGGCAATCATATTTTCAGAACCCCAAATTGTAATACACTATTCTAGCCTCCTTAGATTTCAACTATTCTGGTGCCAGAAGCAGATGGGAGCTGAAGGAATGATGAAGGTTGAAGAAGGGGGGCTTTTCTTGGTGTGGGGCAGTACTGCATTTGGCCTGCTCTACCAAGCATACGGGAGTAGTAAAGCCACGGCTGGCAGACCATTTGGCATGCATGCTCAGGGGCCAGTGGATAAAGAATTACTTACAGTTCAAACACTGTTTGAACTCAGTGTCGGGAGTAGTTAAAGGTATCGTGAGAAGTTGCACACAGCTTTGGGGACTCTTGGAAAAGAAAGAGGAAGAAATGAGGAAGAGGAAGGGTGTCTACAAAGGGCCAGAGAACAGGATCTCAGATCAGCTGCTGTAACCAGGTTTCCCCTTGTGGGAAGTGTTGTTTCTTGCTGGGCAGTTGGGAAGGGAATGGAGAACAGAGAAGAGAGTGGAAATCACATGCTCACTTGAACTTTCCTGGGGAACGTCTCCTCACAGCGTGCACAAGAGCCTCCCTTTAGAAATGGAGTGTTCATTTTATCATGGGAAAAGAATCTGAGTGGGACATGATTCAGAACAGGACCGGCCCAAGGAAGTGCAGGGGCTGTGGAGTGGGATGGAGACAAGCTCTGAAAGGACACATGGGAGATCTAGATGTAGAAGGTACACAAGTAGTAGGATAACTCACAGGATGGATCCACTGGAGGTTAAGACATGTGGTAAGACAGTGTAATAGGAAGCTGCTCAGTTGGAGAAAGTAAGGAAGCAAACATTGTTACCGTGGGGGCAATGGAGAGGACAGTGAGGAGCCCTTTATCCTGATAAGGGTGGCTTTGGGGTAAAGGAAGGAAAGAGGATGCCTTGAGAGGCCCCACTGTATTAGAGAGGACCTGGAAGCCAGGATGCTAATTCTGGGGAGATGGGTTCCCCAGGCTTACTCTAGGAGTAGAGGTCCATGGGACGAGGGTTTGATTTGAGAAAGATCATTTTCTTGGGAGTGGGTGGTGTGAGCTAGACCCTTGGAGCTGGGATAAAGGACCTTTTAACCCACTGAGAGGTGGCTGCAATAAATGGAATTGCCCTGGGGGTGAGCAACAGAAACTGGGTCAAGTAAGTTTCTATTTTTTGCAGCACCTGGGCTGTCCCCCATGCAGACCCTGAAGGTTTCTGTGTCTGCAGTGACTCTGGGCCTGGGCCTCATCATCTTCTCTCTTGGTGTGATCAGCTGGCGGAGAGCTGGCCACTCTAGTGAGTGACTCGCTGAACTCCCATCCCCACTCTTGGTCCCACTCTCTGCTTACTTTCTGTTTGTGATTAACTCTCTCCTTCCTACTGCATTTGCTATGAATACTGCTAGATATTTTCATCCACAAAGACTGGTATAATCAAGTATCTTCCTCTCTTAGGTTACACTCCTCTTCCTGGGTCCAATTATTCAGAAGGTAACATCTCTGTTGGTCTGTTTCCCTACTTGCCCTTTGGTAGGGGTGCGGGTTAGAGGGGTCAGTGTTGGGTTCAACTAATCTTGATTATTATATGGGTGAGCTTCCATGAGGATCTAGGCAAGGGCATGATTTAAGCTGCCATTGCTAGGATTAAGAGCAGGAAGGAGCATCCTCCTCTTCTACCAAGTGGGATGTCTGTGGAGAGGAGGCTGAAGGTGCTTCCTTTGTATTAGTTGTTGGTGCCCTGGAGTTTTCAGTATCACTGTATTAAGGCATGGGATGGTTACAGTGACAAACGATGGGGGCAAGTTGGGTTGAAGCCTCATTATCTCCCTTTTATTTATTCTGTAGGATGGCACATTTCCTAGAGGCAGAATCCTACAACTTCCACTCCAAGTGAGAAGGAGATTCAAACTCAATGATGCTACCATGCCTCTCCAACATCTTCAACCCCCTGACATTATCTTGGATCCTATGGTTTCTCCATCCAATTCTTTGAATTTCCCAGTCTCCCCTATGTAAAACTTAGCAACTTGGGGGACCTCATTCCTGGGACTATGCTGTAACCAAATTATTGTCCAAGGCTATATTTCTGGGATGAATATAATCTGAGGAAGGGAGTTAAAGACCCTCCTGGGGCTCTCAGTGTGCCATAGAGGACAGCAACTGGTGATTGTTTCAGAGAAATAAACTTTGGTGGAAATATTGTTTTTCCATGTCTTCTTCCTGGGGCCCTGGGGAAGGAATATGGGCAAAGCAGGGACTGAGGTTAATTCTCTTCTGCTTGAGTAGGGGAGAAATCAATGCCTTCTTCCATTTTCCCACTTAGACATGACAGAATTTGGGGCCGTTTTCTGATTTATAATTCATAAGGAGAAATTCAACTGTGGTGGGTTGGAGTCACAGAGTATGGGCAAGGAAGGGAATTAACAGCTTACTCACCTCATACAGGATCTTATGAGGATTAAATGAGTTCATACTTGTAAATGGCTAAGAACACCGCCAGGCACATAGCCAGCCTGCAATAGTGACGTTAGCTATATTCGATTATTCAACTTTCTGGCCAGGCATTGTACCAGGTGCTTTGATCCTCATCACAACCGTAAGGCAGACCCCTCATACCCCTCAGGATTCAGGGGACAGAGCTTAACTCCAGATTGAGTTCTAGACAGTTATTTCTTCCATACCCTGAATGCAGAAGGGAACATAGCTTGAGTGATTATTATGTCTTAGGCACTGGTCTCAGACCTTTATATTTGTAGCTCATTCTCTTCTCACAATAACCACACAAGGGACAGATTGTTTCCCTCTATGTTACAGACAAAAGATGTGAGGCTCAGAGACATTTAAGTGACTTGTCCAAGGTCAAAGAACAGATTTCTGTAGGATGTTTGTCTACCTGAGCTGGAAGTAGCAGATTACTTTATTCTGAAGACCCTCATGCTGGTGAGCACACATCTCTTCAGAGCCACCGTTCCATTCCCTTCTACCCCAAGACCAAGGAGAGCCCTTTGGGGGAATGGACTCCACCCTAAGGAAGAGAGGATGCTGGCTGGTGGTTTGTTGTCCCACGAAGGGCGACACCTGCTGGACACAGAAACCTAGGGTGTGGAATTGTTTTTGGAATTAGAGCTAGATACTAGAATATGGGTAAGAAAAAGAAACCAAGAAATGAGTTGATTTGGAACACCTCCATAATTTCTTCAGAAGCATCCTTGGAATTAGAGCATCTCTTCTGGAAGGGGTTAACAGAAGAAGTCAGTGGAAGGAACTTAATCTCTACATTTTACCATTTTTATGTTTCATTTTCATTTTTTTCTATTCACTGTTTTTGTTTTTATTTTTGTTTGTTTGACAAAGCAAATTCCTTTTGAAATTCTAGTTTAGTCTAGGAATGGGGGGCTTTGGGCCTTGTCTATATCTGGGCAGTTTTATTTATTATTTTTATTTTATTTATTTATTTTTTTTCGAGACAGAGTTTTGCTCTTGTTGCCCAGGCTGGAGTGCAATGGCGTGATCTCGGCTTATTGCAACTTCTGCCTCCCATGTTCAAGCGATTCTCCTGCCTCAGCCTCCCAAGTAGCTGAGATTACAGGCGTGCACCACCACGCCTGGCTAATTTTGTATTTTCTTAGTAGGGATGCGGTTTCACCATGTTGGTCAGGCTGGTCTCGATCTCCTGACCTCAAGTGATCCACCTGCCTCAGCCTCCCAAAGTGCTGGGATTACAGGCGTGAGCCACCGCACTAGGCCTATCTGGACAGTTTTAAAGGAGAAGCTGCAGATCTGAAGGGTCTAGTTCTAGTCACAGCAGTGGGAATCAAAGTGACAGGATCCCAGAGAAAGGAAGTAGAGAGTTAGCTAATGGGACGGCTTCCAGTTCCTTTTCTAGAGATTTCCAGTGCAGGCTTTTCTCTGCCCTAACTTTGTAGGTTTTTTGTTTTATAGGAAAGGCTGTCCCCTTCCAGGTAAGAAATAGGGAAAAGTATATGTAGGTCTGCTAGGATCCAGAAAGTCAGAATACTATAGGTAGAAAGGGGAGTTCTTACACAGGGGAATGAGTGGTACTTGAAAGGAAGGTGGAAGAAGGGTGATGGTGCACCAATTGTAGGAGGATGAGGAGAAGAGAATGGATGCTGCATGAGGAGAATGGAATGTAAACATAATGGATTGCCAAAAAAGGAGTGCGTGTGTGTGTGTGTGTGTGTGTGCACTTGAGCACATGTGAGAGAAAGAGAGGAAAAAAAGAGAAGGAGTGGAAGAGAGTAAGAGAGAGGGAGCAAAAGGGTGAGAGGAGAGAAGTGGAGTGGGAGAAAGAAGGAGAGGGACATAGAGAGAGGGAGGGAGGGGAGCGGGGGAAGAGAGAGAGAGCTGGACTTTCGGGTTATACATAATCCAAGCTGCACAAAGAATTGTTTTCGCCCTTCAATGTCTTGTTGTTTTAAAAGCTGAACTTGGAGCTAGAATTGGTTTTAAAGGTCATCTAGTCCACCTCCCCTCCCATGAAAGAACTGGGCCTGTGTTAACAAGGGCACACACAGTGCAGGGAGTTCCTTCAACACTTGGGGCAGATAACAATATTTTAGAGAAACGCGTTGACCCCACATTTGAGCTTCTTCTTTTGACCATTAAAGACAATGAGAATAAATCTCAAATACACCACGGGAGGTGGTATCCTTGGCATTTTTTTTTTCCCTGAGGGAGAGCATGTTCCTAGGTTCCAGGTTCTCTTTGCCTCCCTACCCACGAACACATGCATGTGAAAGAAACAGACAAGATTGACATTTAATCCCAATGTCTATTTATGAAAATTATCTTTAGGCCATTTTCTCAAGTTTTTCTCTTTCCAAAGTAAAATTGGGCAAATCAGATGAAAAACGAGGGTGGAGTTCAACCCCATCCTCAAATCCTTTTTTTTTTTTGGCTTGAGTGTCTGTCATTCCCAAGAGCCCTCCAACTGCCTTGAAGCAAGGCATGGGGGATTTCTCCGTGGTGCTTCCTGCCACTACTTGGCCAGACCAGTCTCCAGGGGTTTCAGAGAGTGGAGAGGCCCCAAACCTATAGAGACTACTCCCAGATGGGGGGCTCCTTGTTTCTCCAGACCCTTCCTCTTCCATTTCATATGAGGCTTCCAAGAGGCCCCTGGCCGTGCTGGTCTGGGGCAGGGAATAAAGAAATGGCTTTTATTGTATCAGAGTCTCAACAGAAAACAGATGGCATACTCGAAATAGGACATTTCAAGGAAAGTTTATTTATTAGCAAAGTATTTACAAAGAACTGGGTGGAGGATAGCTGTTACTACCCCAAGGTCCAAAGAGGCCGGGGACAGAAGGGGTTATCAGGACTCAGAAGGACAGCAAGCCCTGTACAGTCACCACCTTGCCAAGGGCAGTGCCCTTCAGTCAAGGGACACAACAGCTTAAGGTGACCTTGTAGGGAGGAAGCCAAGGGATTAGAAACACTGACCTCACTCCCCTCTTCCCTCTGCTCTTAGGCTGATGCTGGAAGCAAGAAGAAGCCAGGGAGCATGGGAGCCATTCAATGTCATGCAGGTCAGCACCTGAGGCAGACCCCAGGTGCAGAAGTATTGAGAGTGGGTCCAGAAGGACAGATGGAGGACAGGAAGTACATTCACAACAAGAAGGAAAAACGTCAATGTTGTGGGGTGGAGAGAGAGGTGCAAAATCTGGGCTTCTTTTGGCCTTGGACAATGACAAGCGCATAGTAGCAACAGAAACTAAGTTTGTAGTTTCCTACTGGGGAGTTTGGGAGGACACTCACTTCTAGTTCTGTCTTCCCCACTTGAATTTTGATTGTGGTTATACTGAATTTATAGAAATTTGGGGTTAACTGACTTGTTTTTATTACTAAATCATACCATGCAAAAACAGGATGTTTTCTCATTTATTGAAATCATTTTGTTTGCTCTTTATTATGGTTTTTAAACTTTACTTTTTCATAGTAGTCCTGAGTATGCTCAGTTAATTCTTAGGCATGTTGTAGCTTTTGCTGCTATTGTGATTGGTATCTTATTGCAATTCTACTTTTGAATCAGTAATTTCTGATGTAGAAGAATGTATCTAATTTAAAAAATTGTGGTTAAAAAAATAACATTTACCGTCTTAACCACTTTGAAGTGTACAGCTCAGCAGTGTTAAGTATATTCACATTTTTGTGCAACCAATCTCCAGAACTCCTTTTCACCTTGCAAAACCAGAACTCTACACCCATTAAACAACAACTCCTCATTTCTCTCTTCCTCTAGCCCCTGGCTACTATCACTCTACATTCTGTTTCTATGAATCTGACTACTTCAGATACCCTGTACAAGTGCAATCATGGAGTTTTTGTCTTTTGGCGATTGGCTTATTTCACTTAGCTTAATGTCCTTAAAATTCATACTTGTTGCAGCATGTAAGAGTGCTTTCTTCCTTTTTAGGCTGAATAATAAGCTACTGTATGTATATGCCATATTTTGTTTGCCCATTCATCTGTCTATGGACATCTTTGTTGCTTCCACCTCTTGGCTATCGAGAATAGTGCTGCTATGAATATGGGGGAAAATATCTGCTTAAGTCCCTGCTTTCAATTCTTTTGCATTTATACCCAGAAGTGGACTCTTGGGTCATATAGTAGTTTTACTACTGATTTTTTGAGGAACTGCCGTACTGTTTCCCATAGCAGTTACACATTTTACAATCCCACGAACATTGCATATAAAGGTTCTAATGTCTCTACATCCTCACCAACACTTATTTCTTCCCTCCCTCTCTCCCTTCCTTCCTTCCTTCCTTCTTTCCTTTCCTCCTTCATTTGCTCCCTCCTTCATTCCCTCCCTTCTTTCCTTTTTCCTTTCATTTTTATAGTAGCCATGCTAATGAGAATTAGATGATGTTATGGTTTTAATTTGCACTTCTCTAATAATAAGTAATGCTGAGCATCTTTTCATATGTGTGTTTGCCACTTGTATATCATCTTTGGAAAAATGTCTGTTGAAGTTTGTTGCCCCCTTTTTAACTGTTTGTATAAACAATTATTGTTGGGTTTTATGAGTTCTTTACATATTCTGAATATTAACCCTTTATTGGATATATGATATTCAAATACTGATATATGATTTTCAAATATTAGAAATTAATAATTTTTGTAAGTTGATCTTATATGGGACAACCTTGCTCGATCCTCTTATTGGTTTTAGTGGGGTTTTTGTTGTTGTTGTTGTCATTGTTGTTATTGATATTCTCTCTGTCTCTCTCTTTTTCCAGGTAGATAATAGTATCATCTGCGAGCATTGTTTTGTGTTTTCCCTCTTAATCCTTAGTGTTTTATTTTTCATGTTGTTGACTAGGATCTTCAATGCTGTGTCAAACAGTAGGGTGATAATGAGCATTACTCTTAAAGGAAATAAACCTAAATATTCTCCATTAAGTATAAATTTTGCTGTATATTGTAGATTCACATGCAGTGGTAAGAAATAATAAAAACAATCCTGTGTATCCTTTACCCAGTTTCCCTTGATGGTAACATTTTGCAAAACTATGGTACAATATCACAATTAGGATACATGGATACAGCCACAATACAGAACACTTCTATGATCACAAGGATTCTTCACCTTGCCCTTTTCTAGACACACCCACTTCCCTACCATCCCATACCCTCCTTAATGTCTAGCAATCACTAATCTCTTATCCATTTCTATGACTTTGTCACTTCAAGACAAATTTTTTTTTGTCATTTTAAAACAAATGATTAATAAATGGAAACATATAGTATATACACTTTTGGGATTGACTTTTTTTTCTCTCAATGTATTTCTCTGGAGATCATACAAGGTTGTTGCATATATCAATAATTTATTATTGCCTAGTTGTATTATATGGTATGGGTATAGCACAGTTAGTTTAGCCATCTGTCCATCACATCTGGGTTGTTTCCAGATTTGGCTGATATGAATATAAGTTTTTGTGTGGACATAAGTCTTAATGTCTCTGGAGCAAATGCCCAGGAGTGTACCTGCTGAATTGTATGGTGGTTGCATTTTTAGTTTTTTAAATAAACTGTCAAAGTGTTTTCCAGAGTGGTTGCACCAGCAATGTGCGAGTGATTGTTTTACTGCATCCTCACAGGCATTTGGTATTGTCACTATTTTTTTTATTTTTTTTGAGATGGAGTCTTGCACTGTTGCCCAGGCTGGAGTGCAGTGGTGCGATCTTGGCTCACTGCAAGCTCCACCTCCCGGGTTCGCGCCATTCTCCTGCCTCAGCCTCCCAAGTAGCTGGGACTATAGGCGCCCGCCACCACGCCCGGCTAATTTTTTGTATTTTTAGTAGAGATGGGGTTTCACCATGTTAGCCAGGATGGTCTCAATCTCCTGTCCTCATGATCCGCCTGCCTCAGCCTCCCAAAGTTCTGGGATTACAGGCATGAGCCACTGCGCCTGGCTTATTGTCACTATTTTTTATTTCAGCCATTCTAATATGTGTGTAGTGAGATCTTATTGTGGTTTTAATTTGCGTTTCCTTAATGGCTAATGATATCGAACATCTTTTCATGTGCTTATTTGCCATCTGTATATCCTTTTAATGAAATGTCTCTTCATGAATTTTTCCCATTTTCTAATTAATTTTTTTCAAACTGTTGATTTTTTTTCTTTTTTTTTCTGAGATGGAGTCTTACTCTGTCACTCAGGCTAGAGTGCAGTGGCATGACCTCGGCTCACCCCAACCTCTACCTCCTGGGATTACAGGCGTGTGCCACAACGCCCAGCTAATTTTTAGTATTTTTAGTAGAGACAGAGTTTCACCATGTTGGCTAGGCTGGTCTCAAACTCCTGACCTCAAGTCATCCACTCGCCTCAGCCTCCCAAAGTGCTGGGATTACAGGCATGAGCCAGGGGGCCTGGCCTGAGTTTTGATAAGTTGTTATATATTCTAGATACTAGTCCTTTTTTGGATACATGATTTGCAAATATTTTCTTCCATTATGTAGCTTGCCTTTTCATTCCTTTACAAGTCTTTCACAGAGCAACAGTTTTTAGTTTTAATCAGGTCTAATATATCCATTTTTTCATTTTACAGATCATGTTTTTGGTGTCAAATCTAAGAACTTGTTGCCCAGATCTAGATTCAGAAGATTTTCCCCTATCTTATTCTAAAAGTTTTATAGTTTTACATTTTGCATAGAAGTTTGTAATCCATATTGAGTCAATTTTTGCAGAAGGTATGAGTCTTAGATTAAACTGCTGCTCCTCCTTCTCTTCCTCCTTGTTGTCTTTCTCTCCTCCTATGGCCCTTGAATGTTCAATTGTTCCAGCACCATTTATGTTTTTCCGATGTCTGCAGGGTGTGTAGGGATATTCCCTGTGGACATTTCTATATTCTTTCTTTCTTCTTTGTCAGTGTAGTCTGCTAGAGGTTCATCAGTTGACTGATCTTTTCAAAGAAGCAACTTTTTGTGTCTCACTCTGTGGCCCAGGCTGGAGTGCAGTGGTGCAATCTCACCTCACTACAACCTCCGCCTCCTGGGCTCAAGTGATTCTCCTGCCTCAACCTTCCAGGTAGCTGGGACTACAAGCGCCTGCCACCACATTTGGCTAATTTTTTGTAATTTTAGTAGAAGCAGAGATTCACCATGTTGGGCAGGCTGGTCTCTAACTCCTGAGCTCAAGTGATCCACCTGCCTTGGCCTCCCAAACTATTGGGATTACAGGCGTGAGCCACAGTGCTCGGCCTTCCTTTCTTCTTTGGATGTATTTTGATCTTCTTTTTCTGGGCTCTTGAGATGAGAGTTTGAATTATTAATTTGTGTACTTTTTTTTTTTTTTAAAGAGACAAGGTCTCCTTATGTTGCCCAGGCTGGCCTCGAACTACTGGGCTCAAGTGATCCTTTCCTGCCTCAGCCTCCCAAGTAGCACCCAGTTTTTCTTCTTTTTAATGTATGCATTTAATGCTATAAATTTCCCTTTCAGCACTGGTTTAGCTGTGTCCTATAATTTTTTTTATTATTTTGAAAATATTTCGTGGGTTCATGGTAGGTGTATATGTTTATGGGGTACATGAGATGTTTTGATACACGCCTGGAATGTGAAATAACCAAATCATGGAGAATGGGGTAGCCATTCCCTCAAGCATTTATCCTTTGAGTTACAAACAATTCAATTACATTCTTTAAGTAACTTAAAAATATACAATTAAGTTATTTTTGACTATAGTCACTCTATTGTGCTATCAAATAGTAGGTCATATTCATTCTTTCTACTTTTTTTGTACCCATTAACCATCCCCACCTCCCCGCTCAGCTATCCACTACTTTTCTCAGGCTCTGGTAACCATCCTTCTACTCACTATGTCCATTAGTTCAATTGTTTTGATTTTTAGATCCCACAAATAAATGAGAACATGTCATGTTTGTCTTTCTGTACCTGGCTTATTTCACTTAACATAATGATCTCCAGTTCCATCTATGTTGTTGCAAATAACTGGATATCATTCTTTTTTCTAGCTAAATAGTACTCCATTGTATGTATGTACCACATTTTCTTTATCCATTCATCTGTCGATAGACACTTAGGTTGCTCCGAAGTCTTAGCTATTGTAAACAATGCTGCAATTAACATAGGAGTGCAGATATCTCTTTGAAATACTAATTTTCTTTCTTTCGGGTATATTCCCAGCAGTGGGATTGCTGGATCATATGGTAGCTCAATTTTAATTTTTTTGGAGGAACTTCCAAGCTGTTCTCCATGGTGGTTGTACTAATTTATATTCCTGCCAACAGTGTACAAAGCCTTCTCCACATACTCACCAGTACTTGTTATTGCCTGTCTTTTGGATACAAGCCATTTTTTTTTGAGATGGAGTCTTACTCAGTTGCCCAGGCTGGAGTGCAGTGGCCCAATCTCTGCTCACTGCAACCTCCATCTCCCAGGTTCAAGCGATTCTTCTGCCTCAGCCTCCCAAGTAGTTGGGACTACAGGCATGGCCCACCATGCCCAGCTAATTTTTGTATTTTTAGTAGAGACAGGGTTTCACCATATTGGCCAGGCTGGTCTTGAACTCCTGACCTCAGGTGATCTGCCCGCCTCGGCCTCCCTCAGTGCTGGGATTACAGGTGTGAGCCACCGTGTCCAGCCTGCATACAAGCTATTTTAACTGAAGTGAGATAATATCTCATTGAACTTCTGATTTGCATTTCTCTGATGATTCATAATGTTGAGCACCTTTCATAAGCCTGATTGCCATTTGTATGTCTTCTTTTGAGAAATGTCTATTCAGATCAGCTCATTTTTTGTTTGGACTATTGAACTCTTTTTTCCTATAGAGTTGTCTGAACTCCTTATATATTCTAGTTATTAATCCTTTGTTAGAGGGGTAGTTTGCAAATATCTTCTCTCATTCTGTGGGTTGTCTCTCCTAGAAATTTTTGATATGTTGTATTCTTATTTTCTTTCAATTCAGTGTATTTTTAAATTTCCTTTGAGATTTATTTTTTGACTCGTAGAGTATTTAAAAGTTTTCGCTTAGTTTCTTGACTTTCCTCTGTCATCTTTCTGTTATTTATTTCTAGTTTGATTCCAATGTAGTCAGAGAACACATTCTGTATAATTTATATTCTTTTAAATTTATCAATATTTGTTTTATGGCCCTGGATATAGTCCAACTTGGTATATGTTGCATGGACACTTCAAAAGAATGTATATTCTGTGCGGCCAACAAGCATGTGAAAAAAATGCTCAGTATAACTAATCATTAGGGAAATGCAAATCAAAACAATGATGAGACACCATCTCACCCCAGTCAGAATGGCTATTGTTAAAAAGTCAAAAACAACAGGTGCTAACAAGGTTGTGGAGAAAAAGGAACACTTGTACACTATTGGGGGTAATGTAAATTAGTTCAGGCACTGTGGAAAGCAGTCTGGAGATTTCCCAAAGAACTTAAAGCAAAATTCCCATACAACCCAGCAATTCCATTGTTGGGTATATACCTAAAAGAATATAAATTGTTCTGTCATAAAGACACATGCACATGCATGTTCATCACACTGCTATTCACGTTAGCAAAGACATGGAATGAACCTAGATTTCTTTATCCAGTGCTCATCAACAGTGCACTGGATAAAGAAGATGTGGTACATATACACCATGAAATACTACACAGCTATAAAAAATGGGATCATGGCCTTTGCAGCAACATAGATGGAACTGGAGGCCATAATCCTAAACAAATTACCGCAGGAGCAAAAAACCAGCTAATTGCATACACATGGACACAAAGATGGGAAAAATAGACACTGGGGCCTATTTGAGGGTGGAGGGTGGGAGGACAGTGATGATTGAAAAAGCACCTATCGGGTATTATGCTGATGATTTTTCCTCTGCTGTCTTTCCGTTATTGATTTCTAATTTGATTCCATTGTAGTCAGAGAAAAGTTTGTATAATTTAAATTCTTTTAAAATTATCTGTACACCAAACCCTTGTGACACGCAATTTACCCATGTAACAAACCTGCATATGTACCCCTTGCACCTAGTAAAACCGGAAAAGAAAAACAACAAAAAAGAGCCAATGTGTATTCTGCTATTGATGGGTGGAGTGTCCTGTAAATGTGGATTTGATCCTGTTGGTTGATGGTGTTATTGAGCTCTTCTACATCTTTGCTGATTTTCTTTCTAGTTTTTATTTTTTTATTTTTATTTTTTTTGAGACAGAGTCTTGCTCTGTCCCCCAGGCTGCTGGAGTGCAGTGGCAGGATCTCAGCTCACTGAAAGCTCCGTCCCCAGGTTCACGCCATTCTCCTGCCTCAGCCTCCCGAGTATCTGGGACTACAGGCGCCCGCCACCACGCCCAGCTAATTTTTTGTATTTTTAGTAGAGTCGGGGTTTCACCGTGTTAGCCAGGATGGTCTCGATCTCCTGACCTCGTGATCCACCCCCTCGGCCTCCCAAAGTGCTGGGATTACAGGCCTGAGCCACCACTCCCTGCCTTCTTTCTAGTTTTATTAATAGTTGTGAGAGTTGTGTTGATGTCTCCAATTATAATTGTGGATTTTCTATTTTTTCTTTCAGTTCCGTCAGTTTTTGCTTCACATATTTTACAGCTCTGGTGTTTTGGGCATAAACATTTCTGACTGCAATGTCTTCTTGATAGACTGACCCTTCTATTATTATAAAACGTCCTTATCTTTCTCTGGTAATTTTTTTTGTTTTGGCTCTGAAGTTTACCTTATCTGAGAGTAGTACACTCACTCCTGTATTCCTCTAATTAAGGAAAACATGTTGTGTCTTTTTCCATCCTTTTACTTTTAACCTGCCTATGTTGTTATATTTGTGTGGTTTTATTGTTGTTTTTGTTTGTTTTGTGTTTTTTTTGAGACAAAGTCTCATCTTGTCACCTAGGCTGGAGTGCAGCGGCACAATCTCTGCTCACGGCAACCTCTGTCTTCCAGGGTCAAGCGATTCTCCTGCCTCAGCCTCCTGAGTAGCTGGGACCACAGGTGCACACCACCATGCCTGGCTAATTTTTGTATTTTAGTAGAGACGGGGTTTCACCATGTAGGCCAGGCTGGTCTCGAACTCCTGACCTACCTCAAATTATCCACCTGGCTTAGCCTCCCAAAGTGCTGAGAGCCACTGAGCCTGGCCTATATTGTTATATTTGAACTGGGTTTTTTTTTGTTTTTGTTTTTGTTTTTTGTTTGTTTGTTTTTTTTTGTAGAGTGCTGGGTTTACAGGTGTAAGCCACCATGCCTGGCCTGAACTGGGTTTCTTAATTGAGGTATTTAGATCATTTGCATTTAGTGTAATTTTTTTTCTTAATTTTTATGTTTAATTATTATGGGTACACAACCGTTGTATATATTAGTGAGGTACATGTGATGTTAGTTACAGGCATACAATGTGCAATGACCAAATCAGAGTAATTGGGGCATCTACCACCTCAAGAATTTATCATTTCTTTGTATTAGGAATAATGTAATTATTGATATATGTATTAGCTTGGGGTGCCATAACAAAATAAAACTAGGTGGCTTAAACAACAGAAATATATTCTCTCACAGTTCTGGAGGTTGGAAGTCTGAGATCAAGGCGCCAGCATGGTCAGCTTCTGGTAAGGGCTCTTCCTGGCTTATAGAGAGAGTTGCCATCTTCTGGGGGCAGAGTGAGAGAGAAAGAGAGAGGAAGGCTGGGAGGGAGAAAGAGCAAGAGAGCATACCCTGGTTTCTCTTCCTATTGAATTAATCCTATTGAATCATGGCCCTACCCTTATGAATTCATTTAACCTGAATTACTTCTGTAAAAGGCCCTATCTCCAAATATAGTCCCATTGGTGGTTAGGGCTTCAACATGGGATTCTGTGGGACACAATCCAACCTGTAGTAACATGAAGGGCTTAATTGTTTTTCATTTATTTTGTTTGTTCTCTCCAGTTTTCATCTCTGTTTACTCTTTTCTGACTTTCTGTGGCTTACTTGGGCATTTTTTAGAACGCCAGTTTTATTTATCTACAGTGTTTTTGAGTGTATTGATGCATAACTTTTAAGTGGTTGCTTTAAGTATTACATATACATGTAACTTGTCACAGTCTGCTGGAGTCATCATTTACCATTTTGAGTAAATAATAAAAATCTTACCTTCCTAATTTATGTCCCATCCCTTTATCCTCCTCACTGAAAATACGATTGTCTTAAATGTTTCCTCTACATACATTTAGAACCACATCAGTGTTATAATTTTGGCTTCAACCATCAAACATACTTTAGAAAACTTAAGAGGAGAAGAAAAATTTATTGTATTTACCCATCTATTTGCTTACCTTGTTCTATCTTCTTCCTTGATGTTCCAAGGTTCCTATTTTATCATTTCCATTCTGTTTAGATAACTTCTTTTAGCCATTTTCATTATTTCTGGGCAGGTGTTCTCCCCCCGCCCCCATCTCCATTGACATCTTAGAGAGGGGGCCCCATTACTGGCTTGCAGAAATGAAATTCTTAGCTTCCTAATTGGTCTTCTTGGATACCACTGCAGAGTGATGTTGGAGCACCTTGTTACAGCTTCAAGAGGGTGAAAGTTTAGGTCTCCCACTTGGTCTTTCTGGTGTGAATGGCAGTAGAGTCACAGTTATTGCTATGGTATTTGCCTAGAACTGAACAGTTACTTTCTAAGGCTTGACAGGCTTGCCTGCCTCTGTCTTGGTCTTTTGGCTAGTGATATCAGGGCTTTTGTTGTAAGTGTTGTTGGGGCTTTTTCTGTTTGTTTGTTTGTTTGTGCCAGTTGGTCTTTCCAAATTGTCACTTTCTTCAGCTCCAAGCCCAGCATATATGTGGCAAAAAGAAAGCCCAGGGAACTCACTAGTATGTCATTCCTCAGATCCTGAGATTCTAGCTGTTCTGCCTTCTCATTTCCACCTTTTAGAGTCTTCTTATGTTTGTTTTATATATATATAATGTCCAGAGTTTTTAGTTGTACTTAGTGAGATGAATAGGAAAAAGTATGTCTACTCAATTTTTCCAGAAGTCTTTGCTGTCAACCTTTACTAAATTAGTAGGTTTCCTTTTATTCCTGGTTTTCTAAAAGTTTATTTTTTAAACATAAATGGTTTTTTACATTTAAAAAATAGTTTATCAGAATTGACTCATTTCATTGTATTTTCCTTCTTAATCTCCTAATATAGTGAATTATATTGAGAGATTTTTAAAATGTGAAACATCTTTGCATTCCTGGGATAAACCCTATTTGTTCATCCTATAGTTACACATTTACTGTTGGTGTTATTTAGTTAATATTTTACTTGGGTTGTTGTATTTACTTTTATAAAGCATGGACGTAAAACTTGCCTTTCTTGTATTTCCTTGTTTGTTTTTGTAATAAAAATTTCTCTAAACAATAACCTAGGCAGATTTTGTTCTTCATTCTGTTTCCTGGAATAATAAATAGAAATGTCTTTTCAAAGGGCAGCTTTTGTTTTTGTTCATCTATTTTATTGTTTTTAGTTCTCTATTTCATTTATGACTATCTTTACTATTTCCTTCCTCCTTTGGGTGTATTCTCTTCCTCTTTACCTAGCGTTTGAGTTGAACACTCAGCTTATTGATTTTGGTCTTTTTTTGTGTTTCCTAGTAAGTGTATTTAAAGGTAAAAAATTTCCTTCTAAGTTCTGCTTTAATCATATCTAACACATTTTGATATGCAGTGTTTTAATTTTTATTTAATTCTACATATTCTTTATATTTTTCTTTTAACTCACAGGTTACTTGTGACATTTAAAAACTTTTTATTTTGAAGTAATTTTAGAAGAGTAGTACAAAGAATTCTTACGTACACTTGTCCAAATTCAATGATTTGCAACATTTTGTCATATTTGCTTTCTTTTTCTCTCTGTCTCTGCTTCCCTCTCTGTTTTTTTCCTAAAAAACATTAATATTCCTAAGTCCATTTTAGGGACTTACTCTAAAATGGTTATGAAAAAACATTAGAGAGAAAAAATGGTTTACTCTAAAATGGTTAGGAAGTCTGGAGTTACATACACACATGCCCCTTTCCTGCTAAATATTTCAATGTATTTCCTAAGAACAAGGCTGTTCTCTTACATAAACACAGAAAAACAGTCATATTAAGAAAATTTAACTTGGATATAATATTAGCTAATCCACAGTACATATTCAAATTTTACCAGTTTTCCCAATAAAGAACCTTATAACTCCAGCCACTCCCAGTCTCTTGTCCTGCAATCCAGAATCAAGCATTTCAGTAAGTTTTCATGTCTCTTTGGTCATTTTTAATGTGAGAGAGTCTATCAGTTTCTTATTTATTCAGGTTTTATTAATTAGCTTGAACTTATATAATTTTATTATTTTGCCCTTCAAGAACTCTGCTTTTTTTTTTTTTTTCTTTTTGGTCTAGTTTATCTACCAGTTTTTGAGAGAGGGTTTGTAAAAATCATCAAATGTATTTTTAAAAAACTCAACTTCTAACTGTAGTTCTTTCACTTGTTGCTTTATAAATTGTGAGGCTGTATTGTTGAGTTTATATATATTTATGATTACTATATCTTCTTGTTTCTTTAAAAGTTATATGAACATCTTTTCTTTTGTCCTTTATGCACTTTATTTTTTTTATTTTTATTTTTTTTTGAGATGGAGTTTCGTTCTTATTGCCCAGGCTGGAGTGCAGTGGCACAGTCTTGGCTCACTGCAACCTCCATCTCCCAGGTTCAAGCGATTCTTCTGCCTCAGCCTCCCGAGTAGCTGGGATTACAGGTGCGTGCCACCATGACCGGCTAATCTTTTTGTATTTTTAGTAGAGATGGCGTTTCACCATGTTAGCCAGGCTGATCTCGAACTCCTGACCTCAGGTAATCCGTCCTCCTCAGCCTCCCGAAATGCTGGGATTACAGGCATGAACCACTGCACCTGGCCCAAAATAGAATTTAAGGTTAAAAATAAAGTGCAGGCTGGACGTCGTGGCTCACGCTTGTAATCTTAGCACTTTGGGAGGCTGAGGCAGGTGGATCACCTGAGGTCAGGAGTTCAAGACCAGCCTAACCAACATGATGAAACCCCAACTCTACTAAAAATACAAAAGTAGCCGAGCATGGTGGCACATGCCTGTAATCCCAGCTACTCGGGAGGCTGAGTAGGGAGAATCGGTTGAATCCAGGAGGCAGAGGCTGCAGTGTACCGGGATCGCACCATTGCACTCCAGCCTGGGCAACAAGAGTGAAACTCTGTCTCAAAAATAAATAAATAAATAAATAAATAAATAAATAAATAAATAAATAAAGTGCATAGGCCGGGCACGGTAGCTCATGCCTGTAATCCTAGCACTTTGGGAGGCTGAGGCGGGTATATCACCTGAGGTCAGAAGTTCAAGACCAGCCTGGCTAGCATGGTGAAACCCTGTTTCTACTAAAAATACAAAAAATTAGCTGGGCATGGTGGCACACCTGTAATCCCAGCTACTCGGGAGGCTGAGACAGGCGAATCACTTGAACCCAGGAGGCAGAGGTTGCAGTGAGCCGAGATTGTGCCATTGCACTCCAGCCTGGGAGACAGAGGAAGACTCTGTCCCCCTCCCAAAAAAAAATCAATTCTATTTTGTTACATATTGAGACTGTTGCCCAACTTTCTTTTGTGTCATATTTGCCACCAGGTAAATCTTTTTTCCCTGTTTTTAAATTTCAATCTTTACATATCTTTCTGCTTTAAGAGGATTTGCCATATGCATTCATATTAAAAACTTTCAATAAACTAGGTATTGAAGGAATATACCTCAAAAATAATAAGAGCCATATATGACAAACCCACAGCCAACATCTTGCTGAATGAGCAAAAGGTGGAAGCATTCCCCTTAAAAACCAGCACAAGACAAGGATGCCCTCTCTCACCACTCCTACTCAACATAGCGTTGGAAGTCCTGGCTGGGGCAATTGGGCAAAAGAAACAAATAAAGACGTCCAAATAGGAAGAGAGAAAGATAAACTATCCCTGTTTGTAGATGACATGATCCTATATCTAGAAAACCCCATTGTCTCAGCCCAAAAGCTTCTTAAGCTGATAAACAACTTCAGCAAAATATCAGAATACAAAATGAATGTGCAAAAATTACTAGTATTCCTATACACCAAACAACAGTCAAGCTGAGAGCCAAATCAGGAATGAACTCCCGTTCACAATTGTCACAAAAAAAATAAAATACCTAGGAATATAGCTAACTGGGGAGGTGAAAGATATCTACAAGGAGAACTACAAACCACCGTTCAAAGAAATCAGAGATGACACAAACAAATGGAAAAACATCTCATGCTCATGGATAAGAGGAATCAATATCATTAAAATGGCCATACTGCCCAAAACAATTTATAGATTCAATACTCTTCTTATTAAACTACCATTGAGATACTTCACAGAGCTAGAAAAACTATTATTATTATTATTATTTTTTTGAGACGGAGTTTTTGCTCTTGTTGCCCAGGCTAGTGTGCAATGGTGCGATCTCGGCTTACCACAACCTCTGTCTCCCAGGTTCAAGCGATTCTCCTGCCTCAGTCTCCCGAGTAGCTGGGATATTACAGGCATGCGCCACCATGCCCAGCTAATTTTGTATTTTTAGTAGAGACATGGTTTCGCCATGTTGGCCAGGCTGGTCTCAAACTCCTGGCCTCAAGTGATTCCCCCTGCCTCGGCCTCCCAAAGTGGTGGGATTACAGGCCTGAGGCACCGTGCCCGGCCAGAGCTAGAAAAACTATTTAAAAATGCATGTGAAACAAAAAAGGGCCAGAATAGCCAAGGCAATCTGAAGCAAAAAGAACAACGTTAGCAGTATCACACTACCCAACTTCAAACTATACAGGGCTATAGTAACCAAAACAACATGGCACTGGTACAAGAACAGACACATAGACCAATGGAACAGAATAAAGAACACAGAAATAAAACTACACCTATGACTGTCTGATCTTCAACAAATCTGACAAAAACAAGCAATGGGGAAAGTATTTTCTATTCAATAAATGGTGCTGGGAAAACTGGGTAGCCATATGCAGAAGATTGAAACTGCATCCCTTCCTTACACCATCCACCTTAACTCAAGATGGATTAAAGACTTAAATATAAAACTCAAAATTATAAAAATCCTGGAAGACAACCTAGGCAATACCATTCAGGATATACTGGCAAAGATTTCATGACAAAGATGCCAAAAACAATTGCAACAAAAGCAAAACTGACCAACAGGATCTAGTTAAACTAAAGAGCTTCTGCACTAAAAAGGAAACTATCAACAGAGTGGACAGACAACCTACAGAATGGGAGAAAATTTTGCAAACTATGCATCCAACAAAGGTATAATATCCAGCATCTATAAGGACCTTAAATAAATTTACAAGAAAAAAAAACCATTAAAAAGTGGGCAAAGGACATGAACACTTTTCAGAAGAAGACATACATGCAGCCAACACGTATATGAAAAAAAGCTCAACATCACTGATCATTAGAGAAATGAAAGTCAAAACCACAATGAGATACCATCTCACATCAGTCAGAATGGCTACTATTACAAAGTCAAAAAATAACAGATGCTGGCTAGGTTATGGAGAAAAATGAACGTTTTTACACCGTTGGTGGGAGTGTAAATTAGTTCAACCATTGTGGAAGACAGTGTGGCAATTCCTCAAAGACCCAAAGACAGAAATACCATTTGACCCAGCAATCCCATTACTGGGAACATACACAAAGGAATATAAATCATTCTATTATAAAGACACATGAACACATATGTTCACTGTAGCACTATTCACAATATCAAAGACTTGGAATCAACCTAAATGCCCACTAATGATAGACTGGATAAAGAAAACGTGATACACATACACCATGGAATACTATGCAGATATAAATAAGAATGAGATCATGTCCTCTGCAGGGACATGGATGGAGCTGGAGGCCATTATCCTTGGCAAAATAATGTAGGAAGAGAAAATCAAATGCCAGATGTTTTGACTTATAAGTGGGAGGTAAATTGTGAAAACACATGGACACACAGAGGGGAACTGCACACATGGGCCTATTGGAGGGTGGAGGTGGGAGGAGGGAGAGGATCAGGAAAAATAACTAATGTATACTAGGCTTAATACCTGGGTAATGAAATAATCTGTACAACAAACCTCCCTGACACAAGTTTACCTATGAAACAAACCTGCACATTTACCCCTGAACTTAAAAGTTAAAAAAGAGTATTTGTTATAAATCACACATGATTTGGTTCCCTTTTTCCTCCATTATTAGAGCCTTTGTTCTTTTATTGGTAACTGCTGAAGTAAAGATTTACTTTTGCAACTCATTTCACATTCTGTTTTTATTGTACAATGTTTCTTCCCTTTTCTTGCTTTCCATTTGATAGACTGATTTTTTTCTGCTGTATTAAAAGTTATACATACTGATTCTGTTCTTATGGTGGTTGCCTTTAATTTAACACAGTGAGCATTTACCTTTTAAAATGTCTTAACTACCTTAATATTTATATCTTGCCTCCTAAGTTCTTTAGCATACTCTTATGTTCTTTTGATTTTCTACTTCCCTCCCTCTAATGCCAATTCTCCTACCAAGTAGATATTACACACACACACATTCATTTACCCTCTTTTAAAAATATGGTCCTGGATTTGTTGACAAATCACCCTTATATTTGTTGTAAATTTCTTGATTTGATTCTCTTTTTGTGTACTTCCTCTAAGAGTGTTTTTTTTTTTTTTTTTTTACCACGTCCAAGAGTGTTTTAAATATGAGCCTTTGGATTCTTTGCATGATAATAAATTTGTTATGCCATCTCACTTGAATAGCAATTTTGATACATATAAAGTTCTAAACTCCAGTTTATTTTCCTTCACTACTATAAAAATATTATTTTATTTTATTCTTGCATTCATTGCTGTTGAAAAGTCTGACATCAATCTGATCTTACTCCTTTGTAAACTGTTCTTTTTTTTTTTTTTTTTTCTGATAGGGTATCACTCTGTCACCCACTGGAACCTCCACCTCCCGGGTTTGCCTCAGCCTCCCGAGTAGCTGGGACTACAGGCACACGCCACCAGGCGGGGCTAATTTTTGTATTTTTAGTAGACACAGGGTTTCACCATATTGGCCAGGCTGGTCTCGAACTCCTGTCCGCAAGTGATCCACCCGCCTCTACCTCCCAAAGTCCCAAAGTGCTGGGATTATAGGCGTGAGCCACTGTGCCCAGTTGATAAACTCTTCTTTCTAAGTTTTAAAAATATTTATTTGTCTCAATATAACGAGCATAGGTGTGGATTTTTCTGAAGCTCCTGTTAAGTATCCTTTGAACCCTTTTCTCTGAGGTCTTTCATAATTAAAAAAAAATTGTAAATTTATTAGTCATTATTTTCTCACGTATATATTTTTTTCCTCTCACTGTGAGTTCTCTTATGATTCAGATGTTGATACTTCTATTTCTAGCATACATTTTGCTGAACTTTCTTTTATATTTTTGATGTCTTTATTCTTTCCTACTGTCTTCTGGGATTATCTTTCATCTTATCTTTTACCTCACAAATTATTCTTCAGCTATATTTATCCTGGTACTTGTCTAATCTATAGTATTTACAACTTCTACTGTTATAGTTTTAACATCTAATATTCTGTCTTTGTTTTTGTGAGTTACTGGTTTTGCTTTATGTTGCTGGTATCTTCTATTATCTTAAGTATATTTGCCATTTTGTTTCAAGTTCTTGGTTCATCTTCTTCACAATTCTGCATTAGATAGTATATGGTGTTAATTTGTTGTCTATGTTTTGCAATTTTTTTGTTCCTTAGCCATATCATTATGTTGATCTGTGAGCTCACGTCTCCAGGAGGGCACCAGCTAGTCTGTGGGGTAATGTGTAATGGGGAAGAGATAAAGTCAAATACTGGTCTGTGTCCCTCCAGATCCAGCCCTGGTAGAGAGCCCAGAAACACTGTGGATCTCCCCATTTGCCACTACTCTTTCAGGCAACTCCTAGGAAAAGCACAGTTGGGAGTAGGCAGGTGCTCCACGTTGGGATTCACCAGCGCTGGGAGTTGGGGCAGTGGTCGTGAGTAGTGGAGAAGAGAATACCCAAAAGCTCACCCCTAGTTTCATCTGTTCCCTACTGATTTACCTTGAAGATACAAGTAGCCTGGCCTGTTGCAGCCTGTTTATGTATGAAGGGGAGGCAACAATTGTCCCAAGCCGATTGGGAAGGACATAGTGCAGAAATTAAAAAGTCTTCCTGCAGCCTGTTCTCCCACTGTGGCTTATCTCCCAGGATGCAGCCCTGCCCATTCTCTACGCACACCAGCTCAAGACAGCAGTTCTGTCTCTCCTGGCAAATATAAAAACACTTTATACTTATTTCTGGTGTTGCCAGCTCCCCAGATCCTTGCTTCCTTTTGCTTCTCTACCTTTACAAAAATTAATTTTGGGTGAGGGAGCTGGAAGCCTGAACCTACCTATTTGCCATTTCACAGGAACTGGAAGCTTTATTTCTGGTCCTCAAAGGGCAAAGTGACAAGCGACATTCAATAGCTCATGGCCTGAGGCTTCCTGATGCCCAGGGTCTTACACTCGTAGCCAGGACTGATGTGTTGTCATAGCCATTCCAAGGGTCTCTTTTCAAGGTGTCCAATGGGGTGGCAAGCAGGGATTCTGATTCATCTATGCTCCAGGGACAGGAGAGAAAGGAACTTGGAGATTCATGAGGTAGGCATGAAGCTTGGATAGTGGGAGGGGAGGAAGATAGATGTGTGTTGAGCATTTATTGTGCACTCTATTGAGCCCTTGCTGGGTACACCTTGAGGGCTAATTTACTTCACAGAATCCAGGAGGAATGCCTTCAGGGGTACTTTCAGGAAAGTATCCATAGATTTTTAGGAGGCTGTGTGGTGAAGCTATGTTCATACTACTAGATAATATTTACCTTATAGGCTTCATGATGTATAAATCTGCCTTTCCTCTAATTTATAATAGAAGCATCCATATGATTTATGAATTCTTTCAGATTAGCTCTTTTAGGCCATCCTAGCTAAATACTGAGGGTGTTTAGTATCCTCAGGGTGCTTTGCTGCAGCTGTCCCCAGCTGGTCTCGTTTTTTCCTGTTTTCTAATTGGTCTCTACCCCCATTCCTCCCTCAGTCTGTCTTGACAGATGGCAGATGCATCTTCCTATGTGGCAGTGCTTGGCACTAGGTTTGCAGCAAATGCTTGTTGGATTGATTTTCTTTAGATTTGAAGGTTAAAAAGAGAGTTTTTCTCTTTATAGGCACCCATCCCAATTTCTTCTCCTTGCAATGCTCAGTAGTTGCTACCAGGAAGGGCTGTCACCAGGTTGTGTCCTAACTGGAATGAGCTCTTGAGTGGGAGTAAGCAATGTTTGTTGGTAGGTCAAAGGGTTAACAACAGTTTTAAGCTCTTTTTTCCCATGGGAAGATGAACTCCAGTTTACCTTATACTTACTGTTTCTTTGAAATGTACTGTTTGGATAAATGTGAAATGTCAGCTGTATTTTAAAAAATCACATTTATTTATTTATTTATTTATTTATAAGTGTGGAAATGACCCCTGGTTGGTGAACTACATCTATGCTGGGCAGACTGCGGGCAGGCATTTAGACTTGGTGGACCTATATGACCAGACCCGTATGAAAACCTGTTGGGAAATGTAGGCCCTGGACTCTGTTATGGTGTGTTTCTTGAATCCGAATATGCCTGTTTTCTTGGAATCCTCACTCATGGGTTGGTATAAGATGTGGTTCCTGTCATGTGAGAGATTCTTCCATCCTAGAATGGCTCCCCCGTGCCTCTCCCCTACTCCTGTGGTCTTGTCTACTATGACCATGCATATTCCCATGAGATGAGAGGGTTAAGAATCAGCATCTAGAATACATAAAGACTCCTGATGAAGATGTCTAATGCTGTCAGGCTGACAAGCTATGTTTCCATATCCAATATTCCTCTACAAAGCTAAATAAATAAGTTGCCGTATAACAGCCCACCAAGTCTTTTGAGTGTGTATGTTAATCTGAACCCAAGGCACAACTAATTTGTATGAAGTAAGCATTGTAGGATTTTTTTTCCTACAAAAATAACTTTCTCTTCATTGCTGAAATTCTGTTGTAAATAAACAAGTGGTAAGCAGAGGATCATAAAATGTTCCTTGCTCAAAGCCTTAAAATTCCCAAAACTCCAGCATTCAAATTTCTCTGGACAGAATTGGAACCAAAATGAAGTCACAGTTAATAATAAAACATTACATTTGTGTAATGCTTTGAATATTCTAAAGATTTTATTCTACTTTTCCTGTCTTCTCTTCTCTGACTGACTCAATATGGCTTCTCTTGTACCTGCAAAAAGATGACTTCAAAATCCATTTCTCCAATTTTGAACCCACTACAGTACTTGATATCCATGTATGCCACTATTTAGAAGCAAAGGAAATAAAATCATTGAAATGACACTTTGAAATAGACTTGGTAGGACCTGAAAACTCACTGAATCCAATCTTCTCACTCAGACAGTTGAGTGGACAGTGGTTTAATCCACTGAAAGAGGAAATACAAGGGAAGGACATGTTTGAGAGGTGTTTAGAGAATGATTGATAAAAGGTCTTAGAAGAGGTGAGTGTCCACTATTTTTGCACTGGAGTATCTACCCCTGCTCCAAGGTCCCTCATGTTCACATCTGTTGGGGATGATGGGAGGGCCAGAAGACAGCCCACCTCATGGAAATAAGAGTAGCCAGGCTACATGGAGTAGGTCGGGAAGCAAGGAGGCTCAGGACCAAGGAAAGGTTTATCGAATAAATATTATGAAATGCTCAGCTGGTATATGAAGAGCAGTGAGGGTTGGGGGTATCAGGATCACAATCCATATTCAGTTCCAAGATGTCTGGACCATTTCACAGTTGGGATATGGTCTTCCTCTAAGGAAGAACATGGGCTGTTTTTTTCATACTTCTGATCACAGTTGGCAAGAAGGAATGGTTGGAGTAATAGACTAGTAGTTGGGTTCTTAGATTTGTTTCTTTAATCAAATTCTCATGGCTAATGGCAAGATAGAATATGCTTATACAGGACATTTATCTGAAAGTTGTGTTACAGACAACATCCATTAGAATCATCCAGGGTACTTCATGAAAATGCAGATTTCTGAATAACCTCTAGAACTGCTGAATTAGGATCCCTGGGCTGGAGCCTGAGAATTTGCATTTAAGCCTACTTCTTAGCAATTCTTATGTACACTAAAATTTAAGAAGCATATGTAAGCTGGTTAATTATGAATTATTCTTATCAATGAAAAATTATACCAAATGAGAATTAAATGGGACAACTGGATATTTCATTGCTTTGAAGAAGCTGGTGACAACTTCATCTAAGACTTCCCAGTTGCTCTTTCAGTATTACTTCTAAATTTACTATTGCAGTTTATTTTTCATTAAATCTTCCTTCTACTGGTACAAAGAAAAATATCTTTGTCTTCCCTTTTAATTTTATTTATTTATTTTGTTTGAGACAGAGCCTCACTCTGTTTCCCAGGCTGGAGTGCAGTGGTGTGATCTCGGCTCACTGCAACCTCCACCTCCTGGGTTCAAGCGATTCTCCTGCCTCAGCCTCTCGAGTAGCTGGGACTACAGGCGCCTGCCACTATGCCTGGCTAATTTTTGTATTTTTAGTAGAGACGGGGTTTCACCATATTGGCCAGGCTGGTCCCAAACTCCTGACCTTGTGATCTGCCAGCCTCGGTCTCCCAAAGTGCTGGGATTACAGGCGTGAGCCACTGCGCCCGGCCAATTTTATTTTTTAATTAAACATTTCTGAGACATTTTGGCTTTAATGAAAATGTTTCCAAAGCATGTTCAAAGCGTAGTCCTTAGTTTGATGGTCTGAAGAATGGAATCATTTATTAGTGGAGTTCAATAAATATTTATTCGCATTTATACATACAAGGTCCTTTGGACAGAGTAAGAGACACAAGACACCACCACTCCCTGAAAGAGCACACAAAACAATTACATAGATAAGACCAACACACACATTTGAACTGTGGTATTGAAACTTAAAAAAAAAAAAAGCCTAAAGCCCTCTCAGTAAAAAAGAGTTGAGTACTTATCGACACTTACATGTTTATTTATACATTATCCCATGTACTAGCATATGGCTTGACTATATACACCAGAACTCACACTGTAACAAATAGAAAGTTTATAAGTTACCAAAATAAATAGAAACTTTAACACTTCCTTCCTGTATCCTCAAGGATCATTTGCACATTCCCTGTAGTGTGCACATTCCATTTTGTAAACCAGTGTTTTTAGAAAACAATGCCTACCTATATATAACCAAGCACTAAGTTCTGTGTTACAGATTAAAAAAACCATTTTAGAGTAAAGAGAAATAAGAGCAAACCCAGACTACTAGAACTGGTAAATGAAAGGAATAGCATTCAGAAAACAATGTATATTCAATAAATAGATAAAATAATAGGAAACATTTGCTTTGGGTTCATGTCAAAGCCTATTAAGAAGGAGACATAGACATAGGACAAAATGCATATGTAGAGGAAAAAGAAACAAAATATAGAAATGTAAACATTACTTCCTTCTGGCAAAATGTCTTCTAGCCTTTGGTGAGGTATTTCCAGACATTTATAGGCTACACTCTGCCAATGATTTTATTTAAGGATGACACAGTGAATGCTTATTTTTATGTCTACAAAAAAAGTTACAAAATTTAGTTATTCACACATTCATTCATCAGTGCCTCTTGATATTGGAAATGTTTCTCCCTATTGCTTTATGGATTGACTGTATTCCTGAAAAGCTTGAATTACATTTTAAAAACTCAGCCATAAGCTTTGTGGGAGACAGACTGTACCTGTCAAGTTCCCTCTTGTATCTCTGGCACCTCGCATAGCATCAGGCTTATAGTGAATATTCAAGAATGTCCTCTCGATGGTTGCAATATATTTGAAAATCTCAGCATTGAAAGGAATTCTGTGACAAACCACTTAAAAAAGTTAAAATGAATGAACATTCAGTAAATTCTGATTTTGATGAAACACAGTTGTTCATAAGTGGACAAAACTATCCTTTAAGTAAACCCATGGGGACATTTGAGTTGAATAATTTATAGAGACTTATAATCTGAAAGAGAGCGCAGACATAGTCTCATATTCTTTTACCACACAGATAAGGAAAAGCTGGAGCTCACAGAAACTTGAAAGAGCTTGCCCAAGGCCACATCACTATTTAGGAGCAGTTATTTTAATATGTAACAAATTACGTGTGATTAATCTTTTTCAGAAGGGGTTACTGCAGGTTTTCTTAAAGTAACAGTATTAGATAATATTTTATAAAACTTAAAAACTCTATAACATAATGCTTCATAATGTTTAAGAATTCATAAACATTTAGTAAAAATATTAAAAACATGCATAGCAATGATAAAACTGACTTCACATTGGTGGTTATATCTGGGGGCAGTGAAAAGAAAATGGAAGGATTCAGAGGTATCAATTTTATTGTAGTCACTGATTTATTAAAAAAACCATTGAAACAAATAGGACAAAATACTAAGATTTAATAAAGCTGGGTGTTTGGGTAATGGGGGTTTATTTGCCTTTCTGTGTGTTTAAAATACTTAACAATACAAATATTAAAACTAAAATTAGTAAGAGATTTGTAAACTAATAGGTTTTTTAAAATACCAAGCAGAGGAACAAAGTCAACTGTTATTTATCCAAAGAACCATTAACAGAAATAGGCTATATATATATATATATATATATATATATATATATATATATATGCTAAAGGGTTTAGTCAACAAAGTAGATATTCTATAATTAGCAGCATGAAGGAGTTAGAGTACATCTTATGTTGTTATAATTAATAGTAAATATTTGTAACATACAGAAAATACATGGAACAACAGTCATGCAACCACTACTCAAATACAGTTGTGCTGTTTGCACCTGACTTCAGGTCCACCTTTCTTTTCCCTCACCAGATGCAATTACTAGTTTAAAGTTAGTGCATATCATTTGTTATTATGTTGTGAGAATTGTCCTTGTGAAATATGGACATTTAGTTTATTTTAATGGTTGCACAATTTATTGTAGAAAGGCAACACAATTTTATTTACTTTTTTATGCACTGATGGGCATCCCCTGACTTTCCACCAATTATAAGCAAACCTGCAATGAACATCCTTATGCATACTTCTTTGTTTTTGTATTTGAGAATGTCTTCAGGTCTCTAGGGCATATAAACATAGAATTGCTTGTCTGTAGGATTCTTGTCTCTTTAAATTTGTACAACACTGCATATGTGAAATAAGTAGTTGAAATAAGTGGGAAAACTAACCCTTCCACCAAGATTCTATGCAAATTCCCATTTCTTCACATTTCTGCTTCAGCACGTGGTATTGTTAGGCTATCTACCTTGAGATAATAAAGTTATTCTACATTTCCCCCCCAAAGCTTTAAACCTTTACCTTTTCACATTTAGCCTTTTATTTCATTTAAAATTTATTTTTGTAATGGTGTGAGGTAGAGATCTGGTTTCATTTATTCCCCATGGTGATAGCCTATGTTCCTGCAATATTAACTGACTTATCCAACAGTTCTCAAAATGTGATCAGAGGATTCCTGGGGATGTTGGGAGGGAGAGATCCCTTGGATCCTTTTAGAGGGTCAACAAGGTCAAAAATATTCATAAAATTAAGATGTTATTTGCCTTTTTTTTACTCTCACTCTCATAAGTGTACAGAAGGGTTCGCCAAAGACAACAATGGCATGTGATGAATAGTGATGACTATTTCTCTGATACCTAACAGATTGTGTGCCTGTGTATTGTATTTTCTAGAGTTTTCAAAGGTAGTGAGTTTACGGTATAAGTATGTAGTTTTCAGAAATTATTTCTTTTCTACCATGCTCTTACCAGCTATCTTCAGTTATACCTGTTATAATCTCTGTAATCTCATTATCTTCCAAGAAATCATTTTTAAATCCTAAAGTTTTTCCTTTTACACAGAAACATAACAAAAATTATGTTTACTTTGTTGTTTTGCAATAATATATTTTTCAAAAATGTTTTTAATTAAAAAATTTTATCTGAATAGGGTGGATGGTTGGCTTTAAAAAGGGAGAAGAGAAAACACATTTTCTGGTGTCTAGATTGCCTATGTCTAGAGATGCTGAAAAGGATGACATTGACATATCAGCAAGTTATCTGATTCCTCATAAAAAGGAGAAATCTATTCCAAAGAAACTGAGCACAACTATACACAACAAAAATATGTTGAAAGTGATCTTTTGTTCAGCTTTATAGATGTTAATAATTTATCATATTGTGTCTTGTGCAGTAAAACATTTTCAAACACTTATATGGTTCCAACAAAGTTGCAGTATCATTTTGGGACCAATCATTCAGAATTTATTAAAAAAAGGAATTAAATAACCGAAATGTAGATGTAATACACTCTTTAAAAGCTTCTTACAGGATAAGCCATCATATTGTATTGGCTAGAGGAGCACACACAATCACAGAGAGACTAATAAAGGCTTGAACAGTTGACATTGCTGAATACCTGCTGGATGAAAAATCACCACAAGAATGCATAGTGCTGGCATTTTCCAATGATGCAATAACTTGTCAAATTAAAGATTTAACTGCAAACATAAAGACTGAGTTAATATATCATCTAAAGAATTGTACCTTAGCCTTACAAAGGGACTGATCTACAGATGGCTATACATCCTGTTTTGCTTTCATTCATCAGGTATCAGCATCAATTGACCATTGATGATCTTCTTTTATGTGAATTCTGGGCAACAGGGGTTCTGAAACATTAAAAGTGTTATATGACTTTTTTGAATCTGGTGGTTTATCCTCAACAACTGTGTTAACTGTGTTAACATTTGCACTGATGGTGCAAAAATGGTGGATTTTATCCAATGGTGGGTAAAATGACTGGTGTCTTAGCACGAATTAAGGCAATGGCACCAAATTTTATTAGTAGTCATTGTATTCTTCACCACCACACATTCGTAGTAAAAAAAAAACAGTTTTACTAAAATAATGTCCTTGATGAAGTTGTAAAAATTATTTTCTACTAAATCTCAACCCTTAAGCACATTTAAAAAAATTCTTTGTGACACAATGTGATGTACCCATAAAACACTTCTACTGCATGCTGAAATATAGTTGTCTTTTGGAAAAACACTTGTTTGAGTTGCAAGCTGAATTAGCCACTTTTTCTTTTCTTTCATGGAAACACCATCTTTTCACTTGGAAAAAAAAAGTGACAGAAAATTGATTATTCAGACTTGGGAATTTGGCAGACATTTTCTTGAAAATAAACAGTGATACTATCACTTTAGGGAAAACAACTAGTTGTATTTGTTGCCAGTGCTAAAATTTAAGCTTTTAAAAGTAGAAGTTGGAATTTTGAAAAGCTTGTATCTGCTACTGTGGGATACTTAGAATTTTTTCTGATATCAGCAGCAACATTAATGAATATAATATTTTTTTGAGACAGGGTCTTGCTCTGTTGTTAAGGCTGGATTGCAGTGGCATGAACAGGGCTCACTGAATGCAGCTCTCAACCTTATGGGCTCAAGTGATCCTCCTGCCTCAGCTTTCCAAGTAGCTGAGACCACAGATGTGCACTCCACTCTTGGCAAATTTAAAAAAATTTTGTAGAGATGGGGTCTTGCCATGTTGCCCAGGCTGGTCTTGAACTCCTGGGCTCAGACAGTACTCCTGCCTTGGTCTCCCAATGTGCTGGGATTACAGGCATAAGCCACTGCAGCCAGTTTGAGTTTTTGATATTGCATGAAATGTTTGAACATTTCGAATACCTCCATAATTCAGTAAACAGATATTTCCTAATGACCATATAATGTTACAGAATCTTACATGAGTAAAAATAATTTCAAAATGCGGATAGGCCAATAGATTTCAATGACTTCCTGTTGTTTATCCCCTGAACCAGAAGATTTACACTCACCCTAGATTCTTACCTTTCCCTCAACCCCTTCATTCTATTACTCAGTACTCAGTGTAAATTCCACCTCCCAGACAGCAGACAGCTCTTAAGTGTATGCTTTCCTGTTCATTACTATTTCTAATGCCCTCATTCAGAACTCTGGCAACTTACTTTATGATGTCAAATCTCTTACGTAGCATAAGAGGCCACTGCCCACCTCTCTTCTCTAGCTTCCCCCATTTCACTGTATTGTCTAGTAAGCTGATCTTATTATAGCTTTTTTTTTTTTTTTTTAGACAGAGTCTCTCTGTCGCTCAGGCTGGAGTGCAGTGGTGTGATCTCTGCTCACTGTAATCTCCACCTCCCACCTTGAGCACTCCTCTCGCCTCAGCCTCCCAGGTAGCCGGGACCACAGGCGCACACCACTGAACAGGGATAATTTTTTTTGTTTTTGTAGAGACAGTGTTTTGCCATGTTGCCCAGGCTGGTCTCGAACTCCTGGGCTCAAGTGATCCACCTGCTTCAGCCTCCCAAAGTGCTGGGATTACAGCCACTGTGCCCAGCCTATTATAGCTCTTTATAAAACAAAAACAACAAAAAAACCGAACATATTGATTCATGACTCCCTACCTTTGCATTCACATGATTCCTTTGCCTGGAATGTCCCCCTTCTTCTACCTGCTTGGGAATTCCTAGCTATATCTACTAAAATTCTATTCAGATGTCTTTTTCCAGGAAGCTTTTCTTAACCTAACTCACGCCATTAAGTTATTCGCTTTATTTTTCTAGGTTATCTTCTATTTGTTTCTACTGTTGTACTCATCATTCTGTAAGGTATTGGGGCTCTGTAGAATTTCTGTTACAAAATTACTTTTTGGTTTGATAATATTTACCTACATTGAGCAATCCCATAAGAAACAGGCCTGTGAAACTCTCTATTGGGTTTCCTAAAACAATATTGTTGAGAGATTATTTAATTACCTAGCTTTCTTTTTATAGGGACTTGCCAGAGAAATATATTTCTGGTCTTATCATATTAGTTACTCTTCAGATTTGTTTTAGAAAATAGTCACCATTAACACCTTTTAGAATTGGTTGGTGGAAAGTTTCCAATCAAAATTGTGGTCCACCTCTAGCAAGCTGTAAAATTTTATGATCTCCAATTAGCCTCAGTTTAAACTCTAGTCAGGCATTTAGCTTCACAAAAACTGAAGTCAGGGATAGTCAGTTTTCCCATATTAGTAGAGAGCTGGGAAGTGCTGATGTGCACAACCTGCAGCCTGAAATAGTTGCTTTTTCTAAATAACAGTAAAACTGTTGCTCTCTGAGGATGGATAGGTGGATGCTATTTGTTGTTTGCAAAGCTTAGGGAACCCTGTGGTTGAGATTTTTTCCAATACATGCATTTTTTTTCCCTTTGCAAAGGGACTTTGGATAATTGTTAATTTTCCCAAGAATATAATTATAATTCTTTTATTGTTTAAATAGAGTTAATAGTTTATCTACAGTTTCACTTTCTGCAGTTTCAGTTATCCATGGCTTGAAAATATTAAGATATTTTGAAAGAAAGAGGAAGAAAAAGAGGCGTCAGTCACATAACTTTTATTACAGCACATCGTTACGTTTCTATTTCATTATTAGTTATTGTTCATATCTTACTCTGCCTAACTTATAAACTTTAACATGCATATGTATGGGAAAAAAAACATAGTATATATAAGGTTTGGTACTATCTGCAGTTTCAGGCATCCACTAAGGATATCAGAACATATTCTCTGCATATTTAGGAGCAATTACCGTATGATATTTTTTTCTTTCTGTGTAAACACATGGTGTCATAGTCCATTTTGTGCTACTGTAACAGAATATCACAGACTAATAACAAATAACAGAAATTTATTGGCTTATAGTTCTGTAGGCTGAGAAGTCCAAAATCAAGATGCTGGCATCTGGGAAGGGCTTTTTTGTTGCATCATCACACAGAGGAAGGTGGAAGGGTGACAGAGAGAGCAAGAAGGGGCTGAACTTACCCTTTTATAACATCACCAATCCCACCCTAATCACCTCTTAAATATTCCACCTATTAATACTGTTATCATGGCAATTACATTTCAACATGAGTTTTGCAGGGGAGAAACATTCAAATCATAGCACATGGGTTAGGTGAGAAATGAAGAGTGAGGTATACAAGAGCATCCAGAACCATACTATATACATTCCAGCTGTTTTGGTGTAGAAGCAGCACAAATGTAGAAGCTGCATTGTTTCTTGATAAAAGGGTCCTGGAAAGATGACCAGCTATACAGTTTCCACTAGAGGAAATGCAGATTGGCTTGTACGACTTTAGAGTATGAAATATAAAGATCTGGAGTCTGTTCCATGTTTTTTCAGGACTGGTGTGACTATATTATGGATAACGAAGGAAAGGAGCCTCCTTTGAAAGAAGCATCTAAATTAGGGATGGGCTCCTCATTTGGAGGATGTTAGAAACTACGAATCAATGTCTCTCATGTTCAATGGAGCTCCCATTTTTATCGGTTTCATGAGACTATTATTAATTTATTTGAATCCAAGATGAGTCTCAAATATACCCAGAAGAAAAAAAATTAAGAAATGAAACCAAGACTCCTAATGCTTTGAATGTTCGTAACATTCGAGAAAAATTTGAGCCTGGGCTATATAATCAAAGTCTAGGATTTGTGAACCTAACAGGGTTCCACTGTCACCTGTTTTCAAGAGAGTGCTGAGAAAAATTCCAATCTATACCTTAAACAATTAGGTTAAATGATTTAAAGAAATTAGCCTTCAGAGGACTGAATTTTTAATGATTTTTCTACTTGGAAAATGTGACTTCTAAATAAAAAAAGTGCTTGCTTATTATAAAACCTTGGTTCAAAGGTAAATACTATGTTCTGACAAGTGTAAAATAAGTACAAGCACATGTGAAAATAACTGTTAACAGCAAATGCTTAAGAAGTGTTCTTGTTTTCTAAAATAAACATTTCCTGTTCCTAAAGTTTTTGGATCAGAAAATGGAAAAATATAACTCTAGTTAATGGGGATATGCAATTTGACTGTAGACCAATAATTAATTGTCATAAAGACTTTAAAAATCCTTCTAGATTAATAATGTGTAGAGGAGTCTTAGAGGATTACTCAGTAAAATAAATTCAAGGTAACAATATTAATCTAAGTTTCTTTAATATTCTTGATCTGGGTAAACATTTTCATAAATTAATTTTGTGAATTTTGAGTTTAAAATATGTCCTGCTCTAATTTCACCATGTGTAAAATAAAAAGGCAATCATAGTATTTTAGTCCATATAAAACCATGCCTCCATTTATAAAAACAGACTTTTTTTGGACAGTTTAACAGTTACAGAAAAACTGAACAGGAATTACAGAGAGTTCCCGTATGTCCCCTCAAGCCCTCTTCCCTCCAGTTTCCACTATTAGTAACATCTTGCATTAGTGTGGTACATTTGTTAAAATTGGTGAGCCAATATTGATACATTATTAAGTCCATAGTTTACATTAGGGTTCACTCTTTGTGCAGTTTTATTGGTTGTTATATTTTATTGGTTTTGACAAAGGTATGACATGTATCCACCATTACAGTATCATTCAGAATAGTTTCACTGCCTTAAAAATCCTCTGTGCTCCACCTATTCATCCAACCCTTCCCATGGACCACTGGTAACCACTACCTTTTCACTGTCTCCATGGTTTTGCCTTTTCCAGATTACCATATAGTTGGACTCATACAATATGTAATCCTTTCAGATTGGCTTTTCCTTAGCAATATGCATTTAAGGTTCCTCCATTATCCAGAGATGGTTTTAGTTGTCACAACTTGGGTAGAGAGATCAGGGGTCAATGCTACTGGCATCTAGTGGGTGGTAGAGACTGAGGTAGCTCATGAGCATCCTACAATGCCCAGGACAGCCCCCTACAAAAAAGAATTATTCAGCCCCAAATGCCAACCATGCTCGAGGTTGAGTAACCTTGTGTTAAGAGTGACATGTGGCATGAGAAATGGGGCGGTTTTGGCTCATGTTGTGATATTCTAGATTCAGATATTTCCCTGAGCAGAGAGGCTGAAATGCTGAAAATTTTTCATTTGATGACCTTGATGCTTCCTTTCCTGACCATCGTAAAGAACAAATGGCTCCTTTGCTTTGGCAAGAAATACTGAAGGTGGTGGCTTTTTTCTGTTTGTTTTGAAATGAAGTCTTGCTATGTTGCTCAAGCCAGTCTTGAATTCCTGAACTTCTGGTCTCAAGTGATCCTCCTGACTCAGCCTCCAGAGTAGCTGGGACTACAGGCACATGTTACTGCACCAGCCTTCAACGTGATTTTTTTTATTTCATTCAGGTGACAAACTCATGCTGAGGTTCCCAATTTTTGTCTCAGAGCTAGGATATTCTAAATTTGTAAAAAAAAAAAAAAAAAAAAAAAAAAGTTAAGAAATATTAACTTTCTATGAAACACTCTAAATACTAACAAAGAGCTTGGTGAGTTCTCCCACTTACCTGTGTCCCATCTGTGCTTCAGTTGCAAATATATATATATATACACAGAGAGAGAGAGAGAGTCTTATTCTGTCACCCAGGCTCCAGCGATCCTCCCTCCTTGGCCTCCCAAAGCACTGGGATTATAGGGATGAGCCACTGCCCCCAGCTCAGTTGCTTATTTTGCATTATTTCAAGGCAGTGGAGGCAAAACGCTCAAAATTAATTTCTCACAGATCAACATCACATCTTGGAGTAAAACAAACACATATTGAAGGTATTTTAATGTATGTTTTCTTGAACTTCTTCTAACTAATAGGGGAAATATTTTCATTAACTTTTACCAAAGATTTCTGGATAGTGTAAATATATTTTTCTATTTGGGTAACAGTTTATAGTATGCTGTTATTTCTCTGTTCATTTATTTATTTTTATCATATACCTCCTAGAGTAAGATTTAATTTGATGGAAATGTTTTGTGGATTCTGCTGTAATTAATGCACATAATAGCAGTCAGTAATAGAATTTCTGTAAACCTATATTTATTAATTATCTAATACCTTCTCTTCATTTTGCTGTTGATTTCCACTAAGTAGATTAAATTGTGTTCTTAAAAACAGAAATTCATTTGTGTATGGATACAAAACAGAATGTTCCCAAATGCAATCTTGGATGTGATGCTCTAAACTTTAGAAATCCAGCTTCATTTATTTTGGATTAATTTCTCCCGCTTGGAGGCTGACACACTGTTTTACATCTATCAAATGCATGATTATAAAATTAACAATTTTGTACAATAATGAAATTAAACACACACACACATGAACTGTAAACTATACAGCACCATCTCTGTGTCATAGTTTTAAAAGGCACTTCCAGATGACATAAAAAATGAAGAGATATTTTTTAAGAACCTATTGATTTTTGATCTCCAATTTTGTGTGTGGGGGGTTGTTTTTCTTTAACCCTAGTTTTATCTAATTTGAGATTCATGAACAAGGTATCTCTAAGGGAAAGAGCAGCAGGTATAATTATTAGTTATTTTATAAGACTTTGTGAAGTCTTTGGTATAGTTCTAAAAACAAAGTGAAAGAACCTAATGTATGTATAAAAATAGTTTTGCAAGTCAATTGGTTTCTAATTCTTTGCTTTCAACAAAATTGAAGAAGAACCTTATACTTGAGTTGTCAGCTGACAGATTATTAAAAATATTATTTAATAATAGCCCATTATGTGAGTTTTGCATACGACTAAGAAGAAATTTTAAAAATTGGGTGAAGTTGCCTCAACAAGTCTTTATTTTCTCATTCATTTATATGATCAAGATTCCTTAGTTCTTTCATGTTAAAATTTTTTAATTGAAATAATATACAGCCCAGATTCATTAACAATAAGTAACATTTGTCAACATGAAATTGGGAAAATAAAGTCCCTATCCATCTCATTAAGAGATGCATTTCTAGTTAAATTTTACCATTACAAACTTACACTTTTATTTACCAAAATGTGTATTACAGATTGAGCATCCCTCATCAGAAAATCTGAAATGCTCCAAAATCTGAAACTTTTTGAGCACCAATATGATGCCACATGTAAGTACTGTACTTAACACAACTTCATTTCACATATAAAATTATTTTAAATATGGTATAAAATTACCTTCAGGCTATGTGCATAATGTATATAAGAAACATAAGTGAACTTCATGCTTAGACTTGGGTCCCGGCCTCAAGATATCTCATTATGTATATACAAATATTTTAAAATCCAAGATAATCTGAAATCCAACACACTTTTGGTCCCAAGCATTTCAAATAAGGCATATCCAATCTGTACTGACATTATTTTGATCTCTAACAGTTGGTAATCCTATCTTAATCCATATAACTTTTTTTTGAGACAGCATCTTACTCTGTCATCCAGGGTAGAGTGCATGCAGTGGCACGATCATGGCTCACTGCAGCCTCGACCTCCTGGGCTCAAGTGATCCTCCTACCTCAGCCTCCCAAGTAGCTGAGACTACAGGCAGGAGCCACCATGTCCAGTAATTTTTTTTTTTTTTGTAGAGATGAGGTTTCCCTATGTGCCTAGGCTGGTCTTGAACTCCTGGGCTCAAGTAATCCTCCTGCTTCAGCCTCACAAAGTGCTGGGAGTACAGGTGTGGGCCACTGCACCCAGCCCATATAACTTTTACACTTACAACAAGAAATTAAAAATTCAATGTAAGAACATATTTTGTTGCAAAGAAGCAGAATAGGTGGCTCAATAAAAGATTTCCAAGAACAAAGAAAAAAATTACATTAGGATGTAACCAGGGTTGAGAACTCAAAAAAAAAAAAAAAAAGAAAAAGAAAAATTCTACATGGGGGGTAGAATAAAAATATGAATTCAAAGTGGGAAAAAAGAGCAATGTAAAATTTCCAACCATTAAGAAAGAGGTTGTTTGTATATTTTTTAAATTAATGATAATGGGTGTCAAAACATTATGATATTTAGATTGAATTGAACATATGAGCGATTAACAGTTTTATTTTAAAGTGTTAATATGGAGAATATGTTGGAAATTATATATTTTTTGCAACTATCTGGACACATGTTGACAATTTTAGGTCTATCTAAGTCTATGGGAGGAGGCATATGACATTTCACAATCCTTGTAGGAGAGATGTGAAGGGAAGACCCCTGAGCTATTCTTCCTCCTTCTTGTGTTACCCCAGTAGGAAAATGGACTTATAACTGGAGAAGAGAAGCTAGGTGTCAGCAGAGACATGATGGAGTGGACATTTCTTTCAGTCCTTTACCAGGAAGTCCTTTCAAACTGAGGAGGAACATACTAAGGGAGAGACACACTAGTCTTGAAGCCCATGGCATTCCTGAAGATCCACCTCACACCCCAAATTACCAAACCCCAAAGCTCTCTTCAGCTCAGTAGGTTGTCCTTTAATTTTCAGTAACCCTTCCCTACAGCAGAAGAACCAATTTTTCTTTTCCCTCATAATTTGAATCCCTCCCACTAATTTATTTGAAGATGAAGATATTATCCTCTTTTACTACCAGTGAAAATACAATGACTTGAGAAGAGAAAATGATCTGTGTGACGCCAGGGTAGAAGTGGAAGTTGTGGGCCCTCGAATAAACCACTAGTCTTATACTTGAAGCAGGATAAACAATAAATGCCAAACCCAAGGCAGAAACTAGAAACATGGAGGAAAAGAGGCATAAATGCCTCATATTAGACAGTTACATTCTAAGAAATCTTTCTTGCAGCAGTTACTTTCCTACAATGACCAACTTCCTCTGACTCCAAATTTACTCCTTATGTACACTTGGGTTAGATATTCCTTTGACTATCCAATCATACCATTGTATAGTACCATTTACACATGCATACATGCTCACCTAAAGAACTTTTTGTGTGTGTGTGTGTGTGGTTTTTTTTTTTAAATCGAGTCTGGGACCTGGTTTCGCTCCATTGAGTCACTGGTGAAAAATTTAGTAAATCTACGAAGAGAGTTTAGTAAGTGTAAGAAGAGTCTGCTCACTGTGTGTGATATTCCAATAGATTCATGTGTTCTACACACAGGGATCTCTTGGATATAAGGGAGGCATTTCTCAGGTGTCTGGGTGACTTTCTGGTCATTATCCAGGTTCCTGGCTCAGCTTCCCAGGTCTCTTTGAATAAGCAGAGGGGATCCACATTCAGACAAGGCTCCTGGGGCTCTGACCAGAGGGGCTGGACATCCCTGGTAGACCTGACATTGGGCACTGAGACTCCTGGAAAACTTAAGCTGTTAATTTTGCAGTTCTCCATCTTGACTGCTTCTCGGACTGACCATCAGTTGGTGGGTTTTCATCAGCCTTCTGCCTCACCTCCTCTGATCCAAGCAGCAGCAGGGACTCACTTGCATGCACTGGTCTTGTAGGCAGTGACTTTTAAGCCACATCCTCTGTCTACCAGGCTAAACTTGCCTGCCTGAGAGGCATACTCCTTCCATCCTCTATCGTACATCTGTGAGCTACCAACTCTGGCCCTAGTGTGATACTGCCAGAATGTTGTGTACCTCATCTATTTAGAGTGGGAAGCCCATAAGGCAAACTGAAGAGGCCCCGTATCCTCACTCCCTTTCTGCTCAGTTTTTTCATTTATATTATCTCAACTTCACTCTACTAACCAGAGCACCAAGGAAGGGTAGGTTAGCAATTACGTCTATGATGACTATAGAGAAGTGGGGAGATGACTTATGATCCTCTTTGTGCTGGATTCCCTACTGAAGGCATCTGATGGCTTCTGATTTCCCTGGTCTGAGAAGAAAGTCCCTCTCCACCTCTCCCTCCTTACTCTACCTCAGGCTGAGGGGCTCAGGCAACCTTTTATGTTGCATATGGCATAGGTATCTCTGCCTCACTCCAGAAGGGACCAACCAATAGCCACCTACTCACCTACTTCTGAGGTCTAGTGCCTACAGACCTGGTGTTCATAAATTTAAGTTCTGGATTTAGGTCTCCTTTCCTGTAGCCAGGTGATCAGTGACCGGCAAAAATCAAGATCCCAGACTTCCTGAGTAACCTCATCAAGACTGAGGTAACAGCTCACATAGCTAGTGCATAGACAGATGCAGGTTACATGGAGTCTGAATCCCGTACACATTTGGAGGCTCCCTTTGGGACTGCTGGGATGCATGAAACATGGGATTTCACTCACAGTTGTGCTCACTATGTGTGATATTCCTATAGATTCATGTCTCTACACACAGGGATTTTTGATCATTCTGAATTGTTGATTCCCATAAAAAATGAATACATGGTGATCACTGTATATGCTGCATTACTGAATACATATTTACGAGAGTCTCCAACACATCTTTACACGTCTGAGGAGTAAAAGAATTTCCCACAGATTAGCTTCTGGTTCCCATTTCAAACCTCATTTCTGTTCCACCTCTGGCATTGGGTGTAGTATGGCTCCTTAGTGCTCCAGGCCAAAATAAGTGGCACAGGGGTAAAGTCATTTCTGGTGGGGGGTGGGGGATTTGGAGAAAAAAAGAAAGGATTGCAGGGGAGTACACTGGGAGGGTTAGGAGAAATTCTGGAGATACGGTCCACTCAATGGAGGCACATACAACCAAGCTGAGAAACGACATAGTACCCAACAGAGTTGGGAGATGTGAAACCCAAACATCAATCTCCACCTGGGCATAGAGGAAATACTCGATTTCCAAGCAGGTTCTAGGTTCAGAGGAGAGAGCCCTTGGTTGGAAGCGCCGGTCTTGCAGGATGGGGTGGGGGCGTTAATGCAAACTTCTGGTCCAGCAGAGGTAGAAACAGACCAGATCTAAGTAGCAGCTCAGAGGCAGCGGACTTGAGGGATGAAGACGTGAGGCCCAGAGGGTGGTGCCTGGCAGAGAAAACAGCTGCCAGACACCAAGGCCACCTCGGGTTAAAGGGAACAAGTTATATCCAAAAAAAAACCAACACGGTGAAAATAGGAAGAATAAGGATATCACCTGGAGTGTTCTCCTGAGACACTCCCCAAGAACCTGGATTCTTTAACAATCCCTCCAGAGCAGGGACACTCAGCACATACATCTCCCACAAAGTAAAGTGTCTGAAGGCCTGGGCAAACCCTTCTCCCTCCCCTTCTCTCTCCTCCACGGGCCGGCCCGGAGGAGGCTCAGGGATGAGAACTACTGTCACTGCTGTTCCCCACCTCACCCCAACGAGAGAGGAATCTTTAGAGGTCTGTATCCCTCCTTCACCACCCCGCCTGAGCGCCTGCTGGAAAACACAATCACCGTCTCAAATCTCACCCTGCAACTGCATCCAAGCGCTTTCTCCAAGCGTTCGGGGAGCCGCCGGAACTCTTCTTCCAGGCAGGCGTTCCGAGACTCCGCACAATAGGTACCTACCCTTGGGGTTTTGAGCCGCAGTGTCTGCCTCTGTTCAAGTATCCAGGCTCAGGTACAGACCTTTCAGTGCAGGCGGCGGGAGGCGCGAACACGGAGGACCCCCTCAGGCATACTGCCGCCCGGGCGGCGCCTGACAGATTGCCTCCTTGGGATCGGCGGACATGCCCTGGGCGCTCCAGCTCCGCGCGCCTCAGACACAGGCTATGATTGGCCTGGCTGAACGTCAATCAGGGCTCGGCGCCGTGGAGGCGGGAGGAACGCTGTAGGCAGAGGCCGCTTAACTCCCTACGGGGTTATTCTCCGCCTCTTCTAGGGTAGGCAGGTGTTCCCGAGTCCCTTAGGGGGGGTCCCCGCGGCGGCCTGAGATGCTCGGCGCCAGGTTGTCGCGCCCTTGAGCTGGCTGAAGTAGACATTGACTCTGGAGAGTCTGCGTTTTTCCTGGTCCCAGAGCCGTGGTCCCGATACTGCGCTTCCCGCTCCTCCAGTCCCAGCTCCCAGGCTCCGTCTTCTCCCGCTTGGCGCTGGAGAAACACCGGAAGAGAGAGTCGCAGAGTGACTGCTGTGGCCCTGCGACCTGACTGCCACCTTCCAGGACTCTAGCCCTGGCTCCTTCTAACCTTCCCGCCCCTCAGTGCCCCAGAGAGGCTGGTTTGCGGACAATTATTCATCAGCCGGAAGAAAAGGAGGTGCCAGTGTTAGGCGCAGAAGAGGGTTGGACCAGAAAAGCTGGAGAGGGGCAAGAGGGGAAAGAGGGGGAAGGGGGAAGGCGGAAGGCGGAAGAAGTTGGGAGGGGTAACAGCTCGAGCTTTTCCTCTAGCGTAGTTTCTCTTCTCTCGGTGCCGCCCCATCTGCTTCTTGCCTCAGTTCCCCACTCGCACCCGTGCACCTCTGCGGCAGGCGTGTGAAAGGAATGGGAGGGGGGGCTTTTGGTCGGGATATCTGGTCCTCCAGACCCCACAGCCTTGGCTGAGAACTTACTTAAGCCCACTCCAACTGACTTGATAAATGAGAATCTTGACCAGCCCACTGGTAGGTAGAAATGAGGGACGTCATGTATCCCTGAATGGAATAACCCGAAACCGCAGGTCCCGTGGATGTGGGAATCCACAGCACTGGCTGCGCTCCTAAGGCTCCTAAGTCCACTTCCGAACCTCATCTAAGACCCTGAAAGCCAGACTAGGGACACATTGGATTATTATTATTATTTTTTTTATTTGAGACAGGGTCTCGCTCTGTCGCCCAGGCTGGAGTGCAGTGGTGTGATCTTGTCTCACTGCAACCTCCGCCTCCCGCGTTCAAGCGATTTTCGTGCCTCAGCCTCCCGAGGAGCTGGATCTACAGGTGCGCACCACCACGCCTGGATAATTTCTGTATTTTTAGTAGAGACGGGGTTTCACCATGTTTGCCAGGCTTGTCTCGAACTGTTGACCTCAAGTTATCCTCCCGCCTCCACCTCTTAAAGTGCTGGGATTACAGGCCTGAGCCTCTGCGCCAGTCCTACACGTTGGATCTTTTCCCAGACCTCCTCCTCAGACGTGGAGCGTACAAATGATGCTCCATCGGTTACTCTGATCCTGACTTTGGGACTGCCAGATAAAACTGGGAGAAACCCTACATTTACTCTTACTGTAACGTATTGGCTTGAAACTGCAGGTCAGAACCCATTTATGTTGAGACCAAAAGACTTTTTTTCCAAGTAGAATGAAATAGAATAAAATACAATTGAAAATACTTGCCTGCATCACAGGTAATGAGAGTAACTATAGTTTCATGAAACCGTTGTTTCAGTTAAATATGTTTTTGCGTGTGTGCATGTGTATCGGGAGGAGATATGTATTTCATATATATATGTAGAGAGGTGGAAATCAACAACAAAACTCCATAATTTTTCTTGTTTTCTAACAGTTCTTGATTTTGAGTAAAAATAATTCTTTAAGAACAAAATTTTGAGCCAGCTAACGAAAGATCAGAGTCAAGCAGCCTCTCATTGGGGCCTGAATAGAGGTTCATCTTATTTGGCTTTTTCGTTTTTTTCCTATCTTGTGGACTCCTTTTAAGGCCCAGCAAGGAATTACCCTCCCCAAGTTTCCACTCTCTGCTTGGTTCAGCCATTCAGCTGTCTCTCGGGCTCTTTGATTAATAAAAAGTCCAGTAGAGCTATTTTATCCTATGCATGTGTGGGAAGAGGGCAATGCCAGTGATTCTTTCCTGATTTGACAGAAAATTCACAAATCACGTTACCTTCTGAAGATAGAGATTTTAAGCTCAAACATTATCACCAGAGAACTGAATTATTAAGAAAGATGAGTGGTCAAAAGTACAGATGTTTTACAGATTAAGGGTCATTTTGTCAGGTCCTGTCCAAAATATTTGAAGTCTAGGGGTTTGAAAAATTGTTAGAAATAACCATTTATGACAACAGTTTTCATTTATTGTTCTCTCCAGCTTCAGGAGCAGGGGAGAACATTTTTTTCCTTCTTACCTTGCTGAGAATTTTTTCACCAGGGTTTCAAGGCTAAGAACTGAAATTCCAGCATTGACATTGAATTAAAAAGAAGCAAGCCCTTTTAGGAAGTCAAATTTTATTATATGAGATGGAATGTAATATTGAGATTACTTATTACTTAGGCATGGGATAGGGGGGCTTTTAACAACAGACCAAAAAAAAAGTTGGAAGGATAGGAATGAAATAAAGCAAACTTTCATTATTCATAGATGATACAATTGTCTACAGAGAAAAATAATCTAAAACATAAGAATTAAGAGTTTGGCACAGTGGTTGGCTAAATATATAAACAAATCTATTGCATTTTCTATAAAAACAAAAAAGTAGAAATGTGATTAACTGGTTTATATAACAAACTTACAGTACAGTTGACCTTTGAACAACATGGGCTTGAACTGTGCAGGTCTACTTATATATGATTTTCTTCTGCCTTTGCCACCCTTGAGACAGCGAGACCAACCTCTCCTCCCCTTCCTCCTTCTTAGCATATTCACCATGAAGACATGAGGATGAAGACCTTTATGATGCTCCACTTCCACTTAATGAATAGTAAATATATTTTCTCTTCTTTATGATTTTTTAAATAACATTTTCTTTGCTTTTCTGAGACAAGGTCTTGCTCTGTTGCCCAGGCTAGAGTGCAGTGTTATCATGGCTCACTGTAGCTTCAACCTCCTGGGCTCAAGCGATTCTCCACCTCAGCCTCCCAAGTAGCTGGGACTACAGGTGCACGCCACCCTACCTGGCTAAATTTTTAATTTTTTGTAGAGATGGGGTCTCGCTATGTTGCTGAGGCTGGTCTCCAACTCCTTGTCTCAAGCACTTCTGCCTCAGCCTCCCAAACTGCTGGAATTACAGCCATGGGCCACCGCACCTGGCCAACATTTTCTTTTCTCTAGCTTACTTTACTGTAAGAGTACAGTATATAACACATAAAAATATAAAATATATGTTAAATAACTTTATGTTATTGGTAAGACTTCTGATCAACAGTAGGCTATTAGTAAAGTTTTGGAGGAGTCAAAAATTATGTGCAGATTTTTGACTGCACAGGTGGTCAGCGCTACTAACCCTCGCATTGTTGAAGGGTCCACTGTAATCAGGAATAAATTCTCAAAAAGGAAAGGCATGCAAGATCTTAGTGGGGAAAATTAAAATCATTAAAAGAAGTTGAAGAAGTACTGCACAGATGGAGAGATACATTCATGGTTAGGAAGCATCAATATCATTAAAATGCCAGTTTTCCCCAATGTGATCTATAGTTTCATGCTATTTCTAGAAAAATTTCAACAAAATGTTTTATAGAATTGGACACAATGATATTAAAATGAAACGAAGGAACACAAGTTCAAGAAGAGCCAAAATACCATTGAAAATAAAGAGGAAGTTGGGGAATTTCCTGACTACATGAGAAGATATTATATACACCACTGGATTTAAGACCATGTGCTATTATTGGTGAGAGAGGGAGTAGACAACTGGGCCAATAGAATAGAATGGAAAGAGTGTCAGGACCCCTTGTATGTGAAGAATGGTCATTAAAGACCAGTGGGTAAAGGATGTATAATTCAATAAGTTTGAATTTATGACACTGGATTAGTGGATATATATACATCATAATAAATTCCAGATGAACTAAGTACCAACGTATTGAAGGCAAAACTGTAAAACTTTTAAATGAAAATGTGAAAGAAATATTTGTATGACTTCAAGGTAGAAAAATATTTATTAAAAAGACACACATACACATTTTAAAAACAAAAATGTTAAGAGAAGATGAATAAATTTGACCACATTAAAATTAGAAACTTTAATCAAAACACACTCTAAAGGAAAAAAAGCCACAATCTAAACTTATTTATATCACACATAATTTACATAGGATCAATATCCAGAACATCTAAGAATAGCCCCATAGGAAAATGATCAAAAGATGTGAAAGGGCAGTTCACAAAAAGGGATATATAAAAGACCAATAAACGTACAAAAGTTAAGCTCACAATAGTTATCAGAGAATTGTGAATTAGAACAGTCCTTGAAATAACATTTTAAAATCACTAAATAGACAAACATTGAAAAGTCTAACATTATCAAAAATCAATGAGGATGTAGGGTGAGGGGAACTCATACTCTGATGGTGGACTTCAAACTGAAATAATCTACTTGGAAAAAAATTGGCATTTTGTAGAGTTGAAGCTGAGAATATCCTAAAGCATAGCAGCTCTACCCTTAAATATATATGCACCTTAGGGAAATTATTGAATAAGGCACCAAGAGCAATGTGCAGGAAAAGTCATGAGAGCATTCTTTGTAATTGCAAAAAGCTGGAAACAACCCAGTGTCCATTTGCAGGTAAACTGATACACAAATTTTGGCATAATCATAATGTGGAATTCTATGCAACATCAAGATCAGTGGAATACAGATAAAATAATAAACTTGCATAATTCTTAAAATCATATTGTTGAATGAAGAAAACAACAGAAAACTACATTTTGATATTAATTATGATGTTAATTTGTTGTCAGACAAAGACAATATTTACTATGATGAAAAGCAAGATAATGATCAACTCCAAATTTGGAATAATAGTTGCATTTTGCAGAGAGGAAGGGAGATTCTAAGGGAAGACAAATACAGGAAACTTTAATGTTAAGGGTAACGTTCCATTCCTTCATGTGACTGGTGGGAAAAAATGGATGCTTAAAATTCTTGTAGATATGCATCACATGCATTACTTATTTGTAGAAAAATATTTCAAAAACTGGATCATAAGAAAAAAGGAAAAAGATGTATAAGAAATCATTTGCATAGAGACAGAAGTAACAAAGGCAATTTGATGAAATTTATTGAGACAGAAGACTAAAAAATGAAAAAACATGGTAAATATAAAAATATGATGGCAGAAGTAATCCAGATATATATGCATTTGTAATGTCCATTTATATCATTGCATTAAATCTAAATTTTTCTGCTCAGTAAAGATGGTCTGTGTGTGTGTGTGTGTGTATTTGCTATTCAAAAAGTGCTGGTGGCAATGGCTTATACCTGTAATCCCAGCACTTTGGGAGGCCAAGGAGGGAGGATCACTTGAGCCCAGGAGTTTGAGATCAGCCTGGGTAACATAGCGAGACCCTATCTCTACAAAAATAAAAAAATTAGCCAGGCGTGGTTGTGCATGCCTGTAGTCCCAGCTACTGAGGAAACTGAGGTGCAAGGATCGCTTGAGCCTGGAAGGTTGAGGTTGCAGTGAGCCGTAGTCGCACCCCTGCACTCCAGCCTGAGCGGCAGACTGAGACCCTGTCTCAAAATAAAAACAAAAACAAACAAAAAGCACCTAAAACAAAATGACACCGAGTGATTAAACCAATGGACAATGATAAACTCAGGCAAATGCTAACAAAAATTAATTATGGATAGAAATACTGTCTTACTCCATTTTGTGCTGCTATAATAGAATATCCAAGACTGGATAATTTTTAAAGAACAGAGATTGACTTATTACAGTCCTAGAGGCTAGGAAATCCAAGGTTGAGAGGCCTGCATCTTGCAAAAATCTTCTGGCTGCCTCATACTGTGGTGGAAGGCAAAAGGGATAAAAAGAGAGCTGAGAGAGAGAAAGAGAAAGAGAGAGCGCCCAAGTGCAACAGGTTGAATTCACAGGCTTTTAGCCTTTTTGTAATTGGCATTAATTCATTTATGAGGATGGAGTCGTCATGACCTAAACACCTCTCATCATTAAGCCTCACCTACTAACACTGTTGCATTGAATATTACATTTCCAACATATGCTTTTTGGGGACACATTCAAACCATTACAAATACTAATATTGAACAAAGTAGAATAAATGATGAAGAAATTTTTCAGTGTCAAAGAAGGATACTTTATTATGCTAAAATGTACAATTCACCAACTACCCATAAGTTATAAGCCTTCATATCCTAAACAAGTCTTTGAAAGTTAGGGAAAAAAATGTGCTTTGTTAGGAAAGATAAATTGACACATTTAAGAGCTTTTAGCATACTTTTAAACTAAACTGTCATATCCAATTGTAAAATAATGTGAATGTAAGATATTTTGCTAAAGCAAATAATGATCTTATCAAATATTTATAAAATTGTGTACTCAACAAATAGTGAATGCATATTTTCCCAAACATAATGCATTAAACCACAAAGTAAAATTAAATAGAAATTAGAAACTACACGGGCTATATTCTCTCACCGGTATAAAACACATACATAGAAAAACAAAACAAAACTAAAATAAAACAAAACAAAACCTCACCAAAACAGTACTAACAAGAAAGCCTCCACTTGGAAACTTAAAAACATCTCACTAATTTTTGGGTTGAAAAGGAAATCAAAATTGCAATTCAAAGGAGTTATGTTTTTGCTAGGAATATGGAGGGAATTCAGTTCAGAATTCATTTCTCTATATAGTACAGCAAAGAGAATGAAAAAGAAAACCACACAAGAACCTCATTTTTAGTGAAACTAGGAAACAAAAAGTATGGTTACATCCCAAATTGCATGTCATTTGTGCTTAAAGCAACGGAGAGCAGAACTGGGCATAAGAAGCCAAAATGTTGCTGTGGCAACAGATGAAAGCGTGGAGGGAACTAGTGGTGCGGGATCTCGGAAAGGGCCCGAAAATATTCTCTCTCTAAGAGTAGAAGCCAGCCTAGGTTGGAGCTGTTGGCAGTTGGCCTGAGCTACAGTGAGGCCCAGATGCTGGGGAAGGCAGAAGAAGGCCCACATATTGGGGGAGCAGACTTTGTTTTGGAGGTTCCAAGGTGGCAGATAACAAAGGTTCCCTCTGGAATGCAGGGGGTCCTAACACCGTGGTAGAATCCTTGCTGAAATAGATTAAATTCCCCAAGTTGGAAAAAACATGGATGCAGCGTATTTTAAGATAAAGTTTACGTGTTAGTAATAAAGGATTGGTCCTTCGGTTGTAAAACCTGGGAGGTTACTATTGCCCATGTCTTCTCTCACCAACCCATCATCCCACCCCCATCCAATAGGAGTCTTCCACTAATATCTGGTCCAGGAATGCTCAATTTATTCAGAATAAGTAGGAAAAGAAATGGCACAGTTCCACATAAATATGCCATGAGAAAAAAATGTTTACAGAAAGCAGCAAGATTTCCCTCCAGAAGTAATGAAGCAACCTCAGCCATGAAGATCATGGAGCCAAAAGGATGACCTTCAGCAGAAGCAGTTACGAGCCAAAGAGGTCCAAGGGCACTGAGGGAGGAGCCAAGTGGTAAGGGCCACCTCTGGCTGGGATCCAGGGTGCCCAAGTGGGAAAATGAGCAAGCCAGAGAGTGCTTGGTCTAGGGATTAAGAAAAGCACACAGTAATAGGTTGGACACTAAATTTGAAAATGAACAGTGAGAAAAATGCTGTGGGGACCAGGATTGAAATGAAGTAACAGAACAATTAAAATTACATGATCCAGGGACAGAGACTTGAACTCATAAACAGGCCTGTGTTGCCCATTAGTCACAAGGGGAGCAGTGAGCCATTGTTAAAATGCCAAGGATTCCCAATGCAGTTTACTTGGAACTTTGCCCAGCGATGAAGGAGTCTGACTTGTCTTTTCTGTAATAGTTAGAATCAAAGAAAAATAAAGCACAGCTGGTGGGAGGGTGAGAAGCAAGCATCATGAACCACGGTCTAATTCAAGGATCAAACTGCTGTCCAGTTCTGGCAGATTTTGGATTGCAAGGGGAATAAAGCTGAGAGGCCATATTGGCACCTAGGCACAGTGAGGTGAGTCTGGCCACGCATTTAAGAAGCCCCTGCAAAATGATACAGGTGGTTACTAAAAACCACCTCTGGCCTCTGGAAAAAAAGAAATAGCATCTCCCGGATAAGAATATCTGGGTCTCACACCTATTGACCAGGTCGAGATAGGGTTCAGTTGGGGATGGGATATAATAAAAGGCATGGGTAAAGAAACTGGGCAGAGGCATAGTGCCTGCATGTTGGAGATTAAGGAGGGAATTCGGAACTCATTTTTCTATATATATTACAACAAAGGTTAAGTTTGGAGGTTAAGTAAGGATGCTGCAGCTCACTCATGGTTGCTTTTCCTTCAGAGTACTCATGCCTCGGCTTACCCAGGGGGACTCAAGGAGAGGAATGTGTGTGCGCATATCTATCTATCTATCTATCTATCTATCTATCTATCTATCTATCCATCCATCCACCTTCTAATCTACCTAAATCAATCACTGTGTGTATCTATTCCAACCACAATGGACTCCTATCATTCAATTTCATTTAGTGGTACATCTCAGCCCAGTTTACAGAAAAGCTGTAAAGGGCTGTAAAAGGCTGTATGAGAACATAATCTGAAAAGCGTTGCTCAAAAGAGCATATTATATATTATTGGGCATTTATGAAGAAATTAGATCTCACACTGAGCTAGTTAATAAAGATTTATAATTACAAATGGGCTGCAGCATGTGATTCTGAACTTGACTATTTCCTTTTGCCCTTCAGTTTCAGACTATGATATGGATTATGATTCTCTACCACCCCCTAGTGGAAATTCATTCATTTCTTTTTAAGTCCTGCTTCTTCTAATCATTTAGTCTAAATGATTAGACTAAATGAGAAAATTACATAGTAAATATCTGGATTCACTCTTGTTATAAAAGGTTCAAACCGGCCGGGTGCAGTGGCTCACACCTGTAATCCCAGCACTTTGGGAGGCCAAGGCGGGCGGATCACAAGGTCAGGAGATTGAGACCATCCTGGTTAACACAGTGAAACCCCCGTCTCTACTAAAAACACAAAAAATTAGCCTTGCGTGGTGGCGGGCGCCTGTAGTCCCAGCTACTCGGGAGGCTGAGGCAGGAGAATGGCGTGAACCCAGGAGGCGGAGCTTGCAGTGAGCCAAGATTGTGCCACTGCACTCCAGCCTGGGCTACAGAGCAAGACTCCGTCTATAAAAAAAAAACAACAAGTTCAAACCATACAGAAGGGTACGGAGTAAAAGGTCTCCTTTGTTTCTCCCTCCTCCCCATTCCATTCTAGGTCCCAAAGGTAACTGTGTGTAGTTTGTGTTATACTAGGATATTTCCTGTGCTTTTACACATTCCAGGTATATGGCAGGAAAAATCCTGAGACATCAACTGAGGATTATTTTCCTCAGGCATCTTTCTACAACAGAGGCAGATAACGCATTTCCCCTCATGCCATGGGAGACAGACCACAGCAAAACAGCAATGACCAAAAGATTAAGATTTTTCATTTAAAATTTTACATTTGAAAACCATGGTAGGCCAGGTGTGATGGTCACATGCCTTTAACCATTTAGGAGGCTAAGGCAGGAAGATTGCTTGAGCCCAGGAGTTCAAGACCAGCCCGGACAACATGACGAGACTCAGTTTCTACAAAAAAAAAAAAAAAAAAAAAAAAGAAAAGTAAAGAAAAAAAAATTAGCTGGGCATGGTGGCGCTCACTTGTGGTTTCAGCTACTCAGGAGGCTGAAGCAGGAGGATTGCTTGGGCACAGGAGGTTAGGGATACAGCAAGCCATGTTCAGGTCACTGTACTCCAGCCTGGGTGACAGAGTGAGACCTTGTCTCAATAAATAAATAAATAAATAAAAAAAATAGAAAACCCAGTAGAGGCCAAATGAAAGAAAGGTCTTTGGAGATGAAAAACCTTAGATTACTAGATATCTGAAGTCAGCACTTGTTCCATAAATAATAGATTTGGGAAGTACTCCGGATAATCTTAGAGCCAATTTTCTTCTGTGGAAGTGATAAGAATCCACAGGCTGAAGACAGAAAGAGTGTCAGGAACTGGTTTTGGGGTCTTGCACTCTGTAATCCAGTTAAACTGTGTGACAGAGGGTCAGTGCCTCCTCCAACTCAGATATTTTGGGCATACAAGGATGGGATCAAAGAGTGTGCTGTTTCTGGTCTACGGAATATTACAAATTTGAATGAAATAAAAATATTTCTGACAGTTTCTAAACTCTCTTTTCTTAGTACTCAATAGAATGGACTGTCATCCATGCTGGGTAAGGAAAGATCTTGACAAGGAAAGGAAGGAATCAGGGTTTCATGAGAGACAGGGTTCTAGGGATCCAAGCACCATGATGAGGTAATGGCTAAGTTTTCTCTTGGGTAATGCAAAGAAAAGTTGACCTTTACTGCTGTGAAGCAAATTAGAAGCTAACCCGGGGTGCATTCGTTTGGTTTCTTCCAGAAGCAGTCCCTGACACAGGGACATGAATGAAAGTAATTTATTTTGGAGGTGCATGAAACTTCAGTAGCAGCTGAGTAAAAGATTGGGAAGGGAAAACAGCCAACGAAGGGTGAATGACTGGAACTTAATCCCCTGGGGAAATTCTGGGAAAGCACTTGCCTCAGAGTTAACCCAGCCACGGAAGGAGGGAGTTGGGCAATTGTACATCAATTCCCATTGGTTGAAGGCTGCTGCCTGACACGTGAACTCTTCGGCCCTTCTAGTCTGCTGTGAGTCGGGCAGAGTGGCCCTTCTTGGCTTTGAGGAAGCCTTCAGGAATGATGCAAATGTCCAGCCAGTGTGCACTACAGTGGTAAGGCCCAAGGAACATGGCAGGTATTAGTAGCATCAGCCATACCAGGTCTATTTCTAGTTGGAGAACCCTTAGATGACTGGAGCCTGTGATCTCTTACATCTGTAATATCTGTGATCAGAATGGAAGAATTTTCTATTGTCTTTTCCTTTTCAATTTTGCCCAAGCCTTCATAAAGTCTTGTTAAAACTTTGACAACAGTCTTATTTTTACATTCCTTTAATCAAGAAGGACAGGCCTATGTCCAAATATAGGAGGATGTATTAGTTTGCTAGGGCTACCATAAGAAATACCACAGACTGAATGGCTTAAACAACATAAACTTATTGCCGCCTGGCTCTGGAGTCTAGAAATGTGAGATCAAGGTGTCAGCAGGGTTGGTTTCTTCCGAGGTCTCTGTCCTTGGCTGGCAGATGGTTGTCTTTTCCCTGCATCTTCCTATGGACTGCCCCCTGTGTATGTATGTCCTAATCTCTTTTTATATGGATACTAGCTATATTAGGACCTACTTTCATAACCTCATTTTCACTTAATTATCTTTTTAAAGACTCTAACTCCAAAAAAAATTCACGTTCTGAGGTACTGGGTTTATTCAACATTATGAACTTATAGGGGGACACAGTTCAGCCCAAAAAGAGGAAAATGGGGCAAAGGGAAAATCCTTCTTCTCCATCTTCTTTCCTGTTCTCTCTCAAAGGCCAAGGTGAGTGAGAGCAACATTGGATCATGGGATCTTGGTTGCCCTGCAACTCAAGAGATATTTGGCTTCAACGTTAGCAGTGAGCAACAGCAGAGCTGAGAACAGTGGTATAGAACTGAGTCACACTGAGTCAGGCTACATTTCCCAGGCTAATTTGCAAACCAGAATTCCAGATATAATTTTTATTCACTCAAACTTTCCACTCATGAACTTCTTAAATGTATTTTGAAAAACTATGCACATCCTCATACATGTTTTTTAAATTTAACTTTTTATTTTGAGGTAATTAGAGAGTGACATGCAGTTGTAAGAAATAATACAGACAGAACCTTTTACCCTTTAATCCAGTTTCCCTGATGGTAACATCTTATAACACTTCAGTACAGTATTGCAATCAGGATATTGACATTTGTGTCAATGTCAATATTACAGTCAAGACAGTATTTTTGTCACTCCAAGTATCCCTTATCTTGCCCTTTTATGGTCGGTTCACCTCCTTCCCACCCCCATCACTTCCTTAACCACTGGCAACTATGAATTTTTTCTCTATTTCTGTACTTTTGTCATTTCAAGCTTCTTAATACAAAATGTTATACAAATGGATTGTGCTTTTTTTTTCTTTTCAATAAAGTTTATTTTATTTATTTATTTATTTTTTTTGAGATAGAGTCTCACTCTGTCACCCAGGCTGGAGTGCAGTGGCACCATCTCAGCTCACTGCAACCTCCACCTCCAAGGTTCGAGTGATGTTCATGAGTCAGCCTCCCGAGTAGCTGGGATTACAAGCATGTGCCGTCTTGCTTAGCTAATTTTTGTATTTTTAGTAGAGACGGGTTTCACCATGTTGGCCAGCTGGTCTCGAACTCCTGACCTCAATGATCTGCCTGCCTCGGCCTCCCAAAGTGCTGGGATTACAGGCGTGAGCCACCACGCCCAGCCTGGATTATGCTTTTGATGTCAAGCCTACGAATTCTTTGCCTGGCCCTACATCTCAAAGATTTTCTCCTATTTTTCTAAAATTTTAATAGTTTTACACTTCACATTTACTCTGTAATCCATCTTTTTTGTTTCTTTATCTATTTTTAGAGATGGGGTCTTGCTCTGTTGCTCAGGCTGGAGTGAAGTGACGTGATCACAGCTCACTGCAGTATGTAACCTTTTGGGACTGGCATTTTTCACTCAGTATAACTCTCTGGAGATTCATCCAGGTTGTTGTGTGTATCAGTCATTCTTTTTTATTGCTGAGTATTATTTCATGGTATAAGTGTACAATAGTTGGTTTAACCATTTACCTGTTAAAGGATATCTGGGTTATCTTTGGCTACAATGAGTAGGCAGTTAGACAAACATTTGCATACAAGGTTTTGTGTGAAGGCATTGTCTGTGCTTGTGTATTTGTGTATGCAAGTTTTCATTTCTTGGGGCTAAATACCCAGGAGTACAGTTGCTGGGCAGGATGGTAGTAGTATGCTTAGTTGTTGGATTTTTGTTGTTGTTGTTGGTTTTGTTTTGTTTTTAAGAAACTGCCAAATCATCTTCCAGAGTGGCTGTACCATTTTATATTCCCATCAGAAATTATGAGAGATCCAGTATCTCTTCTTCCTTGCCAGCATTTAGCATTGTCGCCTTTTTTTTTTTTTTTGAGAAAGAGTTTCACTCTTGTTGCCCAGGCTAGGTACAATGGTGCGATCTCTGCTCACCGCAACCTCTGTCTCCCGGGTTCAAGTGATTCTCCTGCCTCAGTCTCCCGAGTAGCTGGGACTACAAGCATGTGCCACCACACCTGGCTACTTTTGTATTTTCAGTAGAGACAGGGTTTCTTCATGTTGGCCAGGCTGGTCTCAAACTCCCGACCTCAGGTCATCTGCCCACCTTGGCCTCACAAAGTGCTGGGATTACAGGTGTGAGCCACCGCACCCAGCCCATTGTCACTATTTTTATTTTAGCCATCCTGATAGGTGTGGAGCGATGATCTCATTGTGGTTTTAATTTGCATTTCCCTAATGGCTAATGATGTTGAACAACTTTTCATGTGCTAATTTGCCATTTTTATATCCTCCTTAGTGAAATATTACCTTAAGTCTTTTGCCTATTTTCTAATTGGATTTTTAATGTGTTTTCTTTGTTGAGTTTTGAGAGTTCTTTATATACTCTAGATACTAGTCCTTTGTTCAATGCATAGTTTGCAAATATTTTCTCCTACTGTGTAGCTCATTTTTTCATCCACTTACCAGATCTTCACAAAGCAACAGTTTTACATTTTGATGAAATCCAATTTATCAGTTTTTCCTTTCATAGATCATGCTCTCAATGTCAAGCCTAAGAATTCTTCGCCTAGACCTATATCTCAAATATTTTCTATTTTTCTAAAATTTAAGAGTTTTATGCTTTACATTTACTCCATAATCCATTTTGTTTATTTATTTTAATTAATTGTATCTGGTAAAGGTTAAGGTATTGCATTTCTCTGACATTTTTTTTTTTTTTTGAAACAGAGTCTTGCTCAGTCACCCAGGCTAGAGTACAGTGGTGTGTCACAGCTTATGACAGCCTCGAACTCCTGGGCTCAAGCAATCCTTCTGCCTCAGCATCCCAAGTAGCTGGGACTACAGGCAGGAGCCACCACACCAACATTATTTTTCATTTTTGTGTATAGACAGGGTCTTGCTATCTTACCCAGGCTGGTCTTGAACTCCTGGACTCAAGCAATCCAATCCAGTTGGAATTAAATTTTGCATAAGGCGTGAGACTTAGGTCAAGTTTCATTTTTATTTTATTATCTTGCCTATGGATGCCCAATTGTTCCATTTCACCATTGTTCAATTCACTATTTGTGAAAAAGGCTATTTTTCTTCCACTGACTTCCTTTTGCACCTCTTTCAAAAATCATTTGGGCAGATTGTGTGGGTCTTTTTCTACGTTCTCTATTTTGTTCCACTGATTTGTGTGTCCATTCCTCTGCTAGTAACACACAGTCTTGATTACTGTAGCTATAAAACAATACTTGAAATAGGGCAGACTGATTTTCAACTCACTTTATTCTTCTTTTTCAAGAATGTTTTAGGCGTCGGCGTCGCTCCCGCCCTGGAGCTCTAGGCCCGCTTTTCCCCGCTTGAGTCTGGCGTCGGGGTCATTGTGTCTTGACAACCGCTCCGGTACCCCTTTCCGAGGCAGCAGGTGCGGCCGCTTTAGCCTTGAGCGGGCTCCGCGTCTGCCTGCTGGTCTCTGCTAGTGCCGACCCTTCTGTTCGCGGACCCCACGCCAAGCAGCGACCCTGAGCCGACAGGCGGAGCACCCGGCAATGGCGGCCTCCACGGCCTCGCAACGGCCCCTCAAGGGGATCCTGAAGGACAACACCTCTACGACTTCCTCTATGGTGGCGTCGGCCGAACATCCCCGTGGGAGTGTCCACGAGCAGCTGAGCAAAAAATCCCAGAAGTGGGATGAAATGAACATCCTGGCGACATATCGTCCAGCAGACAAAGACTATGGTTTAATGAAAATAGATGAACCAAGCACTCCTTACCATAGTACGATGGGTGATGATGAAGATGCATGTAGTGATACAGAAACCACTGAAGCTATGGCAACAGATAGCTTGGCTAAGAACTTAGCTGCTGCTGAAGGCTTGGAGCCAAAGTATCAGGTTCAGGAACAAGAAAGCAGTGGAGAGGAGGATAGTGACCTCTCACCTGAAGAACGAGAAAAAAAGCGACAATTTGAAATGAGAAGGACGCTTCACTACAATGAAGGACTCAATATCAAACTAGCTAGACAATTAATTTCAAAAGACCTACACGATGATGACAAAGTTGAAGAAATGTTAGAGACTGCACATGGAGAAAGCATGAATACGGAAGAATCAAATCAAGGATCTACTGCAAGTGACCAACAGCAAAATAAATCACGAAGTTCATAGAAGGGATTTGTTCAACACTCTTATTGTTTGTTAGATATGAACCCCGTTGCTATAATACATTGCTTCTCGTTCTCCACAAGTCATGACTTAAGTACCAAAGTGCATACCAGTTATTATATATTGCCAAGAATTAAATGAAAACCTTAAAGACTGATTAGACTGAAAATGCCTAATTGATATATATATTCTTGTGCCTAGTACTTTACCACAAATACGGTGTAATATCATCAGTCCAAAACTGTATTACTTTTGTAAAAATACTGGTTAATTTGTATATTATATAGCTTTTCATGCTTTAGAGGTTAAACAATATCTTTGGGGGGGAACTAATTTATTTTCATCACTCTAAATGTGGTGATAGCTCTTATAAAGTTTGTTGACTTTTTTTTTTTTAACCAAAAGCCAGTTGAACAACAGGATATGTATGCTGATAAATATTCAGGCTGAATAGTATTTTAACACTTGTCTTCAACTTGATTTGTCTGTTTAATTGAAAAGGATTGTGACCTCGCGCGGTGGCTCACGCCTGTAATCCCAGCACTTTGGGAGGCCGAGGCAGGTGGATCACGAGGTCAGGAGATCGAGACCATCCTGACTACCACGGTGAAACCCCGTCTCTACTAAAAAAAATACAAAAAACTAGCCAGGCATGGTGGCGGGCGCCTGTAGTTCCAGCTACTCGGGAGGCTGAGGAGGGAGAATGGCGTGAACCCGGGAGGCGGAGCTTGCAGTGAGCCGAGATTGTGCCACTGCACTCCAGCCTGGGCGACAGAGCGAGACTCCGTCTCAAAAAAAAAAAAAAAAAAAAAAAAAAAAAAAAAAAAAAAGAAAAGGATTGTAAGAGTTACTGTTACATTTTCTGGCCTACTACCTTTAAAATTCCTGTTGCATTTCTTTGTATTTACAAGGAAAAGACTGAACTTTTTCTCATCAAAACTAGCTTTTTTCTCACAGGTTAAACTTGCACCAATGTCTGCTCTTTTTTTTTAATGTTTTTGGTACTCTGGGCAGACTTCAGTTTTTTAAAAAATAAAGATTCTAATGCAGCTATCTTGGCATTCCCTTTAAATACCTGTCTTAACCTCCTACTTTTATTTCCTACTCCTTTCCACACACATGCATACAATCCTTTACCTTTTAAAGAATCATTAAGACTGTCACACATTAGGAACTCTTTCGCTCACTCTTCTGTCATTTGCTGCAATATTGAAATTCTTATTTTGACCATCAATGCCTATTAATTCTTCTAATACATGAAGAAAATGATTGAGTAGCAGCAGTACTATAGGTGGGAAATACAGTTTAACTGCTGAATTTTTATACCTCTCTGATTTATAGCTTGCTAATTAAATTGCTATTAATAGTTTGTTTGGCTTAATTAGACTTAAGAAAACAACAGGTTTTTTTTTTTTGAGGTTTTTTTTTTTTTTTTTGCATGAGGAGAGAATTGTATGTAACCAGTGATATGATTATTCCTGAATGTACAGACAGAAGTAAGCCTGGACATTGTTTAATTTAAAAACTTTAGTCCCTGCTTTAAGGGAATATGATAATGTATACTATGACAAATGTACTTTATTCTTCTAACACAGTAAGAATTACTTGGAACTTTTTCCTGAAACTAAGTGCAGGAAAGCCCTGTGTGTCTTGGTTTAGTGATGGTTTCATTTCTAGCCATACAACTGATGGATTGTATACAATTTTTGTTAGTGCCAAAATAATCTGTTATATGAACAGACTTCTAAAATAATTTCTGTATATTATATATGTAAGAAGGCTTTTATTGAACAGCTTATTTTCCACTTGCAAGTTTATGGAAATATCAATATGTCAAAATAAAAAGTGGGACAATTCTTTGCTGTTAGAAGAATGTGCTTATTATTTTGATTTCTTAAATGGTACATAATCAAAGTACTGCTGAACTATAGGTGCAGTATTCTACTAAACATTTCAGCTAGTAATACCACTGATTTAGAAACAAAACTGTTTATTTTTGCTTTCTGAATTTAGAATGCTGGGATTACCTGTTTAAATATGTTTTAGGGAATATAGAGATTAAATCTGTACATACCTGTGCACATATATTCATGCACCCTCTGATTTTGGTTTTCTCGTTTTTGAGTTCTTAGAAAGTATCCACATACTCTTCTTTTAGTAGAAGTAGCTGTTTTAGAGAGAAGAAAAGGATGAGACTTTAAATAGTTGATTCTTTTTGTGTTTTCTACAAACTTTTTTGAATTTTAAATCACAAGCAAACTAATTTTCTGGTTTTTAGAAAGTAGATGATGATTTCAGAGGAGTAAGACATGCCAAACAGCGTGCTCGGTAGGATTTTAGGTAGTCAAATGCAGCTGAGAAAAAGTATTTTCAAGTCATAAGTTGCTAATTGATATGCTATGAACTAGTCAAAATAGGAACCATATGATTCATGTTAGATTTTCCTCTAGAGATGGATCTGAATGTTCAGTTCCAGCCAAGGTAGATTTTACTTTCAACTTTTTAATCAATATCACTTTCTGTGCTTAATCTCTTTGGTGTTACCTTGTCCATTTTCATTTGTCTAAAATTCTGCAGGGATGACTACAATTTGGCATAATGGTATAAATGAATTGTTAAGGGTAACTTTAAGTTGAAGATTAAAGCAAGATGCCATTTTCCCCATGTCTTTCATTTTGTTTACATTTTTTCCCTTTAAGTTAGTATACACTACACATACTACAATAAAATATAATAATATGAAAAAAGAATATTTTAGATATTCTAGTCCCTTTGCCTTTCCATGTAAATTTTAGAGTAATCCTACCTATAATTAACAAATCTTGCAAAGATTTTGATTGGAATTGTGTTAAACTTGTATATTGGTTTGGGGAGAATTGACATATTTACTATATTGAATCTTCCAATCCATGAACAGTATTTCTCTCCACATAGATAGAGACTGAATAGATCTTCTTTGATATCGTTCACCAGCATTACATAGTTTTTAGCTTGCAAGTCTTGCATGTTTTGTTAGATTTACACATAAGTGTTTCATGTATTTGAGTAATTGTAAATAATATATTTATATTTTTGGGCCAGGCGCGGTGGCTCACGCCTGTAATCCCAGCACTTTGGGAGGCCAAGGTGGGCGGATCACAAGGTCAGGAGATCGAGACCATCCTGGCTAACACGGTGAAACCCCGTCTCTACTAAAAATACAAAAAATTAGCCGGGCATGGTGGTAGGCGTCTGTAGTCCCAGCTACTCCGGAGGCAGGAGAATGGCGTGAACCCCGGAGGCGGAGCTTGTGGTGAGCCGAGATCGTGCCACTGCACTCCAGCCTGGGCGACAGAGTGAGACTCCGTCTCAAAAAAAAAAAAAAAAAAAGAAAAAAAAAAAATATATATATATGTATCATTTGTTCATTGTGAGTATGTAGAAATACAATTGATACTGGTTTATCCTGTATTCTGTTAATTTGCTGAAATCACATATCTAGAAGTTTTTCTGTAGCTTCCTTGTGATTTTCTACATAGACAATCATGTCACTTACAAATGGGAGCTGTTTATTTCTTACTTCACAATCTGTATGCCTTTAATCTCCTTTTTCATGCCTATTGCACTGTCTAGAACTTCCAACACTGTGAATAAGAGTGGTGAGAGTGGACATTCTTGCCTTGTTCCTGATTTTAGGTAGAAACTATTCAGTCTTTCAGAATCAAGTATGTTCACCATAGGATTTTTGTAGACGATCTTTATCAAGTAAAGAAAGATCTCCTCTACTCCTATATTTCTGAGATTAAAAAAAAATAATGAATGGGTGTTAAAGTGGGTTAAATACTTTTTCTTCATCAATTGATATGAACAAGTAAATTTTCCTCTTCAGCCTATAATATGATGGATTACATTAATTAATTGTGAATATCCAACCAGCTTTGCATCCCTGGGATAACTCTCACGTGGTCATTGTATATAATTCTTTTTATATGTTGGTAAATTCCACTTGCTAATATTTTGTTAAAGATTGCTGCATCATGAGGAATATTAGTCTACAGTTTTCTTTTCTTCCCATTGTCATTGTTTGGTTTTGGTATTGAGGTAATTCTAGCTTTATAAAATAAACTGGGAAATGCTTCCTCTGCTTCTATTTTCTGGAAGAGATTAATTGGTGTTAATTCTTCTTTAAATCTTTGGTAGAATTCTTCATTGAAACTATTTGTTCCTAAATATTTCCTTTTGTGAGTTTTTAAATTATGAATTCAATTTCCTCAATAGGTGTAGACATTTTTGAATTATTTTATATTTAGTGAGTTGTGGCACTTTATATTTTTTGAGAAAATGATCCATTTAATTTAAGTGTCAAATTTATGTGTGTAGAATTGTTCATAGTATTCTTTTGTTATCCTTTTGATGTCTGTAGAATCTTTGATGATATCCCATTTCATTTCTGATGTTGGTAGCTTCTATCTTCTGTCGTCTTTTTTTCTGAGTCTTGCTAGTGGTTTGCCAATTTTATTAATCTTTCAAAGAGCCAGCTCTTTGCTTCATTGATTTTTTTTTGCTTTTGTTTTTCTGTTTTCAGTTTCATTGTTCTGCTTGCTTTTTATTTTGTTATTCTTTTACTAGATTCTTGAGGTGAGAGTTTAGATTATTGGTTTGAGACTTTTCCTCTTTTCCAATGTATGCAGTTAGTGCTTTAAATTTACTTCTCAAATGCAAATCAAAACCACAATGAAATGCCATCTCACGCCAGTCAGAATGGTGATTATTAAAACTCAAGAAACAACAGATGCTGACAAGGTTGTGGAGAAATAGAAATGCTTTTACATTGTTGATGGAATGTAAATTAGTTCAACCATTGTGGAAGACAGTGTGGCAATTCCTCAAAGATCTAGAACCAGAAATACCATTTGACCCAGCAATCCCATTACTGAGTATATACCCAAAGGAATACAAATCATTCTATTATAAAGATACATGCACTTGTATGTTCATTGCAGTACTATTCACAATAGCAAAGACATGGAATCAACCCAACTGCCCATCAATGACAGACTGGATAAGGAAAATGTACATATGCACCATGGAATACTATACAGCCATAAAAAGGAATGAGATCCTGTTATTTGCAGAGACATGGATGAAGCTGGAAGCCATTATCCTCATCAAACTAATGCAGGAACAGAAAACCAAACACCACATGTTCTCACTTATAAGTGGGAGCTGAACAATGAGAACACAAGGACACAGGGAGGGGAAAAACACACACTGGGGTCTGTCTGGGGCGAGGTTGGAGGGAGGGAGAGCATCAGGAAAAATAGCTAATGCATGCTTGTCTTAATACCTAGGTGATGGGTTGATATGTGCAGCAAACCACCATGGCACATGTTTACCTATGTAACAAACCTGCACATCCTGTACATGTATCCTGGAACTTAAATTTACCTCTTATAACTACTATAACTGTATCCCACAAATTCTGATATGGCATATTTTCATTTTTGTTTAGTTGTGTTTATTGTGTGTATTTTTAAAAAATTTCCTTGAGACTTCCTCCTTGACCCATGTATTTCTAAGTGTGTTGTTTTGTCTCCAAATGTTTAGATATTTTCCTGTTGTTGATTTCTGGTTTGGTTCCATTGTGGTAGGAGAACACTTTCTTTATGATTTTATTTAAAAAATTTGTTGGTCTTTTATTGTCTTAGATATGGTCTATCTTGGCATATATTCTGTGGGCACTTAAAAAAATGTTATTCTGGCTGGGTGCAGTGGCTCATGCCTGCAATCCCAGCACTTTGGGAGGCTGAGGTGGGTGGATCACCTGAGGTCAGGAGTTTGAGACCAGCCTGATCAACATGGTGAAACCTCATCTATACAAAAAATAAATAAATAAATAAATAAATAAATAAATAAATAAAAAATTAGCCAGGCATGGTGGTGTGTGCCTGTAATCTCAGCTACTCAGGAGGCTGAGGCAGGAGAATTGCTTGAACCTGGGAGGCAGAGGTTGCAATGAGCCGAGATTGTGCCATTGTACTCCAGTGTGGGCAATAAGAGTGAAACTCCATCTCAAAAAAAAAAAAAAAAAAAGTGTATTCTGCCATGGAATACTATGCAGCCATAAAAATAATGAGATCACGTCTTTTGCAGGGACATGGATGGAGCTGGAGGCCATTATCCTTAGCAAACTATTGCAGGTACAGAAAACCAAATACTGCATGTTCTCATAAGTGGGGGCTAAATGATGGACACATGGACACAAAGAGGAAAAACACATACTGGGGCCTATTGGAGGGTGGAGGTTGGGAGGAGGCAGAGGGTCAGGAAAAATAACTAATGGGTACTAGACTTAATTCCTGGATGATGAAATAATCTGTACAACAAACCTCCATGACACTGTTTACCTATGTAACAGACCTGCACATGTACCCCTGAACTTAAAATAAAAGGAAAAAAAAGAAAAAAGAAAAAGGAAAATCTCGTGGAATCTACTAAAAGCAACGAAAAAGAAAATAATGTATCTTCTGTTGTTGGGTGGTGTGTTCTATAAATGTTGATTAGATCTTATGGTTTGATGTTGTTTATTCTTCTATGTTTTTTCTCAATTTTTGTCTATTTGTTTAATCAATTGTTGAGAGAAAACTATTGAAGTCTTCAACTATCATTGTTGACTTGCCTATTTTCTTTTCAGTTCTATCAGTTTTTGCTTTACATAATTTGCAGCCCTGTTGTTTGGTGCATACATATTTAAGATTGCTATGTCTTTTTGGTAGATTTACCCTTTTATTATTACATAGTGTTCCTATCCATTTCTAGTAATTTTCTTTGTTCTAAGTTTATTTGATATTAATATAGCCTCCCTTTATTATTTTTTGTCTGATATATGTTTTTCTATCCTTTAACTTATAAACCGCCTATATCATTATATTTGAAGTGAGTTTATCATAAACAGCAAATAATTGAGTCTTTTTTTTTTTTTTTTTGAGACGGAGTCTCGCTCTGTTGCCCAGGCTGGAGTGCAGCGGTGTGAAGTGGTGTGATCTCAGCTCACTGCAACCTCCACCTCCCGGGTTCAAGAGATTCTCCTGCTTCAGCCTCCCGAGTAGCTGGGGCTACAGGCTTGTGCCACCACAGCTGGCTAATTTTTGTACCTTTAGTAAAGATGGAGTTTCACCATGTTAGCCAGGATGGTCATCTCCTGACCTTGTGATCCACCTGCCTTGGCCTCCCAAAGTGTTGGGATTACAGGCGTGAGCCACCGCACCTGACAGAGTCATATTTTTAAATCTATTCTGCCAAGCTCTGTCTCTTAAAATTGATGTATTTAGGCGATTTATATTTCCTATAATATTGTTATGTCCAGGCTTAAGTCTGACATTTTATTTTCTGTTTTCTGTTTGTTCTCTCTGTTTTTCATTTCTTTGTTTTCTTTTTCATTGCTTCCTAAATAATTTTAAAATTCCATTTTAATTTATCTATAGCTGTGTGTGTGTATGTGTGTGTACCTCTTTGGATAGCTCTTTTAGTGGTTGTTCTAGGTATTACATTATATTTATGTAACTTATTTATTGTCATTAATTACCAGTCTGAGTGATGTGTAGAAATTTCTTCTCTCTTTGTTTACCCTCCCTCATTTATAATTGCCTGTAATATTTTCTCTATATACATTTATAACCATATGATACAGTATTATACGTTTTTCTTCAATCCTATAATTTAAATAACTCAAGAGAAGAAGTAAAGTCCATTTTTTAACCCATATTTTTTCTTGCCATGTTCTTTCTTCCTTCCTGATGTTCCAACTGTCCTCAATTTAACTTTTTGTTTTTTTAGGGTAGACCTGTTAGTGACAAATTCTGTTAGTTTTCCCTCATCTCTGTATGTCTTAATTTCCCTGGATATTTTTGCTGATATAGTGTTCTAAGTTGATATTTTTTTTTCCTTTCAGCACTGGAAAAAGGTGGTGACCTCCTTCGGGCTTACACAGTTTCTGATGAAAATTTTGCTCTGTCATTTTTTTCACCTGTTAGATGTCATTTATCTCACTGCTTTCAAGATTCTTTTTATCTTTAATTTTTAGTTAATTACTATGATTTTGGTGTGGCTTTCTTTGGGTTTGTCCTATTTGGGGTTCACTCACCTTCTTAAATCACTAGGTTTATGTCTTCTGCCAAATTTGGGAAGTTTTCAACCATATTTATTTGATAATTTTTTTCAGCTTCACTCTCTTTTTCCTCTCATTTTGGGACTCTGAGTACATGAACATTAAATCTTTTGTTATAGCCCCATGGGTCCCTGAGGCTTTGTCCATTTTTTCCAGTGTATTTTCTTTCTTTCTTTTGTTCAGATTAAGTGATTGCTATTGCTGTGTCTTCAAGGTAGCTAATTCTTTCCTCTGTTCTCTCCTTCTGCTGCTGAGCTTATTTACTGGGCTTTTTATTTTGGCTATTGCACTTTTCAGTTCTAAAATTTCCACGTTTTCTTCCGTATATATCCTATTTTTATGCTGAAACATCCTATTTTTTTCTTTTCTGCTCTTTTCTTCTTCTTTCTTTTTTTAAACCACTGAACTGGACATCCTATTTTTTTCATTCTTTTAAGTGTTAATTGCTCATCAAAGCATTTTAATAATGGTGGCTTTAAAATCTTCATCAGGCTTTTCTTTCCGTTTTGGCATCTATTTTATTGTCTTTTAAAAATTCAATTTGAGATATTCCTGGTTCCTGATATGACAAATAATTTCCAATTGAAACTTGGACATTTCAGGCATTATGTTATAAGGCTATTGGTCTTATTTAAACTGTTTTAGCTGGCTTCTTTTAACACCTCTCCAGCAGGTAGGCAGGTGAGCTTCATGACGCCAGGTAGGGGTAGGAGTCCAGGCTTCTCACTCTGCCTTCATTGACACCTCAGATAGGTCCCCATTATTACTGAGTGGGGACAGAAATTCTGGCTCCCTATTAGGTGCCCACTAATACCTCCCTGGTTGGTTGGGAGAGGAGTGCCACTTACTATCCCTCACATGACCTTTATTGACACCAAGATGGGACAGTGGAGTGGAGGAGTGAGTGGTAGGTATCAGGGAGTGGTTGCTGGATTAACTCTGGGTGGTGATGAAAATCCTGACTCTCCATTAGGCATTGTCTGACATCACCCTAGAGGAGAGGGGAAGAGATGCTTCATTACTGTTGGGTGAGGAATGGAAGTCTAGGTTTCCATTGACATTTCAGGGGCTTGGGGAAAGGAGTACATTTTCACCAAGAGGGCATGACCATCCTGACTCCCTATTCACTTTCTCTGACACCATCCTGGTGTGTGTGCATGTGTGTGTTGAAGTGTTGGGTTCCTTATGACAGCCTGGTGAGGGTGAAAGTCTAGGCTCCTCATTTGACCTTAGCTGGTGGGGGTGGAGTCGCAGTTTTTTCTGTGGTGTTTGGCTGGCCCCATTACCCAAGATGGAGTGTAGTGGTGCGATCATAGCTCACTGTAACCTCGAACTCCTGGGCTCAAGTGATCCTCCTGCCTCAGCCTTCAGAGTATCTAGGACTATGACACATCGAACTATGCCTGACTAATTTTATTATTATTATTCATAGAGACAGGGTCTCATTATGTTGCCCAGGGCTGGTCTTGAACTCCTGGCCTCAAGCGATCCTCCTGCCTGGCCTCCTTCCCAAAATTACTTTAAATGATATAATAGCTGACAGCTTGAATAGGTCCTCTTTATTTTGTTGGAGGCAGAGTGTTAGAAGTGACCTAACAAAAAGGATTTGTTTCTTGTCACTAGACTCATTCACTGTGTCAATGAGTGTGTCAGTGGTTTGTGGGAAGCAAACTTAAATGAAAATGTATATTTTTAATTAAATGTTATGAGATGCTTTTTTTAAACTATTGGCTCTTGTGAATTTCAGAAAAATATTGCAAGTCATTTGACTTAGCTACTTAGCTTGCACTCTATGTAAAAATTTTAGAATTTTACCTCTTTGAAAAACTCCTAATATCAATAGTGATATTGTTGTTTTGCAGCCTCAAATGATTTTGTTACTTTGGACTAATTTTCACTGAGCTAGTTAATAAGTGACTTTTTATTGTCTAAAAAATTCTTAAGTGTATCATAGAGAGAAAGATTATTGGGTCACTAAGTGGCTTTCTATATATATACCTTTGTCCATATTTAATTTTTGCAAAACTCAAATTAAGGTGGTAAACTTAGTGTGGATATACATTCATGTATTGTATTGATAAGATTAACTACGTTTTAAAACTAAAGTGGAAAGTTTTAAACAAAATTGTCATTCAACTATATATGTATTTCTGTAAAACACACACGTAATGATGAATTCGAATTAATAAGCAAAAAAGGAGAGGATTTGTAATTTAAAATTGATCTTGGAATATACACTCTACACTTAAGACAGAGAAAAAACTTTTTCTTTCCCTTTAGCATAATCTGCCCAGCTAGCGGTGGTTTCTTATCAGAATGCTCTCACTTAATACCTTGATAACTTTTAGTGCTTTGTGCTGATAGCATCAAGTTTTTAAATTATTTTAAAAACAAACAACAACAAAAAACCATTTGCTTCTGAAACACCTAAAGTTTCTTATAATTGTTACCTTCTTTATGTTTATTTTCAAATGTTTTATTGTCACTCTGGTTATTGAGATATCAAAGTTATAACAATTGCTCACTCTCAGGTACCTATGCACTTAAGTGACCAGTTTCTCTGAAAATTCTTTTTTGTTGTTGCCTTCTTCCAACCTCATACCCTGAATTCAGAATACTAACACTGTCAAGCTATTTTTCACGCCCCCAAATCTTTGTTTTTTCTCACTAGACAGCCACTACCCATTTGGCCACTAGGTGGCGCAAAAGGCTTAATTTTTCACCTTCCTCCGCCTACTGTGAAGGAAGCTAAAAGTAATTAGATGTGTTTGGCATGATTTTTATATTTTAAATTAACGCTGTACTATCAAAAGAACTACCTGTGTCTCAAACCCACAATGTGGTAAAAGCTGACAAATAAAAAACAGTAGCTCAATTTTCTAGATTAATTTTGTCCAGGTTAAAAATATTATTGATATATGTTTTAGTGACCACATAGGTTTCAGTAAGGGTAAAAGGATGCTCTTGTTCGTACTCCAAGTCTGGCATGGTGACTGTCAATACATTCATTTTGAAGAAGATTTTGCTTCTGGGTTTAGCCCTAAAACAGGCCAAATAGAGACGATAAAATGAGTGGAACTGAATTAGAGCATTTCTGAAAAGTTTTATTTGGTTAATTCTGCCCCTTAAGGTCAGAAATTGTGTAGGAAAAGTGTTTCAAAATTATAAATAAGGCAAAATTGTACGTGCTTGATTATTTTATATCACACTTGAACCTTTGCTCATAATTCTGCCTGATCAAAACCAGAGTGTTTCAGGGATTGTAATTTGCCTAAGACGAACCCGGCCAGCCCTGTGCGATTAGAGGTTAATCAGCAGAGAGCTGATAAGGGATGCTGGCTTTCTCTTTTTCTCCGGTAAAGAAGATAACACCAAGGTTATGATTTTATTGCCCTCTAGCACGTTAGCCATTTTGAATCTCTAGCCTAGAAATTATTTCCTCACAGAGAGATACAGCTCTGTTTTTCAAATACTCTTTGGATCAAGGCTCTTGTATTCTTGCTGGTTCCCTCTTTGAGTTTGATAAAACTTTGAAAAGTCTACCAAAGAAATTTCTCTCAGAACTAGACTTTAGAGAGGAAATGCTGGAACTACGGATGAGAGGCACATGTATGTACAGGGTCAGACCACGCAGAGAGCAGGTCTGATGAGCCACACCACTGCTGCTGCCCCATGGCTTCTAGACGCTGCTGTTGGTTCTGTTGTTAGGACCTGGAGGTTGCTGCAGCCACCACTGAAGACACCTCCTAAACCACTTCTGTTTCAGGAACTTCACTTAAAAAAAAAAAAAAAAAAGGAAAAAACCCACCGCTTCCCCAAAAGACAGTTGCTTCTTCTGTCACCTTTGCCAGAGAAATAAATACAGTAAAAGGTGCTCTGCAACCCCCACACCCTGGTTCCTCCTGTGGCCCCTTTGTAACTGAAGTCTTAGGTGGATGAATTTAATTGGTGGAACTTAGGTGCTCTAGCTTCAAAGAAGGCTAGGGGAAGTGAGCTTTCTGGTTTCCACTTTAGGGAGGCAGGACTCAAAAGGTAGGGGAAATTTCACAGTACTCTAAAGGTGTTCAAATCCCATGGGCAGCCAGTAAACATCACAGGTGTGAGGTGCTGGGTGGAGTGGCTGCCGTGAATATGTGTTTTGGTTCATGGACTACATCAGTGGCTCTTAAAGTCCAGTAATTCACAGATTCATGAGAGATAATAAAATGATTATTTTTGTTTTAAGCCATTAAGTTTGGAGTTGGTGTGCTGCCCAGCAATAGATAATGGAAACATACAGTATGTATTTCTGCAAGTCTGGCTTCTTCACTTAATATTGTTTCTATGAGATTCGTCCATGTTGTTACATTTTCAGTAGTTGATGAAGTTTCATTGTTTACATAGTACTGTGTTGCACGAATAGACTACGTTTTGTTTATCCATTTACTGTTGAAGAACCATTTTGTTAAACAATTTGAGAGTAATCTGTGGAAATTATGCCACTTGACCCCTAAATATTTTGTCATGTATAATTTAAGAATAAGGACATTTCTCCTGCAAAACCCTAATACTGTCATCACCCCCAAGATACTTAAAATTGATACCATATTATCAAACACACAATCCATATTAAAAAATCCCCTATTGTCCCAGTAACACCTTATAGTAAATGTCTGTTATTTTAAGCGGGTGTCATTCATTACATGGCAATAGGTAACTAATACGGTGAGTCTGCTTCTTCCAGCAAGGACCCTCAGGGGGTGCGGTGATTCATAGTTCTCACTCAGACTTCTCTGTGTCTGCTCATATGTCCCTATTTCATATCTCAGGGTCCGGTCTATCCCAACCAGGGGTCTTGCCTTATCACAACAGCTGCTGTTGGATGATGCAACAAACATTTCTACAACTTCATAACCTTTATCATAAGCCCCCGGGCTTGACCCTCAGCCATATCTGTGCTGGGTTGCAGGAGAAAAGATAGCCTTTAAAACTGCTATAGAGGCATTTACAGTTTTTCATTCATGTCTTGAGTTTGGATTAAAGGCTTTTAATTTGTCTTTTTTTCCTTTGTATGCTCTTGAGGGCAGTCTGACGCAGCCAGTCTCTGAAGGTTGGCACAAAAGCCTCCATCGAGTCACCCAGCTTTTGCCTGGTACCTATCCTAACCTAAAACCTTGCCACATGTTACCTTGGCGAAAGGCCAGTGCCACACTTCAGTGATGATTCGGCTGTCCTACTTGGTTAGAACCGAGTTCACTTCCTTCCTCAACACTCCTGCCACATTGATCTGGAAGTTTCACCTTGAGCCAAGTGATAGTTAATTTTATGTGTTAACTTGGCTAGGCTATGGTTTCTAGACATTTGAATACCAGTCTAGATATTGCAGTGAAGGTATTTTTTAGATGAGATTTACATTTAAATCAATAGATTTTGGGTAAAGCAGATTACCCTCCATAATGTAAGTGGCCCTTCCAATCAGTTGAAGGTCTTAGGGGCAAAGACTGAGGTCCTCCAAGGAAGAGGGAATTCTGCCTCTGGACCACCTTCAGACTCAAGCCGCAACATCAGCTCTTCCTGGGTCTCCAGCCTACCTGCAGATTTCGACCGTGCCAGCTCCCACAGTAGTATGAGCCAATTACTTAAAATAAATCTCTCTCTGCCAACATCCTATTGGTTCTGCTTCTCTGGAGAATCCCGACTCATACAAGCCACTTTCTATAGAAGGCTGTTTCTTCGAGAAATCCACCCTCTTCTATGTCAACAGAGTTTAGAATCTCCATACTTTATCTCTTCATTTTTGAGAACATAAATTCTGTATTACACATACTTATACTATACTATATATGAAACTTTCATAAACATTGCTGGGCAAAGTTGAATATTGCTGAACCAATTTCCGATGCTTCTGAATAAGTTCAATGGAGTTAAAACATTTTTCTTCTTACATGGTATGTCCAGTGCCCCAGAGCCAGCAGAGTTAAGAACTTGGTAAGGAAGACCAAAGATAATCCATATATTCTAGTTTGTTATATAATATAAAACATGTTTATTAGATTCTAAAAGACATAAAAAGAAAATAATACATATGTATCAGTGAGAGAGGTGCAAATTAGGAAGAGAACTAAGGATTATTCTTAATTCCTGCCTTCCTTTCTAAATCCCAATCCTCAATTGAACTCTTTAATTATATTTCCTGTTTATTTTATTGAATGGAAAAAATGGAAAATTATCTAACATTTGTCATGGAAATATAGGAGAAATTACTCTCAGAGATATGATGTTATTTAAGTCATTGACATATTGTTAACCTCAGATGCAAATGGTGGAATTAATAATATTCCTCAGTTCATGGTACATAGTCACTGTTGGTCTAGTGCTAGTTTGTAGTTGTATTTGTATTTTTTATTTTTTAGAAATACGGTCTTCCTTTGTCACCCAGGCTGGAGTGCAGTGGTGTGATCACAGCTCACAGTAAGCTCAAACTCCTGGGCTCAAGCAATCTTCCTGCCTTGGCCTCCCAAGTAGGTAGGACTACAGGTGCATGCCACCATGCCAGCTAATTAAAATGTTTTAAATTTATTTTTGGTAAATGGGGTCTTGTTATGTTGCCCATAGTTTTTAGTGCTATGATAAGCTAGTAATTATAGTGAACATTCTTGTCTTGGATACCCAAGGTTTTTCCGTTATGTATACTAGTGGTTACAGATTTTTTGGATTATAACCTTTGCCAAAATAGGAAAGTTTTGATTCCTGCTTCCTTAACTGTTTTTCAAAAATCACAAATGGATATACTTTACCAAATGTCTTTTATTAATAGACTGAGCAAAGGAAATGACTTTTCTATGAATATGGTAAATTATAGCAACAATATGTTTTATTATATTGAACCACCCTAGTATTCCAAGGATTCCCTATTTGATCTTGATGTATCATTATTAGCATAATCATTATTATTATTGTTATTATTATACATATTTTTAGAGACAGGGCCTTGCTCTGTTGCACAGGCCGAAATGCAGTGGTGCAATCATAGCTTACTGCAGCCTCAAACTCCTGGGCTCAAATGATCTTCCTGCCTCAGCCTCCCTAGTAGCTGAGACTACAGGTGCTCACCATCACACCTGGCTAATTTTTTAATTTTTTGTAGAGACAGGATCTCACAGGATCTCAGTATGTTGACAATGCTGGTCTTGAACTCCTGGCCTCAGGCGATCCTCCCACCTCGGCCTCCCAGTATTATTATTTGTAATATTGTTGAATTCGGTTCATAAATAATTATTTTTTTCTCCCATCTGTGTTCAAGGTGAAATGGGTCTATTATTTTTTTTTCCTTGAGTTTTCCACAACTCAATTTGGAGTCAAGATTACACTCGGCTGATAAAATTAGCTAATCAGGTTTAGTTTTTTTCTGTTTTCTGGAAAAAGTATATAATATAGAAGTTTCATGTTCCTTGAATGTTTGATAGAACTCATCTGTGAAACCATCTGGGCATTTTCAAAAATATATTTTTTTATTAGATGCCATTGATAACTTTAAAAATTGCTTTAATACTCATTGGTATAGTCAAGTTTTGTATTTCTTTTTGTGCTAATTTTGATAGATTAAATGTTTCTAGGAATTTGCTTATCTCACCTAGGTTTTCAAATTTATTAGCATATACTTGTTCATAACACTCTATGCTTTATATCTGTGTCATATCTGTAGCTGTTCCCCCTTTTTCATTATGTATTTGTTTATTCATTTTTTCTCCCTTTATCCATAATCGGCCTTGTTGTAACTCTGAATATCTTACAAATATTTTTAAGTAAGCAGCTTTTGGAATCAAAAGTATGTTAATTTTCACTACCTAGTTTTTTGTTCTCTATTTCTGTTTCATTGCTTTCTATTCTTATCTTTATAACTCCTTTTCTTCGTATTTCTTTAGGTTTGCTCAACTTCTCTTTTTCCAAATTTTTGAGTAGAATTTCTAGGTCCTTTATTTTAACTTTTCTTGTTCTAATAAATGTATTTGAAATTATAATATTATTTTATATGTATATTTTATGTGTAACATTTTTAACACCTGGTTCTAAAAGAGTTAATTTTCTTTATAACTGCTGTTTATTTATTTGACACAGGGTCCCACTCTATTGCTGAGGCTGGAGTGCAGTGACGCAATCATGCCTCACTGCAGCCTCCATCTTCTGGACTCCAGCGATGCTCCCATCCACGACTGCCTTTTAAATCCATGTTACTGATAAATATATTTGTTCACTTACAATTTTAAGTATATTTTAGTTATCAAGTTCTAATTTTATTACAGTATGGTTGCAGAATATAGTTTCTTTCTTTCTTTTTCTTTTTTTTTTTTTTTTTTTAAGACAGTGTCTTACTCTGTTGCCCAGGCTGGAGGGCAGTGGCACAATCTCAGCTCACTGCAACCTCTGCCTCCTGGGTTCAAGCGATCCTCCCGTCTAGCCTTCTGACTAGTTGGGATTACAGGTGCACCCCATCCAGCTAAATTTTTTGTAGAGACGGGGTTTTGCCATGTTGCCCAGGCTGGTCTCAAACTCCTGGGCTCTAGGGATCTGCCCACCTTGACCTCCCAAAATGTTGGGATTACAGGCATGAGCCACTGCTCCTGGCCTAGAATATAGATAGTTTCTAAGATACCGATACTCTGGAATTTATTGGCGTTACCTTTATGGAATGATGCATGTCCTATTTGAGTAAATGTTCTGTGTGGCTTGAACTATTATATATAATTTTTGGTTTTCTGGCAACTTTTAAAAAATGAATTTTATGAATCTTGTACCTCATTTTATTTCCTTCTTTGCTTTCACTATCCTATGGCCTGGAGCCAATTATTTTTTATCCATTTATAGTTGGCTGATAAATATGTGTCCTGTTAAACCGGCTCTCTGAAGAAAAACAATGCTTCTGACTTGTAGCATTGCTGATTTCTATAGTATAAATACTTCCATAGTGGTCAATATCAAGTTACCAATAGTTAACAACTGTCTTCAAAAATCCTGAATACTTTGCAATCTGCTCTTGCTAGCCAGTATAAGACAGCGCACCACTTTTTTTTTTTTTTAAGATATTCACGTTGTCCATTAGTTTCCATTAGTTTCACTCCTTGGCTTCACTTACTTTTCTTAACCATATTTTCTCTCTGACCCAGTGTTGTTTTCTTCTTTTAAAAATTGTTTTAAATTATCTCTGTAAGCTGCTACAAACCTTTTATTGGAATGAAGGGCATTAGAACAGTTATTTGGCCAATACAGAAAAATGAAGTCTTCTAATTTTTTTTTTTTTTTTTTTTTTGAGATGGAATTTCTCTCTTGTCGTCCAGGTGGAGTGCAATGGCGCAATCTTGGCTCACTGCCACCTTTGCCTCCCGGGTTCAAGCGATTCTCCCTGCCTCAGCCTCCCGAGTAGCTGGGATTACAGGCACCATGCCCAGCTAATTTTTGTATTTTAAGTAGAGATGAGGTTTCACCATGTTGGCCAGACTGGTCACGAACTCCTGACCTCAGGTGAACCACCCGCCTTGGCCTCCCAAAGTGCTGGAATTACAGGCACGAGCCACCGCGCCTGGCCGAAGTCTTCCAATTTTAAAAGATCTAATCTTCATTCAGTTCTCAAAGTCTTTGCTGTGCCCTTAAGGCATGTCACACGCATGTGCAGCTCAGGGGTAACCTGGTACTCCTGAGGGTTCAGACTCAGAATTAGGGAATTTCCGCCTGTACTCTCAGTTTGGAGATTCCCCTACACATTCCTGCCCGCAGGGGCCCTTTTTCTTCATTCCTCTGGCCAGAAAGCCGGTATTTCTCTTGTTAACTCAGGGCTTGTGCTACCACGCAGTGCAGCTCTGCACCTGAGGCCTGACGTCAGGGCAGAGCTGGGAGGAAAAAAGGGGAAAACATTGAAAACCCACTCCCCAGGAGGGGCCCCTCTCCCAGTTTTGACCCTCTTCACAATCCACCTGCTTTTGTTTACTTTTTGGAGTCCTTGAGTACTTGCTTTTTGTATACTGCCCAGAATTTCTACTTGTGATCAGTGGGAAAAATGGGCTATTTAAAATCTCAAATAAGTTAAATATCATGGCTAGAAACAACTCCAGGCATTTGTAATTTTAGATTTTTTTCTTTACACTCCAGGGGGATGTGATTGTTTTAGAGTTTTGAATTCGTATGTTTAGCCTGAGATCCTACTAGTATTTCTGTTGAATATGCCTGTTGACTGCCCACTTGTTAGCAAAATGGCATTGAATGTTGGAACTGTAAACTACCTTAGAAATCATTCAGCACCATCTTTTGACAGAAAAGGATATGAGAGTTCACTCCTGTCACTCAGGAAGTGCAAGGCAAAGATAGAAGCAGAATTAAATTTGTTTTAATACAGTTACTCAGCCATCTGGTAACAGTTTCCTAAGTGCCAACGAATGTATGGGGCTATTTATTGCAGATTTTAAGATGATATATGGGGATTGAGGGAATGAGAAGTTTTAGGGAGTGGTAGAGGAAGGGCATATAATAAGACTGAATCCCAGATCCCAGCCTCAGAACTTATTTTGTGACCTTGGTCAAGTGATTTAATCTTTCCAAACCTCTATGTGTCCTATAGAAGTAATAATAATACCTATATAGGGTTGGGTGTTTTTTTTGTTTGTTTTTTCTTTTTCTTTTCTTTTTTTTTTCTTAAGATAGGGTCTTTCTCTGTCACCCACGCTAGAGTGCAGTGGCGCAATCACAGCTCACTGTAGCCTCAAACTCCCAGGCCTAAGCGATCCTCCCACTCAGCCTCCCAGGCAGCTGGGACTACAGGCATGCACCACCGCACCCGACTAATTTTTAAATTTTTTTGTAGAGATGGGGTTCTCACTATGTTGCCCAGGCTGGTCACTAACTCCTGGGCTCAAGCAATCCTCCCGCCTTGACCTCCCAAAGTGCTGGGATTACAGGTGTGAATACAGGGGGTTTTTTGGTTTGAATTTTAAGAGATAAAATTTATAAAACATTTAGCCAATGCCACAAATGTAGCTTCTTTTGGTTATTGTCATTATTCTTTGAAATTCACAAGTGCCCCAAAATATTTAAGCATTTTTCATGTATTGCCCTTTAATATGAATGAATGCATTATGAAAGGAATTCTTTTACATGCGAGTTTGCTGATAGTCTTAGCTAATTCTCATGTGTGTAGGTGTCTTGCCTATCTGTCAGTCTTAGCCTTAAAGGAAAGAGTCCCATCACCTCACTTGCGGCCTCATCATCATGGACCGCATGATGATGCGGAATGAGAATTTTTATTGTTTGTACTACTTCAAAATCATTCAGTACGTGATCACCTGTCATGTATAGGGCTCTTTATATTTCTAGTTTAGTCCCTTTTGTTTTCTCTAGGAAAGATGTTTTAGACCTGGGACAAAAGAAGAAAGAGTGTATGCTGACATCTAGGAGGGAAGCACCCACCTCCCCTAAGCTCCATCTCCCTGAGCACTCATTTCCCAATGACCATACCAGGTTTTGGCCCTAGAGAGTTTATTACAAAATAAGAAAGAGAAGTCTGGGGAAGGTTCACTCATCATAGAATTTTGGCAGTTCATTGCCCAAGATGACTCGATGGTCCACACCGGCAGCTGTAATAGTGACCAGGTAGATGACACCCCCGCTTGAGCCATCCCGGCTCATGGCCAGAGCAATAGCTGCAGAGGGTTTCAAGTTGGAGAGAGGGAGAGAGAGGATGGCTTAGCTTCAAAAATCTTTTTACTCCCCCTCCATCCATATGCCTACTACCACTTTCACCTCAAAACTCATCTTCCAGGAAGGCATATTTAGTGGTGTGCTGGTAAATCAGTTTTTTTACAAAAAGGCTTCCATATGTGGCATCTGCTGATGTCCGTGGTGTAAATGCTCCCGCTATGATGAATTGCAAGTTACAAATAGCTAAGCAGTTCACAAATCCTTGACTATTTAACAGTCCGCTCTCATGAGTGGTCCCAAGCCAGCCTCAGCACACCTCAGCACACCACTGGTTCTTTTTTTTTTTTTTTTTCTCCAGACAGGGTCTCTCTCTGTCACCTAGGCTGCAGCGCAGTGGTGCAATCACCGCTCACTACAGCCTTGATCTCCCCGGCTCAGATGATCTTTCCACCTCAGCCTCCTGAGTAGCTGGGACTACAGGTGTGCACCACTATGCCCAGTTCATTTTTTTTTTTACTTTTTTTTATTGTTTTTTGTGGAGACAGGGTTTCACCATCTTGCCTAGGCTGGCCTCAAACTCCTGGGCTCAAGTAATCCTCCTGCCTCAGCCTCCCAAATTGTTGGCATTACAGGTGTGAGCCACTGTGCTTAGCACACCACTGGTTCTCACAGTGACTGTGTATCCTCATTTGATTTACTCAGAACAGCCCTGGTTTATCCGTATTGCCCAAGAACCCCATTGAGCTTTGCATTTGTCCTGCCCCTTTTCACTCTTAAAAGTGTACCAGGCCCGGCATTAACTTAAATGGCCACCCCTGTATTTCTCTTCCTGTTCCTCATAATCTACTTCCTTCCCATGTTTCAAAGCCCTCCCCAGGTACCCTTCCACTTGGCTGGTTACCGTCTGTGGTGAAGCGCCTGCACTCCTCGGGAGACATGCCTGGCTTATATGCTGCATCCACATAACCATAGATAAAGGTGCTGCCGGAGCCACCAATGGCAAAAGGCTGTCGAGTCAGCATTCCTCCCAGGGTTCCATATACCTGGGAAAGGGATCCTCAGGTTAAAGAATCATCAAGCCCTTCCTTCCCACTGAGACATTAAGTGGTCTCTGCACCCTGCAATGAAGCCCTGGTATCTCATATCCCCAAAGTACTATGCTTTCAGAGGTAGTGTCCTTGGAACTCATTGCTAGAATGACATAGGACTTCCATCTTCCTCTGCAGGAGAGTGGGGAAGCCCAGAGGAGAGAGTGCTTTGGGAGAAACTCACCTGACCTCCTTCACGTTGGTCCCAGCCAGCTACCATGAGATGTGCAGACAAGTCCTCTCGATATTTATAGCTGATATTTCTCACCACATTTGCAGCAGCCAAAACAAGTGGAGGTTCCTCCAGTTCTATCCTGAGGGAAATATTAGGAATAAAGGTTGATAGAATTTTAAGTCTCATTCTCCTATACTGTTACCATCATCCCTGCTAAACGACCCCTGAAAACTGTAACTGCAATAGCTCAAACTGCAGCCTCCCTCCCACATGTACAGGGGAACCAGAGTCCCACACCACCAACTGGTAAGAAGCTTTCAATTGCTCACTCTTTTGCTCAGCCCCACCCACATAACTTTCTTTTGGCTGCAAGGACCCTGCTCTTATGGGGAAAAGCAGATAAGGTTACTTCCGTCCCAACGACCTTGATTTCTCGTATGGTAACTGCCTGATATTATGGTGGGTCACAATATCACCTTCTTCCTGATTATTTATATCAGGATAGTGATTTACAGCTTTTAAACTGTGTTCACATATAGAATGTGGTTCTCAAAATAACCGTCTCATGAGGTACTATATTATCTCCACTTTACAGATGCAGAAACTGACAGATTCAAGTGCCAGCAAGAGCCGAAACAAGACTTTTCCATTTCCCAGTGTCCAGCTCCTGGAACAGCACACTGTACAGGGATTCATGCAGGTTGGGGGAGCTCTAGTGGGTGGGGAGTCAGAACTCCAGAGCTTCATACCCATGGAGCTCCAGCTGGTAGGCGGCCATGTCGGCCACGGCTTGGGCATCAGCAGCTGAACCAGAGAGTGCACAGTAGATGCGCTCGTGCAGCGGGGACAGCTTGTCAAACACTCGGTTCACCACCGCCTCGCTGTCAGGAGGGAGTCAACAGTCACCAAGTTAAAACTCAGGTTTTTTTTTTTTTTTTTTTTTTTTGAGACAGTCTCACTCTGTCACCCAGGCTGGAGTGCAGTGGATCAATCTTGGGCTCACTGCAAACTTCGCCTCCCTGGTTCAAGTGATTCTCCTGCCTCAGCCTCCCGAATAGCTGGGATTACAGGCACCCACCACCAAGCCCAGCTAATGTTTGTATTTTCAGTAGAGACAAGGTCCCAACATGTTGGCCAGGCTGGTCTCAAACTCCTGACCTCAAATATCTGCCCACCTCGGCATCCCAAAGTGCTGAGATTATAGATGTGAGCCACTGCACCCAACCAGAACTCAGGAATTTTTGAGGGTGATCATTCAATGTCTCTCAAATTTCTTTGACAAGAGAATAGCATGAAGTTTAATGCTTGGATTAAAGCAGGAGGCAAATAATCATCTCAGATATTATTAATCACTGCAGATGTTAATCAAAATTAGGCTTATTTTTCAGGCTTAGATTTTATAACAAAGCAAAAAATGCTAAGGTAAGAAAAATATGCCTCATCAATTTTCTTTGCTATTAACAATCTTGAGAGAGTTATGTTCTATGGAACATAATGTCAGTAATATTGACCTAACCCCATATACTCATTTTGCATGTGAGGAAATTGGTTAGGAGTGGGAGAAGAGACAAAATAGTTCAATATATGGTAAATGAGAAACCAGGTATCTGCTTGACAGAATCATCTTTTTGATCCCTAAGCACAGATGGAAAGAAGACCCTCAAAAATCTATCTCCTGTCCCCCTCTCAGACCCTATTCCTTTACTCATCCCTGTACACTACTGGGACAGGTCACATACACATTCAGACCCCAGATCCTCCTCCACAAATTCAGAGACCCAAGCACCCACCAAATAGCTTATCATAGTGGCTTTTGGGGAAGGTCAACTCCATTCCTCCAAGGCTCCAGTTTGCCAGTCTTTTCATGAATGGGTAAGGAAAGTGTGTATTTGAGGCCATTAGCTTCTTTCCAAATGCATACATCTTCACTTTTACTCACCCTGCAGACACTCGGGAATCAGAACCCATCACAACGCCCCCGTCAAACTCCACTGCCATGATGGTGGTCTGCAGAGACACAGAATATGGAATGTCAGGGCAAGAACAGCCTTGATGCCCTCATGTTAGAGAAGAAGAAACATTCCCAGAGAGGCGAAGTGACTGGCTCAAAGATTACACAGTAACAGGCCAGAGCTGACTGTCAGTACAGGCTTTTTTTCCCTTCATCTTTCCACTTTCTCTATTGCTTCATCCGGCTGCAGGGGAATGCCACAGCCCAGCTGTGATACAACACAGAAAGAACTGTGTCCCTAAGTTCCAACTTGCCTAGTGGAATCCTCTCCACTGTAGAGAGGTGGAGATGAGGCTCCTACAGGTAGAAGTGAAGCAGCTCCGCAAGTGAAAATTATCTCCAACGGAAGGGCTCATAGTATGTGCAGATGTGGTGTAGACCCAACACAGAGTAATTGACTATGATCTTGGGAAACAAGGTCAGTCTATTTTTTTTTTTTTGGTCCACAATCCTCCACTCTCACCCCCCATTTCATCAGAAGTGAGCTCTTCCAATTTACTGAACATTGGAAAAAATCGAGGAGGGCAGTGGTTAGCATGGCCAGGGGCAAGGCAGGAGAGAAGCAGCAAGGAACACATACAGATGGTTGAAAATAAAAGTTTCAGTTATGGAATTTCCGATCAAGAGGTAAATACATATCTCAGCAGCCAGGGAGGTAAATTTGTACCAAGAGATAATTTGACTGAGAAGTTTAAGCTGACTTTTCCAGGTCAAGAAAAGAATCAAGAAGAAGTGAGGGAAGATAAAGCTACATTTATTCTACTATTGAGTTGGAAGGAGCCTTAAAGATCCTCGGTTCAAATGAGGAAACCAAGTCACAGAAAATGCAAACGACTTATGCAAAGTCACACAGAGTTAATAGTAGACCTGGGACTAAAATTCAGGTCTAACTCTTATCCCTTGTTTCCACTTCTACTTCCTACTTGCCACTGCTCATTTGGCAGTGAGGGGAGATTTCCCAAATTATAAGTGGTTTCACTGTGTCTTTCTTACCAGGCCGTAAGTTACTCTGGCCCCAAAGGACGCTCCTCTGAGTATGCTTTCCGACGGACCGACTTATCATGAATAGAGGGTCAAAGAACAGGGTTAACTTCAAGTTAGAGGCTATTCCTCTCTAACAAAGCCGCCCCCAAGCCACGAGTGGTGGCAGTAGTCCAGAGCAGAAGCCAGCCAGCCAGTCTTGGGGCTGCCATCTGCCCCAGGCGCCCATCCTAAGCAAAGTCCCCCCAGTGGGCACATGGGAGTGGGCAGGGAAGACACAGGGAAGGGAGTAAGGCAGCATCTGGGCCAAGGAGAGGCCTTCCTGGGTCAAGCTAGGGAAGGGCATCACTAGTTAACACAGAACGCCCATTATCAGTGCTTGGGCTAAGAGTTGCCCAGTGGCAAGTTTATCAAAAGTCTGTGTGATGAGTTGGTCCTTCTCAATAAGTGCCTATATTTCCTTCTCCCAAGTGCTGTTCTACTTCACCCAGGGCACCATTTCCTCATCTCTTTGCACCATCCCCAACCCCCTTTCTTGATTTAACCAGCCCCCACTGTCCGGGACCAGAGTGAAAGCGAAAGCGCTTTAGAGTAGCTTCCCGTTGACGCTTCCAGCTAAGAGTCAAAGCACCCGCTTTTTCCACCAGCCTCGCGTGCCTGTTCCCTTCACGGACACTCTAGACGACCCCCCTCAGAAAAGAAATACTCTATGCTCATTGCGGGTTGCAAGCGCTGGCTGCTACAGGCGACCTCCCTGCGCTCCCGTTGGTCTCTGCATTCACTTCTCCGCGCGCGCTTCCAGGGTCCCCTGGCCGCTGCATCTCCTCCACCCCTCTGCCAACCCTCAAGCCCAGACCCATTACCCCGGTGTGGACTTCTCCCGCCCGGGGTAAGTCCCCGGTTGGTGCTCCCGCCCGCAGCATCCCTGCAAGGCACCGCTCTCCTCGCCGCCTGGGGCACTGGTTTCCAACCTGGGACAGCGCACAACGCGCAGCCGACAGCCCCGCCCCTTCGCGGCGCCGCCAGGAGGCGCCTGGGTGCTGCGGGGCTGCTTTGCGCGCGGCGCTAACGTGTGTAGGGCAGATCTGCCCCGAGACAAGTGACGAGGCAGCCCCGCCCTGAGGCTGGGGTGGGAAAACTGGTGCAAGTGGAAAGGCAGGAGGCAGGGAGAGGCGAGAAGGGTGTGCGTGATGGAGAAAATTGGGCACCAGGGCTGCTCCCGAGATTCTCAGATCTGATTTCCACGCTTGCTACCAAAATAGTCTGGGCAGGCCACTTTTGGAAGTAGGCGTTATCTAGTGAGCAGGCGGCCGCTTTCGATTTCGCTTTCCCCTAAATGGCTGAGCTTCTCGCCAGCGCAGGATCAGCCTGTTCCTGGGACTTTCCGAGAGCCCCGCCCTCGTTCCCTCCCCCAGCCGCCAGTAGGGGAGGACTCGGCGGTACCCGGAGCTTCAGGCCCCACCGGGGCGCGGAGAGTCCCAGGCCCGGCCGGGACCGGGACGGCGTCCGAGTGCCAATGGCTAGCTCTAGGTGTCCCGCTCCCCGCGGGTGCCGCTGCCTCCCCGGAGCTTCTCTCGCATGGCTGGGGACAGTACTGCTACTTCTCGCCGACTGGGTGCTGCTCCGGACCGCGCTGCCCCGCATATTCTCCCTGCTGGTGCCCACCGCGCTGCCACTGCTCCGGGTCTGGGCGGTGGGCCTGAGCCGCTGGGCCGTGCTCTGGCTGGGGGCCTGCGGGGTCCTCAGGGCAACGGTTGGCTCCAAGAGCGAAAACGCAGGTGCCCAGGGCTGGCTGGCTGCTTTGAAGCCATTAGCTGCGGCACTGGGCTTGGCCCTGCCGGGACTTGCCTTGTTCCGAGAGCTGATCTCATGGGGAGCCCCCGGGTCCGCGGATAGCACCAGGCTACTGCACTGGGGAAGTCACCCTACCGCCTTCGTTGTCAGTTATGCAGCGGCACTGCCCGCAGCAGCCCTGTGGCACAAACTCGGGAGCCTCTGGGTGCCCGGCGGTCAGGGCGGCTCTGGAAACCCTGTGCGTCGGCTTCTAGGCTGCCTGGGCTCGGAGACGCGCCGCCTCTCGCTGTTCCTGGTCCTGGTGGTCCTCTCCTCTCTTGGTAAGGGGAACGCAGGGCAAGAGGGGAGGACACAAGGGGACTGGGACAGGAATCAAAGGTAATTGTCAGTAAGGTAGAGTAGCGTGGGTTCTGGGAAATGTGGAGCAGGAGAAGGACTCCTAGCGTGGGTCTTGGAACACCACTTCGGTGTAGAAGAAACGGCACTGGACTGGCGGGGGCCAGAGGTTCTGGGCTCCATTGCTGACCGGGTCTTGATTCTTTGGGCCACGCCGGAAGCGGGGAAATCCTTTGCTCTGGGGCCGAAGGGCGGGGCATCCTCATCTCTAACAGGAGGCTTTTCTACTTCATGATCTCCAGCCTTCCTAATAAAATCCTGAAAGTTCTGGTAGAGCAACCACAGGGTAGTGAGTTCCAGGGCAGCCTATTTAGGTTCGGGATTGAGACGTCAGTGTTTCCTTTCTGCTGATGCCCTCCAGGATAATGGTGAGGGGGAGGAGGCGTGGTGGGGCCAGTCTGACTGGAACTGACCTACTTAGACTTAATATTTGTGCGTGACCTCTCTTCTCTTTCTCCAGGGGAGATGGCCATTCCATTCTTTACGGGCCGCCTCACTGACTGGATTCTACAAGATGGCTCAGCCGATACCTTCACTCGAAACTTAACTCTCATGTCCATTCTCACCATAGCCAGGTCTGGGGGCTGAAAATGGGGCACCCTGCAAATGAGGGAGTTGGAAGTTGGGGCTGCTGTCCGAAATGCACTTATATGGGGATACCTGGGACCTTCAGTCTGTTCCCTGAACACACCCTGATCCCCTTTTTTTCCGGGTTCTTTATAGTGCAGTGCTGGAGTTCGTGGGTGACGGGATCTATAACAACACCATGGGCCACGTGCACAGCCACTTGCAGGGAGAGGTGTTTGGGGCTGTCCTGCGCCAGGAGACGGAGTTTTTCCAACAGAACCAGACAGGTTTCTCCTGAAACTCTTTCATTATACGCCATGTACTGTTCATATCCTCATACATCTGCTTTGATCTCCCCCCTCCCCGCTCTCTCTCTCTCACACACACATACACACATTGTTCCTTCTCATTCTTGATATACCCTCTCCCTGTCTCTCTCTCTCTGTCTCTGTCTCTCTCTCTCTCTCTCTCACACACACACACACACAATTGTTTTTCTCATTCTTGATATACCTCAGGAGCAAAATATTGTCCTCCTTACCTTAAGAAAAACCTAGAGTTTTCATCTAGCATTTTCTTATAAATCTATTCCTATGTATCCTTAGATAGAAACCATAGAATTTCAAACCTGGAAATTTTGAGCTCATAGAGACCAACTGCCTCATCTGACAGAGAAGGAAACTGAGGCCAAGACCCTAAATGCTGAAACTGCACAGTTACATATGGCTAGAGACACACTTGGGGTTAGAACCCTGGTCTCTTGAGTGCTCCACAGACTTCGGCATGCTTTCTAGCAGCACTAGAAGCTGTACAGTTACATATGGCTAGAGATAGACCTGGGGTTAGAACCCTAGTCCCAGTGAGTGCTCCACAGACTTTGGCATGCTTCCTAGCAGCACCCTCCTCCTCCATCTCTGTTATGTGACCAGTTTAAGCTCTTCCTGCCTGTGTGTATAGCATGGGACATACAGGTTCTCTAGGGAACAGAAAGCTTTCAGGAAAATGGAAATTCACATGTGCATTAATGACTTTATAATTAAAATGAAGGTCAGGCCTTTCCTCTTTAACACTCATCTTCCCTGCACTGAGATTTGCAGACCTCTGGAGAACCCTAACCTTGTTTCCTGCAGCCTCCTTAGAACCCCATGTTGACACCCCTGACCCTGGCATCCTGGCTCATTGTTAGTTCGTCTCATCACTTGGAACCTGTCTGATTCACCTCACTCTCTTCTCCCCAACCCTGCAGGTAACATCATGTCTCGGGTAACAGAGGACACGTCCACCCTGAGTGATTCTCTGAGTGAGAATCTGAGCTTATTTCTGTGGTACCTGGTGCGAGGCCTATGTCTCTTGGGGATCATGCTCTGGGGATCAGTGTCCCTCACCATGGTCACCCTGATCACCCTGCCTCTGCTTTTCCTTCTGCCCAAGAAGGTGGGAAAATGGTACCAGGTATGTTCATGGAGTTGGCCCGCTCTACACAGACCCTCATCTCCCAGACTTGGCAGACTCAGTTCCTCTCACATTGCTTTCAGTCCAGCTTTCCTGGCACCCTTACTGATTCTCCATCTTCATGGAACACCCTGTCCCTGTGGTCCATGTTCCCAGGTTGCTCAACATTAACCTCCATACTCTCTGGGTCTTCTTTTCTAGCTTCTCCCCACAATCTGTCTTTAAGAATTTGATCCCCAACCCGTTCTGAGTCATTTTCCTCTTCCTCGTATTTCTTTAGCATCCAAGGGGCATAGCTGTGTCTCTTTCTCTTTTCTCCTTTTCCTCTGTCTCTTCTCACCTTTAATTTCCAAATAGGTAACTCAGGTATTAGTGTCCCTGATGGTTTGCCAACCCGTGTGACATCTCTTGTCCATGTATCCACAGTTGCTGGAAGTGCAGGTGCGGGAATCTCTGGCAAAGTCCAGCCAGGTGGCCATTGAGGCTCTGTCGGCCATGCCTACAGTTCGAAGCTTTGCCAACGAGGAGGGCGAAGCCCAGAAGTTTAGGGAAAAGCTGCAAGAAATAAAGACACTCAACCAGAAGGAGGCTGTGGCCTATGCAGTCAACTCCTGGACCACTAGTGTGAGCACCTGAAGATGAATACCCATTCCCTTGTCCTTAAGATGCCGTGACTCCATTCCCATTCCTATGACCCTGCTCCCACTCCTTCTTTACTGGGAAATGGTTGGTTCAGTATTTTCGTCCTAGCAACCTGAGGCTCAATGACTCTACTCAGTGTCCCTAGCCCCCTCCCTCTCTTTAAAGATGCTAGGTGGCTTCCTTTCAGTATGGTACATAAAATCCACCCAACCATGTGGATTGGAGAGATGCGTGTCTTCCAGTCCTAGGGCCTTCCTTTGCCTCTCAGGGGAAGTGCAGGGCGCCATAAATTCTTGCACCTGGGACTGCTTCATGCTGGTACCTTGTAGATTTGTTAGTGAGAGTGATGGGAATAGTGGAAGCCAGGGATGAGGGACATCTGTGATGCACTGGAAAGAGAGCTACGCCAGTGATCCGAAGATCCTGGCTTGATGATGCAATTTACTTGTCTTGTGATCATGACAACAAATTTACCTTCTCTGAGACTGTTTCCTCTTTATTTATTTATTTGTTTGTTTGTTTGTTTATTTTTACTTATTATTATTATTTTTGAGCTGGAGTCTCGCTTTGTCGCCCAGGCTGGAGTGCAGTGGCGCGATCTGGGCTCACTGCAAGCTCCGCCTCCCGGGTTCACGCCGTTCTCCCGCCTCAGCCTCCTGAGTAGCTGGGACTACAGGCACCCGCCACCACGCCCGGCTAATTTTTTTTTTTTTTTTGTATTTTTAGTAGAGACGAGGTTTCTCCGTGTTAGCCAGGATGGTCTCAATCTCCTGACCTTGTGATCCGCCCACTTCGGCCTCCCAAAGTGCTGGAATTGCAGGCATGAGCCACTGCGCCCGACTGGTTGTTTCCTCATTTTTCAAAAATGGAGTGATATAACCTTCTTTATAAGGCTCTTCATGTATTAGCTGACATCACATGAATGAAAGCCTTTTGTGAAGAGTAAAATGCTCCCCAGACAAGGTGATAGTGGTGATGGTGGTGAAGATAACTGTGACTTGCATGATGTGCATTGAGTCAGACTCCATGGGGTCTCTGGTTCATTCTCCTGTCTGCCTATTGAGCCTGCCGATGTCACTTAGGAGACAGGGACTTGATATTTCCTTCAGGTTAATGACTGTGGTTCTTTGTGTCCCCTCCAGATTTCTCTACCTCAGTCCCTTTTTTTGTGGTCTCTTTATAGATTTCAGGTATGCTGCTGAAAGTGGGAATCCTCTACATTGGTGGGCAGCTGGTGACCAGTGGGGCTGTAAGCAGTGGGAACCTTGTCACATTTGTTCTCTACCAGATGCAGTTCACCCAGGCTGTGGAGGTGAGGTCCCTCCACCTTCACTCCCCAGTGTGATTCCTTCCTCTGGCCCAGCACCATCTGTGTGATGTCCTTCCATTCTTTACCCTTCTTGCTTCACATAATGCTGGCAAGCAGACTACCTCACTTTCACTATTCTTACCTCCCTCTAGGTACTGCTCTCCATCTACCCCAGAGTACAGAAGGCTGTGGGCTCCTCAGAGAAAATATTTGAGTACCTGGACCGCACCCCTCGCTGCCCACCCAGTGGTCTGTTGACTCCCTTACACTTGGAGGGCCTTGTCCAGTTCCAAGATGTCTCCTTTGCCTACCCAAACCGCCCAGATGTCTTAGTGCTACAGGTACAACCTACCACTCCCTGTATTCCACTGGCCCCAACTGCAATTCTGCCATCCTAAATTTTCTTCCTGCCTTCAGCCTGCTTACTGCCAAGCATATATCCTCCCTAACCCTTTAAAGGCAATGGTAGGCATCATCTGTTCCATAAATCTTCCCCAAACTCAAGAACCCAGTTTGGGCTTCCAAAGAGAATGAGAGAAGAGGTTTCGAAGAGAGTGCTCTCACGTTCCAAGGAATTGCTGCAGCAAAATCTGTGTCTTCGGTCTTCCATCTTTCCTTTTCCTTTGTAATTTGGAATGTGATTTTTCCCTTTCCTGGTGGTATCTGACATCAAGTGTGTGGCATAGTGGTGCTGGGTCTCTGCCCTTGTCTTTGCCGCTTCTTCTATCTCTACTCCTTGGGGAGGCATCACCCAGAAATCTGTGCATGTGGGAGGGTAGGAGTTTCTATATTTCCCTGTTTTTCTTCTGGGGTAAGACATCATGCTATGTAACAAGGCAATGACACTCTCAAGGTTAGAGGCCTTGGTAGCCTCTTATCGTGTGCTTCTCTGGCCTCTAGGGGCTGACATTCACCCTACGCCCTGGCGAGGTGACGGCGCTGGTGGGACCCAATGGGTCTGGGAAGAGCACAGTGGCTGCCCTGCTGCAGAATCTGTACCAGCCCACCGGGGGACAGCTGCTGTTGGATGGGAAGCCCCTTCCCCAATATGAGCACCGCTACCTGCACAGGCAGGTATGGAAGCAGGTGGCTTGAAGGAGGGCAGGGAGCATCAAATACGAAGAGCATTCTTACTGAGCACTCTGAAAGAGGGGTTAGGGAATGATAAGAGACCTTGGGTGGAGATGGTGGTGTAGTCAGGAGGGAGGTAGTATGATTTTGTGACATGTTCTCAATAAAGATTTTGAGTCTTCGATCTCTAGATAACCATACTCCCATGTGCCTTGTTCTATGACTCTTCATCATATTTCATCTCAGGTGGCTGCAGTGGGACAAGAGCCACAGGTATTTGGAAGAAGTCTTCAAGAAAATATTGCCTATGGCCTGACCCAGAAGCCAACTATGGAGGAAATCACAGCTGCTGCAGTAAAGTCTGGGGCCCATAGTTTCATCTCTGGACTCCCTCAGGGCTATGACACAGGTACTCTCTCCACTCATCTCACCACCCAGCCATCTTTACCTTTGCTGAAACCCCAGTAGTCTTGCCTTTATCCTTCAGTTCCTCCTTACTCATGGACATCAATTTGAAGTTGTAAGATCATGCTCCTATGGCTTCTTCATCCTGACATCCTCAGGATTCTGTTCATCTTCCCAGAATCTCCCCTATCCAGCTACAACCGTCAGATCTTGGTGTGTGTGAGTGCGTGAATGCATGAGTGTGTCTGTGTGCATGTACATGCGTGCACACATGTGGCTATACCGTTCTCATCTTGGCCCTTTGCTCTGCAGAGGTAGACGAGGCTGGGAGCCAGCTGTCAGGGGGTCAGCGACAGGCAGTGGCGTTGGCCCGAGCATTGATCCGGAAACCGTGTGTACTTATCCTGGATGATGCCACCAGTGCCCTGGATGCAAACAGCCAGTTACAGGTGAGGCAGTCATCTTCTTAATGGCTATATCCCACCCAATCTTGCTTCTTTTATACATCTTCTGTTAGTTTTACTAACATCATAATTATACAAACCAGTCCTTGCAGTTCTCAGTTCCCAAATCCAGTTCCATTGGATGCCTCCCCAAGGAGTAGAGATAGAAGACGAGGCAAAGACACCTAGAATCAGTTAAAAGAGACTATCTACAAACTACAGACTGAATTTCTTTCTTTCTTTCCTTTTTTTTTTTTAAGACAGTGTCTCACTCAGTTGCCCAGGCTGGAGCGCAGTGGCACAATCTTGGCTCACTGCAGCTTCAACCTGCTGGGCTCAAGCGATTCTCCCCTCAGCCTCCCGAGTAGCTGGGACTACAGGTGTACACCACTATGCCTGGTTGACTTTTATATTTTTAGTAGAGATGGGTTTCACCATGTTGCCCAGGCTGGCCTTGAATTCCTGAGCTCAGGTAATCTGCCCCCCTCAGCCTCCCAAAGGGCTGGGGTTATAGGTGTGAGCCACTGCGCCCAGTCCTATAGACTGAATTTCTAAAGCGAAACATAAGGAAAAGACCATCCTCATAATATCGTTTATTTAAAAAAATTATTTTTTGTACAGACAGCGTCCCGCTATGTTGCCCAGGCTGGCCTTGAACTCCTGGGCCCAAGTGATCCTCCCTCCTTGACCTCCCAAAGTGCTAGGATTATAGGCATGAGCCACCGGGCCCAGCCCATCCTAATCATATTAATATTAATTAAGCTAGTCTGTTTACATGCACTGTCACTCATTTATTCATTAGGAATCCTTCTGAGCTAGGCATTTATCATCATTCTACAGATGACAAAATGGAGGTTAAAAGAGGTTGAATAAGCTGCTCATATAGAGGTCATATAGCTTTTGAGTGGCGCAGCCTTGACCCAAATTCAGGTCTGCCTGACTTGAATGCTCATCTCTTTACTACTAAGTTATATTTCCTTAAAATCGAATATAAAAATGCCAAGTCCATGGGTAGAGAAGAGGACTATTCAATAGTCTTTATTCTTCTGTCACGTGTTTCACCCTAGGGTTCTCATTTTTATCCTACTTTTGCACCCTTCATGTAAAACAGTCCTTAATGAAACAAAGGGTTTGCGGAGAAGTACTCAGAATGGGAAACGTTGGTGTCCTTGGGGTTGTTAGCAGAGCCAGCAGTGATCCTGTGAGGTCAGTCCCAGCCCTGGAAACACAGGTGTCTCCCTGGGCTGAGGGTAGTCCCCGGCTCTGACGGTCCGATGTCTTTCCTCAGGTGGAGCAGCTCCTGTACGAAAGCCCTGAGCGGTACTCCCGCTCAGTGCTTCTCATCACCCAGCACCTCAGCCTGGTGGAGCAGGCTGACCACATCCTCTTTCTGGAAGGAGGCGCTATCCGGGAGGGGGGAACCCACCAGCAGCTCATGGAGAAAAAGGGGTGCTACTGGGCCATGGTGCAGGCTCCTGCAGATGCTCCAGAATGAAAGCCTTCTCAGACCTGCGCACTCCATCTCCCTCCCTTTTCTTCTCTCTGTGGTGGAGAACCACAGCTGCAGAGTAGGCAGCTGCCTCCAGGATGAGTTACTTGAAATTTGCCTTGAGTGTGTTACCTCCTTTCCAAGCTCCTCGTGATAATGCAGACTTCCTGGAGTACAAACACAGGATTTGTAATTCCTTACTGTAACGGAGTTTAGAGCCAGGGCTGATGCTTTGGTGTGGCCAGCACTCTGAAACTGAGAAATGTTCAGAATGTACGGAAAGATGATCAGCTATTTTCAACATAACTGAAGGCATATGCTGGCCCATAAACACCCTGTAGGTTCTTGATATTTATAATAAAATTGGTGTTTTGTACTGTGGTTTCTTATGTTTCCGGCACACCAAACGGCCCACTGCCTTTTGCAGCGCACTTTTCAGCTGCGGATGTCTCCTCTTTTATCATCCTCAATGTTTTACCCCCTAACTGCATCACCTTTTCCCTTAAGCTTTTTAATTCCTATGAGGCCCCTTCCACTTCCCCTATCCCCTTAGGCCCACCCCCAAGAATGTGCAAGACCCCAGCCACAGGGCCCATCAGGGCACTAGCGGCCGCAGCTCAGAGCCGTGGCCTCTCCGAAGTGGCAGATGGGGCGGGCGCGGCCAGAGCAAGTGCCAGGCGGGAACAGAGGGACTGGGCGCGCCTCACAACTCACCACCTCGCCCGCTGGTCCTTCCTGGCTCGCCTGGCTCTGAAGCTGCACCTGGAGGGGAAACCTCAGAACAGTAGGCGGGATTGCCTAGTAAATATCTCCCATTCAGGGAGGCCCAGGTCGTGTGACGTCGACAGTTGCTGGGTAGATGAGGCCAACACAGGTTGCAAGAAGAGGCGGGGTTTAGAGGCGTGAAACTCCGCAGTGCTCAGCCAAGCAGGGAGCAACGCTAGGAAGGGCGGGCAGAAAGGGCACGCTCTTGTGGGTGACTACAGGTTAGGAGACCGTTGAACCTGGAGGGGCCCTAGGATGGACCCCGTGGAAAGATTCAGAGACTGCGCCCTCTCCCTGGCGCCGCCTTCCCCTACACGCGGCGGGTATATTCTGTTGCAGTTGGCCCAGGACCTGTTTCCAAGACTCTGCCCCCTCGCACTTCCGTCCCTCCTGGTTTTGTAAAGTGATGCTCATAGGAACCCCCACCCCGCGTGACACTACTCCCAGCTCCTGGCTGACTTCTAGTCTTCTGGTTGAAGCTGCGCCTTTAGATGACACGACCCTACCCACCCCTGTTTCCAGCGGATGCCCGGGCCTGGAGGTACCTCTTACTGTAACCCATCGCCAAGTGGGCTTTTGAAGGCGCCTGTTCCTTTCTCGCTTTCTTCGGAAGACCCTTGACCCATCATTCCCCCGACCCCCATAACGGGAGAGCAGAGAAGCCGGTCCCCAGTGTGATGGTCCTGGTCCAGGCACTAACTGTCCTTTTCTCGGAAAAGGCAGGGGGATGTGGAAAAGAGTCTTGTTCCCTCCCCTTCGATCTGTGGCTTTCGCTTTCACTTCCTCCTCCGAGAGCGGACAGATCTCTGGGTGCTGGGCGGTCATGGCGCTACTAGATGTATGCGGAGCCCCCCGAGGGCAGCGGCCGGAATCGGCTCTCCCGGTTGCGGGAAGCGGGCGTCGCTCGGACCCAGGACACTACAGTTTCTCTATGCGATCTCCAGAGCTCGCTTTACCCCGGGGAATGCAGGTCGGGGCAGTAGGGAAGCCCCTAGGGATGCAGGGAGGCGGGCGCTGAGGAGTGGAGGGTCGCCTGAGAGGAGGAGGCGAGAGCGGGAGCGCGGGGTACAGGGTCGGGGGTAGCCTTCAGTCCCGGAGAGCGCCAGACCCAAAGAAGAGGCCACATGGGGATGGGGCCTGAGAGGAGGAAGTGCAAGTTAGGACAAAGAGTTACAGGTGAGGTGGGGGCTCCCAAAGGAAGACAAGAGAACTTTCCTGCCCTTGTCCACACACAAATGGTGGAGCCTTTTTCATGGGGTTATCACATGATATAGGAGGTGTGTGGTGTCTTGGGAAACCTATGAAATTTGCCTGCTGGCCTCCTCTCAGCAACTCACTGTTGCGCGACTTAGAACAAGTCACTTAGTCTAGGTCCCAAGCCCCTCTTCTGTAAAGTGAGGATACTGTTACTAAACGTGTTTTGTGAGGGTTGAATGCTTTATGCATGGAAGAAACCCTTTAAGTCACTCTCAAAATTTTTTAGTAATGGTAACATGTGCTTGCTTTCATTTCTGTTGTGCTGGAAAATGGAAAAGGTTGATACTGGCATGCCTCTTCTTTTCCTTCTCCCAAGCCATTTCCTTCTAGAGATTGGTTATTAACTGTTTCATTTATTGATGGTTAGATCATTTCTGCATATCTCCTCACCCTCATACTCCCTAAAACCTTTTCCTGGAGCCTCTTACTACAGAATTTTTCATTGCCTTTCTCAACCTCTTTTCTCTTATCAGCCCACAGAATTCTTCCAGTCCCTGGGTGGGGACGGAGAAAGGAACGTTCAGATTGAGATGGCCCATGGCACCACCACGCTCGCCTTCAAGTTCCAGCATGGAGTGATTGCAGCAGTGGATTCTCGGGCCTCAGCTGGGTCCTACATTAGTGAGTGTATACGCTCCAGCAGGCAGAATCTGGGGAGCTGGGCTCTCCTTTCCACAGGAGGCCAACTCTGCAACAAAGTGGAAGTGGATATTGATTTAGGACACACTGGGGGATCTATGGGGTCATCCCTTCTCTCCCAAAGCTCCATCTTCTTCCAGGTGCCTTACGGGTGAACAAGGTGATTGAGATTAACCCTTACCTGCTTGGCACCATGTCTGGCTGTGCAGCAGACTGTCAGTACTGGGAGCGCCTGCTGGCCAAGGAATGCAGGTAAGCGAGGCCTCTCATCTTCCTTTCTTAGCCTAGTGGTTAATCCCTGGATCTCTCAGATCATTGCTCCTTACTCTTGTCCTATGTGGTCCATCTTAGTGCTAATAGTATATTTCACAAAACAGCTTTTTGGTGATAAGACCCTTCTCCCAAATCTCAGCCTGTGCTCCACTCATAAGCCAGATAGTACGTCAGGTATTTAGCACTGACACATCCACCCTGGCGGGACAGTATCATTTACTAGGCTGCCTTTGTATGTTTCAGATACTTTAAATTCCAAATCTTTCTCTGATCTTTAGATCCTACAAAATAATTCCTTTCCAATGCTTATCTCTTTAATCATTTCCTGCCCCATCAAGTTGGAAAGAGCTAACCTCTCTTTCCTCACTCCACCTTGTCCTCACCCAGGCTGTACTATCTGCGAAATGGAGAACGTATTTCAGTGTCGGCAGCCTCCAAGCTGCTGTCCAACATGATGTGCCAGTACCGGGGCATGGGCCTCTCTATGGGCAGTATGATCTGTGGCTGGGATAAGAAGGTGGGTGCTCTCCATTCTTCATGTTCCCCCACCATGTTCCCTATGGATGACAGATCTGTTTCCCATCATATACTCCTACTCCCTCCCTGACAAGATGCATGGCATATAGAGTGCTTGGTTATAGAACTGTTTCAGTATATCCATGGACTATTTATTGGCCCAGATATGAATCATTGCATGTGTTTTGTAAGCTTGTCCCTTTTGTTAAACAGTTGATTTCAAGTTTGTTTTTCCTTTTTCATTTCTAAAGTTCGATGACTTTACCAAAGTGGTTTCCTAATTCCAATGTTCTTGTGGTAATATTAATTCTTTTGTTCACTTTTTATGTCTCATATTTGAACCCCCATGTTACCAACATCTTCCTCTCCAATTTCAGCCTGAAATCTTTCATCTTATAGGGTCCTGGACTCTACTACGTGGATGAACATGGGACTCGGCTCTCAGGAAATATGTTCTCCACGGGTAGTGGGAACACTTATGCCTACGGGGTCATGGACAGTGGCTATCGGCCTAATCTTAGCCCTGAAGAGGCCTATGACCTTGGCCGCAGGGCTATTGCTTATGCCACTCACAGAGACAGCTATTCTGGAGGCGTTGTCAATAGTAAGAGACCAATGCTCCCACCACCATGCCTGGGAGGAGTCGGCGGGTGGTGGGGGGGGTGATTTAAGATTGAGAAACCAGCCTGGCCAACATGGCGAAACCCCGTCTCTACTAAAACTACAAAAATTAGCCGGACGTGGTGACGGGTGCCTGTAGTCCCAGCTACTTGGGAGGCTGAGGCAGGAGAATCACTTGAACCTGGGAGGTGGAGCTTGCAGTGAGCCAAGATGGCGCCACTGCATTCCAGTCTGGGCCACAGAGTGAGACTCCTTCTCAAAAGAAAAAAAAGAAAATGATTGAGAGACTCAAAGGAGGGAGAGTAGTAGGGAGGAAATTTTCAGAGTCAGAAGAAGGGCATTAAAGGCCCAGTCATATGGTTTTAAGCTTGCGCATGTGTCTTGTTGCTGCCTTCAACATAACATCAGTGACAGGAACTTGCTGAGGTGAAAGGTGACTCCATGTTCTTTTCTCATTTGTCCACAGTGTACCACATGAAGGAAGATGGTTGGGTGAAAGTAGAAAGTACAGATGTCAGTGACCTGCTGCACCAGTACCGGGAAGCCAATCAATAATGGTGGTGGTGGCAGCTGGGCAGGTCTCCTCTGGGAGGTCTTGGCCGACTCAGGGACCTAAGCCACGTTAAGTCCAAGGAGAAGAAGAGGCCTAGCCTGAGCCAAAGAGAGAGTACGGGCTCAGCAGCCAGAGGAGGCCGGTGAAGTGCATCTTCTGCGTGTTCTCTATTTGAACAAGCATTTCCCCCAGGGAAGTTTCTGGGTGCCCCACTAAGTAGAATAAAGAAAAACGGTTATAAATACCTCTGTCTTGTGGCTGAATGGGGTTGGGCCTGTGGTTGTTGGGTGGGGCAGAAAGTAAAGAGACGCTTTTTCTGGAGAAGGGGCTCAGACCCCTATCTAAGAAATGTGGCCTCACCACATAGTTCTTCCTGGGGTTTCCTTCCACACTCATCTCTCCAAGACCTCAGGAAGGCTGCTCATTGCTGTCCATGGACACTTGTTTGCAATTTCACATAGGTTAGGGTCCTTTCCATAGAGAGGCACCTGGGGACTCCTGTGTGTTCCATTGTTAATGGTTTGAGGAACAGGGAGTAGGGCACCTAGGATAACTGTTTTTGACTTTATAGAGTAGGATGAAAAAGCTTCCACTTCACTTTAATATGGTAATCATATAAACACCATACCATTTATCCCAAATAACACTTTGGAGATATTGGATATTGAATATAAAGACAGACATTAAGGGTCTAATTTCATGATGTGTCATGCTGAATTGCAAGATGGCAGGACTATAATTTTAGAGGAAGAAGAGATCAGGAGGACTCCCCTAAGTGAGGAGTGTGGGGAAAATGTAAAAGATCCAGGTTAGAAGAAAGAGACACACATCATGAGATTTTCGGAATCATGCTGGAACTATGGACCATGTCACTTTCCAGAAAATAAAGGAAACAAATGCTTGAAAGTAGGAGCATGAGCTTGAGCATGGAGCTTTTTTCATTAGAGAGAGATTCTTAAAATGCCAGAATGAATAGAGTTGTAAAACTTTAGCGAGCCCCTACTTAAAATCCCTCCTCCCCACCACCACTATTTTAAACTTTAAGTGACTCCTTGGTAGTCACACAGGTAACATTTCAAAATGGTGATCTGGAATCCAAGCGACCCTTCCTTTGGGGAATTTGTTTGTTTGTTTGTTTTTAGTTTGGGAGGTGGTTTCAATCTGAAGAGTCCTTTCTGGAATAAACGAATCTTTCTGTTGCATAGGAAGGCTCTGGGTCAGGAAGGATATTTAAAAACCTAATTACTGTTCTAAACAGTGTTAAAATAGAACAAGAACCAAAGCTCAGTACGGGGCATTTCCCTCATAGGCTGAAGGTGCGCCCAACATAATTTGGAGTACAGACTCAGAGGCACCTGAACACGCGCCAGCTCAAGGTGCTCCGGCTGAGAAGGACGGATGAAGATGAACGCTCAGGGCCTACTAAATTCAAAGTCTGTACGTGAAAATCCCCTTTGGCCTGGTGAGATTGGTTGGAACCTTCTATTTAGGAGAGCCCGGCTCGCTCGCCTAAAACTGGAGCTTGCATGGAAGAGGGCACTTTTTTTTTTTTAGACGAAGTCTCACTCTTGTCGCCCAGGCTGGAGTGCAATGACCCGATCTCGGCTCACTGAAACCTCTGCCTCCTGAGTTCAAGCGATTCCCCTGCCTCAGCCTCCCGAGTAGCTGGGATTACAGGCGTCCGCCACCACGCCCTGGCTAATTTTTGTATTTTTAGTAGAGACAGGGTTTCACCATGTTGGCCAGGCTGGTCTCGAACCCCTGACCTCAGGCGATCCGCCCGCCTCGGCCTCCCAAAGTGCTGTGATTACAGGCGTGAGCCACCGCGCCGGACCAGAAAGAAGGCACTTCTTAATAGTAGGCTCAGAGCTTGAAGTAGTAACTTTGAGAAAATTCAGTGATTCTCCAATTACAAAGCATTCTCCAATTACAAAGCAAGGACAACAGATAAAGTTGCCCTTGAGACAACTGTATTTTACTTAATGATAAAGAAACATTTTTGCAGTTTTATATCCCAGAGTAACCGCCACTAAAGGCGAGTGAGACTCATTGCAGGCCTGTACAGTGCGAACCAGAGTTCGGGCTCCAGTTCCGCTGTCTGCGGGTCTCGCGCGCCCCCTCCCGGCGGCCCAGCCCAGAATGAAGGCCTTGGCTGGGGAAGCGAAAGCGAAAGCTGCCCGAGCCCTGACGCCCGCCCTGGCCGAGCGTAGCTGGCGGACCAGAGCCGGTAGCGAGGTTGGGAGAGACGGAGCGGACCTCAGCGCTGAAGCAGAAGTCCCCGGAGCTGCGGTCTCCCCGCCGCGGCTGGTGAGTTGGTGCGGAGGGGAACCTGGAGCGCCAACAGGGACGCAGCCCAAGTGACTACCCACTCCACGCTCCTGCTTCCCAGTCCCTCTGCACCCGGCGATAGGAGGGAGCGGAGCCCGGACCACTTAGCTCGCCGCGGCAGGCGGGGGTGGGGGTGGGGGTCCGGGGATTTTTTTTTTTTTTTTTTTTAAGCACGAGGCTCCTGATGGTCATGCTTCCAGCTCCCCAGAAGGCCGAAAGCTGTCTGTCGTAGGAGGGGTGTACGGATGAGCACCGGTTACTCAGGAGAGCTCTCAGGGTTGAATAGGATAAAATGAGAAGCCGATGGACGGGTTAGGCGGAGCCGGGCGGGTAGGAGGGCAGGGACAAGGATTGGGACTCCACCCCCATGATTTCTCATCTCGTATCCGTTGACAGAGCCATGCGGCTCCCTGACCTGAGACCCTGGACCTCCCTGCTGCTGGTGGACGCGGCTTTACTGTGGCTGCTTCAGGGCCCTCTGGGGACTTTGCTTCCTCAAGGGCTGCCAGGACTATGGCTGGAGGGGACCCTGCGGCTGGGAGGGCTGTGGGGGCTGCTAAAGCTAAGAGGGCTGCTGGGATTTGTGGGGACACTGCTGCTCCCGCTCTGTCTGGCCACCCCCCTGACTGTCTCCCTGAGAGCCCTGGTCGCGGGGGCCTCACGTGCTCCCCCAGCCAGAGTCGCTTCAGCCCCTTGGAGCTGGCTGCTGGTGGGGTACGGGGCTGCGGGGCTCAGCTGGTCACTGTGGGCTGTTCTGAGCCCTCCTGGAGCCCAGGAGAAGGAGCAGGACCAGGTGAACAACAAAGTCTTGATGTGGAGGCTGCTGAAGCTCTCCAGGCCGGACCTGCCTCTCCTCGTTGCCGCCTTCTTCTTCCTTGTCCTTGCTGTTTTGGGTGAGTCAGGAGAGGACGTTGTGAGTTGGAGGTGGTAAAAGGGCCTGGGCACCAGCACATTCTTGTGTTATTTTTCATGCCTCTTTCAGGTGAGACATTAATCCCTCACTATTCTGGTCGTGTGATTGACATCCTGGGAGGTGATTTTGACCCCCATGCCTTTGCCAGTGCCATCTTCTTCATGTGCCTCTTCTCCTTTGGCAGGTAGGTGGTGGGCAGCTGGGTCCATTTGCTAGCCCCAAATCTTTATAGGGGTCTTCACTTCCCTAACTCCATTTCTAGGCCCTTTCAGGCGCAAAACACAAAAATACTTAAACTAAAATATGGTGAATGTAGTCACCATTCTGTTTCATCTATCCATTCATTTCTTCCTTCGTTCATATTCATCCAATATCTTCAAAGTTTATCTGATCTTATTATAGGAACAAGTTATGAGTGAAGGTAGTACAAAAGGAATTTAAGTCTCAGATGGAATGTCTCTCAGTTGTCTCTCAACATTCCTAGGTCCATGAAATTCCATTTCTTTCTGCCTCCTACCTCCTACCCCTAAGTCTGTCTCCAAAGTATCTCTCCAGGGTCACTCTCTCAGGATGGGTATGCTTCTCCCTCTCACTCTTCTTTCCCAGCTCATCTTGCTAATCCCTGAAGATCTTACTCTGAGGCTTATCACCTTTCTTTCCAGAATCATTACTCTTTTCCCTTCACTTGCTTTCCTTTCTCTTTCTAGACATACTCAAACAAACAAACTGTTTGATAAGGCTGGGACTGGGATGAGGTGAGCGAGGCACCTGGGGTGCAAAGTTTAAGGAGGTGTGCACTCACCTTACCCAAATCCCAGCCGGCCTGATTGTCTCTATTTTTATGGTCATACTTAATTTAGAGTACCCTCGAAAACCATTTCATTGTGCCTTCATTCCATCCTGGCTGCTTTCTGCTGAAACTACAGTCGTGCACTGCATAACGATGTTTAGGTCAATGATGGGCCACATATAAGATGGTGGACCCACAAGATTATAATACCATATTTTTACTGTACCTTTTCTATGTTTAGATACACAAATACTTACTTCTGTGTTACAGTCGCCCACAGTGTTAGGTGCAGTCATATGTTGTACAGATTTGTAGCCTAGGAGCAATAGGCTAAACTACATGGCCTAGGTGTGCAGTAGGCTATGACATCTAGGTTTGTGTAAGTACACTCTATGATGTTCATACAACGATGAAACCATCTAACGACACATTTCTCAGAACACATCCCTGTCATTAAAGTACAAACCCTCATTATATCATGTCTGACTATTCCAAACGCCTCTTCAATATGGTAACTAAATTTGTATTAGAAACATATATTTTGTAAAATACATGCTTTTATGCTTTATATTTTTTCCTCTAAGTGTTACTGTAGCATGTAGTTGGTCTAAGAGGGATTTTCCAACTCGAAGGATGACAGATGGGAATCACATGACTCTGGGGCTCCAGAGAATTGTGGGGGCAGGGAATTTATTATTGCAGTTCCCATGATGAAGTATCTATGATGACAGAGAAGGGCTTTGGGTATGGGGCAGGAAGGAGACCAAGGCGGAGGAGACGCACAGAGGGACAAGCCTGAGGGACGCTGGGACAGAAGCAAGCACTGGGATACTTGTTTTCACAATATCTTTTCCCTTCTATTGTAGTTTTCTATTGTGTCTAGTACAGAGTGCACTCCATAAATACTTGTAAATTTGTACATGTTATGATTTTGTTCTCACATCTAGCTCACCATGTCTCCTCTTTCTTCTTCCTCTGTGTATTCCTTACCTCTTCTCTCTCTGTGTGTCTGTCTCTCATTTCTTTCTCTTTTGCCCCTCCTGGCATGCTTTCCCCTGACTTTGCGCTTCTCTGCACTCCTGGCTTGCTCCTCTGTTTCACCCGCTGGCTTGCTCCTTCTCTGCATCTCCCTCCCCTCTTATTCTCCTACCCCACAGCTCACTGTCTGCAGGCTGCCGAGGAGGCTGCTTCACCTACACCATGTCTCGAATCAACTTGCGGATCCGGGAGCAGCTTTTCTCCTCCCTGCTGCGCCAGGACCTCGGTTTCTTCCAGGAGACTAAGACAGGTGGGGCCTGGAGTCCAGGTCTGAGATTCCCATGGACATCCCTTGCCCCTCAGTGACCTTCCACCCACAGCCTCTCCTCCTGCCTTCACCCGTATGCCAGGACCTGGGGATGCTTTTCTCTTGTTTGGGACAGGGTGGAGAAGCAGCCTCCACTGTCCCTCTGCAAGTGAAGGAGGATGTTCAGAGGAGGGGGCTGTGTCAGAGGGAACGGTCAGGAGGGAGTTTCTGGGGGCCCTGCAGTACACATGGTTTCCTTTTTCCTCACCTGCTCTGTCCTTCTTAGGGGAGCTGAACTCACGGCTGAGCTCGGATACCACCCTGATGAGTAACTGGCTTCCTTTAAATGCCAATGTGCTCTTGCGAAGCCTGGTGAAAGTGGTGGGGCTGTATGGCTTCATGCTCAGCATATCGCCTCGACTCACCCTCCTTTCTCTGCTGCACATGCCCTTCACAATAGCAGCGGAGAAGGTGTACAACACCCGCCATCAGGTGAGCGTGCATGTAAGGGAACCCCAAAGGGAGAATAAAACTGACAGGTGAGGAGGCTTCCACATTTGTGGCTAGAGGATCCCCTAGAGAGAGATGTTCTCTTCTCAGCCATTAGGGGAGAAGGTATATTGTAGTATATACTACATTTTGTTTGTCCAGCCATCCAACAATGGATATTTGACTTCAGAAGATTCATGATTCTCCAGAACTGTAAACAAAAATGTAAAGTGTATGTGAAGGTATGGGGGAGGGAATAGGAAGGGGAGATGATAGGCGATGATAACTTTTCATTAGCTTCTCAAAGGAGTCTGTACATCCCCCGCCCCCACTGCGAAGATTAAAAATGGTTTCTTAGAGGCTTTTAGGCAGGGAGATTTTCCCTTTAAAATCAGCAGAAGAAGTCTGGATGCAGCATAGGGAAAGGAGGCGTCATCAGGAAGTCCTAAGTCTGAATGTCAGCTCCACCTTCTCTTTTTCTCTTATATTGTGGTAAAACATACATAACATAAAATTTACCATTTCAACCATTTGAAGTGTACAGTTCAGTGACATTTAGGAAACCCACATTGTTATTGGGTAGCCATCATCACCATCCATCTCCAGAACTTTTTTCATCTTCCTAAAATGAAACTCTGTACCCACTAAATAGTAACTGCCTACTACCCCCAACCCCTGGCCGCTGGCAACCTCCATTGTACCTTCTGTCTCCATGAATTGTGATGACTCCCGGTGCGGTACGTAAGTGGAACCATACAGTATTTGTCTTTTTGTGACTGGCATATTTTACTTAGCGTAATGTCTTCAGGCCTCATCCATATTGTAGCATGTGTTAGAATTTCCTCCCTTTTAAGGCTGAATAATATTCTGTTGTGTGCATATATCACATTTTGATTATCCATTCATCTGTCAATGGACATTTGCGTTGTTTCCACCTTTTGGCTGTTGTGAATTATGCTGCTGTGGACATGAGTGTACACCTGTTTGAAACCCTGCTTTTGGTTCTTTTGGGTATATACTTAGAAGTGGAGCTGCTGGATCATATGGCAATTCTATTTAACAATTTTTGAGGAACCATGTATTAGTCCATTTTTACGCTGCTGATAAAGACATACCCAAGATTGGGCAATTTACAAAAGAAAGAGGTTTATTGGACTTACAGTTCCATGTGGCTGGGAAGACCTCAAATCATGGCGGAAGGTGAAAGACACATTTCACATGGCAGCAGACAAGAGAAAAGACAGCTTGTGCAGGGGAATTCCCCTTTTTAAAACCATTATATCTCGTGAGACTTATTCAATATCACAAGAACAGCATGGGAAAGACTTGCCCTCATGATTCAATTACCTCCTACCCAGTCCCTCCCACAACACATGGGAATTCAAGATCAGATATGGGTAGGGACACAGCCAGATCGTATCAAACCACCATACAGTTTTCCATAGCGGCAGCACCATTTTAAATTCCCACCAGCAGTGCATAAGGTTTCCAATTTCTCCACATCCTCATCAACACCACTTTCTGTTGTCTTTTTTTTTAATAGCCATTCTAATGGTGATTAGGTGATTAGGATTATCTCATTGTGGTTTTGATTTGCATTTCCCTAATGATTAGTAAATATTGAGCATCTTTTCGTGTGATTTTGGCCACTTATGTTTCTTTCTTGAAAGAATGTCTGCAAGTTCTTTGCCCATTTTCTGATTTTTTTTTAAGTTGTGGGAGTTCACTATATGTTTTGCCTATTAATTTCCTATCAGATATATGATTCACAAATATTTTCTTGTATTTCATGGTTGCTTTTTCACTCTGTTGCTAGAGTTCTTTGATGCACAAACGTTTTAAATTCTGATGAAGTCTGATTTATCTATTTTTTGTTGCCTGTGCGTTTGGTGTTATATCCAAGAAATCACTGCCAAATCTAGTGGCATGAGGCTTTTCTTCTACATTTTCCTAGGAGTTTTATAGTGTTAGCTCTTATGTTTAGGCCTCTGATCCATTTGGAATTACATCTCCACCTTTCTTAACTATCTGTGGCTCCTTGGGAAAACTACCCTTCTTTCCTGATTCAGACACTGGGGATGGGAAAATTACCTCAAATGAAGGTTAAAAAAATTGCATGTATCTCCTATACTACCTAACACTGAGAGCTCAATAATATTTTGTTCCCTTGCTCCTTCACTCTTATTCCTTCTGGAAAGAAGAGTAAGGAAGAGGGAGAGAAACAGTTTGGTATTTTTAGGTAGACTAGGGAGCATCTCACTGGCTGGAGTAAGATGTGGGGGCCTGCTGTCTTTGCACATCAGCCCTGGTGTTTGCTGGCCCTCTTTTCCAGGAAGTGCTTCGGGAGATCCAGGATGCAGTGGCCAGGGCGGGGCAGGTGGTGCGGGAAGCCGTTGGAGGGCTGCAGACCGTTCGCAGTTTTGGGGCCGAGGAGCATGAAGTCTGTCGCTATAAAGAGGCCCTTGAACAATGTCGGCAGCTGTATTGGCGGAGAGACCTGGAACGCGCCTTGTACCTGCTCGTAAGGAGGGTAAGATACCAGAGTGGTTGTGAAAGGAGCCCAGGAAAGGGGGAGGGCAAGGGAAGAGGAAACTACAGCTGGTTCTAGAGGCCTTTGCAGCTCAGTCTCATAGAGGCAGAGAGGGGGAAAGAATGGGAAGATTCCCAGCCTCATCTCTTTCTTCTCCTCTTCCAGGTGCTGCACTTGGGGGTGCAGATGCTGATGCTGAGCTGTGGGCTGCAGCAGATGCAGGATGGGGAGCTCACCCAGGGCAGCCTGCTTTCCTTTATGATCTACCAGGAGAGCGTGGGGAGCTATGTGCAGGTGAGCGAGAAGCCAAGCCTGCTCTCCTTTTTTCCCTCTCTTTTTCTTTGTGGACTCCTGGGCCTTGGGCTTTATTTGTTCTTTTTAACAATACAATACAAAACCAAAACCCGCAAGTAATTTTGCTATGGAGAATTTTAAACATATGCCAAAAATGAGACAAAATAATATTACAAACTCACATGTATACATCCTGTGCTTTAACAATGATCAACTCATGCCCAATCTTGTTGGATCTGTATCCCCAGCCACTTCCCCCCACCCATATTATTCTGAAGCAAATCCAAGATATTGTATACTTTCATCTGTAAATATTTCAGTATGTTTCTTAAAAATACAAACATCTTTAAAAGTGTATAACAACAAAGCCATTATCACACCAAAAAATTAACAGTAGTTCTTAAAATTTATCAAATAGTCAATTGTCAAATTTCCACTTGTGGTATCCATGTAGTATATGTGTATGAGTGTGTTTATTATACTTTGCTTAAATCAGGATCCAGAAATGGTCCACATATTGTGACTGGTTGATACATCTTTTAAGTCTGTCTGTCTATCTATCTATCCATCCATCTATCCATCCATCCACCCATCAATCCATGTATCTGTCTAAAAGTTTCCCTTGCACAGTTTATTTGTTGAAGAAATAGGTTGTTTGTCCTGTGGAGTTTCTTAGGGTCTGGATTTTGTTGACTGAATCCCTGTGGTATTATATGCTCTTCTGCCTCTGTACTTCCTGTCTATTGATAGATAAACCTAGAAGCTTGTGAGATTGAGGGGTTTTTTTTGGTCTTTTTCCAGCAACAGTACTTTTTAGGTGGTGATGCATTCTTCCTCCAAGAGGCACACAATGTCTGGTTCTCTATTTGTGGCAACATCAGCCACTGATGAGCAGTACCTACATCCATGACAGAATTAGGGCTGCAAAAGGGAGATACTCTATCATTCTTCATGTATTAGCTGAAGTAGTCTATGAAGGGAGACTTCCCCTCATCTACCATTTCATTACCCGGTGGTACAGTTTGATGAGGAAAGGCAGAGTGAGCATTTAGATCTCTTCCTACATTTACCAGTTCTCAAAAACAGCTACTTCATCCAGGGCTTTATTTAAACATTTTCCTAGACACTTGATAAACATCTTTTTTGTGTAGAGAACTGCGCTGGGCACTCTGACGGCTACAAAGGTGAGTTGGGCACAGTGCCTGCATTTAAGGAGCTCCCCGTCTAATCAAGCAAGACAGAACTGGGCACAAGTAATAGGAAGCAGTAACTGAAAAGATCTGGGGCTAGAGGCAATGCTGTATGGTAGGAGAAGGGACTGTATATCCTTTATATTGCAAATTGGAACACTGGGGTATTGGTGCCACTTTTAAATTCCGTCCAAATTGTACATTTAAAAGTGGAGAATCTCTTTTGAGTATGGAGGAGGAGCAGTGCAGTTGTGAGTGGAGTGTGTGAGGAGTTGGGAGGGTGGTTTCTGGTAGAAGTGTGTTTAATTAGCCGGCTCTCCCATTCCTGTTTTCCAGACCCTGGTATACATATATGGGGATATGCTCAGCAACGTGGGAGCTGCAGAGAAGGTTTTCTCCTACATGGACCGACAGCCAAATCTGCCTTCACCTGGCACGCTTGCCCCCACCACTCTGCAGGGGGTTGTGAAATTCCAAGACGTCTCCTTTGCATATCCCAATCGCCCTGACAGGCCTGTGCTCAAGGTGCCTGAAAGAGGGAGGAAACCTGGACCCTTGCTCTCTGCTGCTAATGCATAATTGGACATCACAGCCTATAGTTCATTTGCCTCTGAGAACCTGGTCTTGCCTCTGCTAAGAAGAGAAATGGAGGGATTTTGAGGGAGAAGGGGCAGGCCCTTAACTCTTTTTCTGGTTTTCTAGGGGCTGACGTTTACCCTACGTCCTGGTGAGGTGACGGCGCTGGTGGGACCCAATGGGTCTGGGAAGAGCACAGTGGCTGCCCTGCTGCAGAATCTGTACCAGCCCACAGGGGGACAGGTGCTGCTGGATGAAAAGCCCATCTCACAGTATGAACACTGCTACCTGCACAGCCAGGTGGGTGAGGAGGGAGAAGACAGGGGACAGGAGAGGGGAGCATGTACAGAGAGAGGATGGGAGATCCACGGGAAGGCGCACCAGGTGTTCATTCTGAGGGAGGTAGGTGGGGAGGACAAAAGGGCCCCTGCCTTGGGGGTTTACACATAGTCCTCTGCCCCTGTCCCTGCTGCACAGGTGGTTTCAGTTGGGCAGGAGCCTGTGCTGTTCTCCGGTTCTGTGAGGAACAACATTGCTTATGGGCTGCAGAGCTGCGAAGATGATAAGGTGATGGCGGCTGCCCAGGCTGCCCACGCAGATGACTTCATCCAGGAAATGGAGCATGGAATATACACAGGTATCTTCTACAAATTGTAAGCTTGCTCCTTCAGTAAAAAAGAGAAAATCAGACTTACTCTTAGTGGTGAAGGTCGTGTCCCTGTAGCTTGATGTTTGCTGTTCCTCTGCCCTTTCCTCCATTCCTACGTCTCCTTCCCCACACACTGAATTCTTCAGCCTCCCTCTTGATCAAGAGTCTTTGTTTGCAGAGAGCAATGCAGCAGTGGTGCTCCCTCCGTGGGCAGCCCCGTCAGGTCCCCACCCCATGGCCCTCCTCCCACTGGGCCCTCCCCGCACTGGGCCCTCCCACCTCCCGAGGTCCTACTGGAAGTACCTGCTGTGCACTTGTCCCTCCTTGTGTGTTGTCTGTGTCACTTGTATCTGAGGAAGGGAATTTCTCTGATTTCCTCAGATGTAGGGGAGAAGGGAAGCCAGCTGGCTGCGGGACAGAAACAACGTCTGGCCATTGCCCGGGCCCTTGTACGAGACCCGCGGGTCCTCATCCTGGATGAGGCTACTAGTGCCCTAGATGTGCAGTGCGAGCAGGCCGTGAGTACCGTGAGAGGGCAGGGGACAGTGGGGCCTGGGAGGGGCATGCTGGGAGGATCAGACTGTGCAGAATTGGGCAGAGGGAGGACGAAGGACCTACTAGTGGAAACAGTCTGTGCCTTCTTGGGGTTGGGGAATGGAATCCGGTGGTGTGAGGGCAGCCCCAGTTCCCTCCTGGGCTTCCATTCCTCCAGCTGTGGCAGTACAGCCGGGAGAGAAGGGCAGTCCAGGCCTTTATCTACTGCCCTTTCCTACCTTCTTTTATTTCACACCTTCTTTACCCTAAATCATAAGAGATGGTGCCCAGGTGGATGTGGTGTCCATCTCATTCCTGTCTTTCTGAGGCACTGTGATCACCCCTTCAGCTGCAGGACTGGAATTCCCGTGGGGATCGCACAGTGCTGGTGATTGCTCACAGGCTGCAGACAGTTCAGCGCGCCCACCAGATCCTGGTGCTCCAGGAGGGCAAGCTGCAGAAGCTTGCCCAGCTCTAGGAGGGACAGGACCTCTATTCCCGCCTGGTGCAGCAGCGGCTGATGGACTGAGGCCCCAGGGATACTGGGCCCTCTTCTCAGGGGCGTCTCCAGGACCCAGAGCTGTTCCTGCTTTGAGTTTCCCTAGAGCTGTGCGGCCAGATAGCTGTTCCTGAGTTGCAGGCACGATGGAGATTTGGACACTGTGTGCTTTTGGTGGGGTAGAGAGGTGGGGTGGGGTGGGGTGGGGGCTGTCTGTGTCCAGGAAACTTAATTCCCTGGTGACTAGAGCTTTGCCTGGTGATGAGGAGTATTTTGTGGCATAATACATATATTTTAAAATATTTTCCTTCTTACATGAACTGTATACATTCATATAGAAAATTTAGACAATATAAAAAAGTACAAAGAAGAAAAGTAAAAGTACCCATTGTTTCACTTCCTGGAGATAACCATAGTTGCTATTTTGCTGCCTGTCCCATCAGTCGTTTATCTGTTGTTTGAGATAGAAATTAACCAAAAATGACATAAATATTCATGAGATTGCCTTCCTATATCCTTCCTTGTTCCTACCAGTGTCTGCTATTTTGAAGAAGCTAGGGTCTGGAGGGACAGAGAACAGTTCCCTGATTAACAGTATTAATAGCGACATTGGTAACAGCTACCATTTATAGAGTTTTAATGGGAGTAGGAGCTATGCTAAGTGTTTTTCATGTATTATCGTTTTTAATCATTATCCCCAACCCTATGAGGTTGGTTATTATCCCCATTTTACAGATGAGGAAACTGAAGCTCAAAGAGGCTCAATGACTTTCCCAAGGTGGTCGTAGTGGTGGAGTTGGAGTTTGAACACAGGCCTGACCCTAGAGTCCACACCCTGACCCAATCAATTATATTGCATCTTGGGTCCATAAACCCTAATCCATAATCCCATCAAGAAAAGCTCTGCTGCTCTTAGCTCTAAATAATTCAGAATCTATTCTCTTCTCTCCAGTCCCGTTGTTATAGTCTTCACTCATAGACTTAAGATGATCCCATCACCAGAGAGGTTTCTCTACCATTAGCTTCCCTCTTCCGGCCATTCTTCACAAAGTCATTTTTCTAAATTCTGTGTCACATACGATGATGGCATTTCTGGAAATTCCTTCAGGTGCTCTCAAGCCCTGCTGCAGAGATCCTTTTCAGAGCACACACTGTTCCAGCCCATCTGTCTCACCCTCTCCTGTTGTATCCAGCTCCACGACAAACTTCTGCCTTCCCCAACACCTTTGTGCCTTTGCATATGGTGTTTTCTTGCCCATTTTCTGCTCGACTCGCCCCTGATTTTCAAGTTCAAGACTTAACTCAGGGTTCAGGTCTTCCAGGAGGCCTTACTTATGTCGTCAGTCTGGGGAACTCTCCATGTGCTTCTATCACTGTGCGGTTACCTCTTTCACAGCCCTTTTAAAGTTCTATCTTCCCTTTCCCACCTTTTTTGACCTTCCACTAGACCATGAGCACCTGGGCGGAAAGCCATATATCTTATTAAGCTTTATATCTGCTACCTGGCCGAGGGCCTAATTCATAGTGGAGAATAAATAGTCAATTGAATAAATGAATAAATATCTCCACCATCGTACTAATCTTAATCCTCCCTGCCCACTCCCACCACTGAAAATGCAACATTGTACACATCACTGGTTGTTGGGAGGGACTTACCTTGGAAAGTTGCTATTCTAGGAAAGAGAAACCTTCATATTCCTGGAAACAGCAGGTAGTTTCCAGTGCTGGCAATGAATTCCCCAGAACTGCTGTTTTGGATTTTTTCTTGCCTGGCAGCTGTTGGGAGCAGGGTGCAGTGAGGATGGGGTGAGAGTGGGCAGTTTCTTGTGCAGATTTGCCTTTCTTTCATCCTGGGGCTGACTTGCAGCTCCACACCCATCCATCTCTCAAATTTCACAGAGGGTAAAATAGGCATTTGGAGAGAAAGAACTCTGGCCTGATTCCTTTCTCTCCCACAAATGTCCTTTATTCATAAAACAGGAATAATAATTCCTGTATCTCCCAACTACATGGAAGCTGCAGCCCTCACAGAAGAAGATGATCTGAGAAATTCTTTGATTTCCTCAGTACAGTTATACCCATGCATCATAATACTTTAAGCCTGGAAGGCATCTTAAAAATAATGCAACAGTCAAACCTAATTTTACAGAGAAACTGACATGAAATCACGCAGCTAATCATGATAAAGCTGGGTGGAAAACTTATCTTGATGGGCAGTACAGGAAGATGCAGTAGACCTTAAGATGTCCTGAAAGTTTCTTATCTCAGGGGAAACTCCCAGGTAGGCTTTATGTCAGGGACACAGAAAAATGCTCCCTGAAAGTCAAAATATTCGGGCTAGACAGACAAATTCCTGTAAGTGTGGTTTGTCTGGGAACCACAGATGTCACTAATCCTGGTTTGCTCCAGAGTTCTTTTTGTTCACTCCTACCCCCCATCACCATTTGATTGATCTCCTTACCCTGTAATTTCCCCTTCTTGTCGCTTACCTGCAGTATCTTTCCCACCCAGGCATGCCTTATTCTTTCTAAAGGAAAGTATGAATGGAGAGGGGAAAGCTTGGGAAACTGATAGATTTCCTTGGATGCCAAAACACCTCCATAGCCTGTCTGCCCGGCCCTATGTGGAAACAGCATTGAGTTTCAAGTCCTTTATGCCTCCACCCAGGGATAGCCACTTGGAATCCACATGGCAATTGTGAAACAAGCAGGAAATGCGTAATTGTCAGAATTTTGTGGGGAAAGGACTAGGGAATAAGGAAAACAAAGATCTTCCTTGTGTTTTAGAGCTGTCAGCTAGAGGAGCACCTGCTTGAGTCTGATGCCATCTAATGGTCCCAGAAGAAACTGGGTTTTGAACCTAGAGTTCCATGGACTCTTAGGAATTAGACTCCTACTACTACTAAGCATTCACTGGTGCTTACTATGTGCTATTGCTGTGCCAAGTATCTGAAACCTGTCTTCTTACCTTATTTTTCAAGATAATTCTATGTGGCAGGTATTACTATCTCAATTCTAAGAGTGAGAAAATGGAGTTTTAGAAACATTTACTAACTTGCCTGGGTCACATAGCTAAGGAAGAGGTGGACTTGCCCAGCTTTGCATAAAACTCCTCAAAAGAGTTGCCTATACTCCCTGACTCCACTTATCTTCCTACTATCCTCTTTTTAAAATATATTATTTATTTATTTAAATAAGCAATATATGAATGTGGTTTGAAATTCAAAAGACACAAAGAAGTATACAGAGGAAAGCCTCACTCTCAATCCTTCTCAAGGTTTGCTAATTCCTCTTGCATAGGCAATCCGTTCTTCCAGCTTTGTGTTTATCTTTCCAGAGAAGTTTACTGTGTATTAAGCAAATATGTATATCTTTATTCTTGCTCAGTATTTTCGCAAACAGCAGCTGTCTAAGTTCACTGTTCTGAACTTTATTTTTTAAATTAAAAATATATGGCTATGTAGTATTCTATTTTATGGAAGTTCCATATTTCATTTATCCTGTTTCCTTCTACTGATGGCTAGTTAGGTTATTGGAAGTCTTTTGCTGTTGCTAGTTAGTCTTGTATAGACATTGTAATGCACATGTGCAAAAATACAAGTATGATACAATCTTAAAGGGGAGTTGCTGAGTCCAATATATACATTACAAATATTGATAGATATTGCAAAATTGCCTTCATAGAGGCTGTATTAATTTATAGTTCCAGCAGCAACATATGAGTTTATCTGTTTCTCCATATATATATATATGTATATAACCAACAGACAGTGTTAATTTTTAAAATTTTGACAATCTTCTGGGTGAAAGTAGCATTGTATTGTAGTTATCATTTGCTTTTTAATATTATCATGTAAGTAACAGAGATACTAAACCCAGAAGGATAAGGGAGCAAAGATGAGAAAAATAAACACACACACAAACAACAATAACAAATCTGTCTAAAATATTGGAAAATCAGAATGAGAAATGAAATATGACTGTAACGATAAAAATCAGTAATAAAAATGACTATTAAATTTAAAAATAAGGCAGAGCAACCACAAGTGACATGAGAATGAGGCAGACAAAGTTAAAGCACCTAAAGTCTTTGTCTTGTTTGAAAGGAGGGTAGAGATATTGATTACCTTCAGATGCTGCCACATTTGGTAAACATGTTAAAAATATAAGACTGACTTTTAACTAATATAATTAGAATTTAAAATTCCTAAATCAGTAAGGGGAAATTAAATAATACTTTAAATAAAAATGTAATTGATTTAATATAAGTGATGCAAGGAAAACAAAAGAAGCAAAGTAAGACATAGCAAATACAGAGCACCATATATTGTAACAGAAACGAATGTAAATAGCACAGTGATCACAAGTATAAATAGCTTAAATATGGGAGTTAAAGGAAAGTTCTCAGATTAGATTAACAATATCGCAAAATCCAGTTATATGCCCTTCATAAGATCACAAGAAACCTAAAAACATGAAAATGTTAAATCAAAACCAGATATAAGATACACAAAGCAAACACTAACAGAAGACAGAAAGACAGCTTATGTAATTACAGAAATATCTAAACATATAGTCTAAAACCAAAGGCATTAGTAAAAACAAAGACAGCCATTACATAGTGATAATGAAGTCACCAGAACATTATACTAAAACTGAATCAGTTTGCACCTAGCAATAAAACTACAAAATATGTAAGAAATATAGGAGAATTATAGGAAGAAATTAATTGAGAAATTGAAACACATTTCTCAATGATTATAGAATAAGTGGAAAAATGAATAAGGATATCAAATAAGCCTGTTGATGTTCTTGTCTGTAACATCTAGGAATCAAAATATATTCTTTAAAACTAATAAATCAAGTGCTCGTATTTACACATTTAAGACTACAAAGGTAGACACACACACAGAAAGAGGAAGGGAGAGGATATGAGCTAGTTTTGTGATTGTTCATTATTTAAAACTAATAGGAATTATCTAAAGGAAGAGGGAACTAAGTGTATTATATACAAATAAACTTATCAAAGCAACCTTGAAATATACACCTTCCTTAATATCTGAAAAGGTAAAATTTTTAAAATGCACAATAAAGACATAGTGAAAGATTTTTAAAAATACTCATGTAAACATTATACTTAACAGAAGTTAATATCTCTGAATTAGACTGAATCTATTTGCTGTATGAATAATTATAAATGGGCTTCTTAACTGAACTAAATAAATGAAAATATTTTTAAATTAGATTAAGATAAAAACTCTATTATTTGCAATATGCAAAAGACACCTAACATAAAGCCACTCAGAAAGATGTATTCATTATTTTCAACAAATAAGATGATGGGCAAAGACATAACAAGAGAAGGCAAACAAAAGGGAAGCAGAGGTCACATTCGTCTTACCAAACAAGATGAAATTCAGACACTCCTCACCAAAAAAAAAAAAAAAAAAAAAAATTGAGTGTGACAAGAAGGGCACTTTATAATGTAAAGTATAAAATTCATATGAATATATGAGACATGTGTTTAAGTTCTAAATACCAAATAGGTAGCTCTTATAAAGCAGAAATTAAGGTAGATACAAGGAAAATATTCAGAAATGTACTACCAATAGAACACTTTAATTCCCTTTCCCTGGACTAGACCAGTTAAGTGGACAAAAAAATAGGCTGGGCCTGGTGATTCATGCCTGTAATCTCAGCACTTTGGTAGGCCAAGGCGGGTGGATCACCTGAGGTCAGGATTTCGAGGGCAGCCTGGCCAACATGGTGAAACCCTGTCTCTACCAAAAATACAAAAATTAGCTGGGTGTGGTGGTGGGCGCCTGTAATCCCAGCTACTTGGGAGGCCGAGGCAGGAGAATTGCTTGAATCTGGGAGGCAAAGGTTGTAGCGAGCCAAGATCGCACCACTGCACTCCAGCCTGGGCGGCACAGTGAGACTCTGCCTCAAAAAAAAAAAAAAAAAAAAGTATGAACACAGAAGATAGAAGATATTACTATCAATAAAAAAATAGATATGCTACATCTATATCAAACTTTTAAAATTGAAAATAGAGGCCGGGTGCAGTGGCTCACACCTATAATCCCAGCACTTTGGGAGGCCTAAGCAGTCGGATTGCTTGAACTCAGGAGCTCAAGACCAGTGTGGGCAACAGCGAAAACCCGTCTCTACAAAAAATACAAAAATTAGCCAGATGTGGTGGCTCGTGCCTGTGGTTTCAACTACTTGGCTGAGGTGGGAGGATCGCTTGGGCCCAGTTCAAGGCTGCAGTGAGCTATGATTGTGCCACTGCACTCCAGCCTGGGCAACAGAGTGAGGCCTTGTCTCTAAAACAAACAAACAAACAAACAAAAATTAAATGGCTCAATGGCATAGAAGAAAATTTTTTTATGAAGCAAGTATAATATTGATGTTAAACTATGACAATGCACAAATATAAAAATTGTAGATGAATTTACTTATTATACTGACACAAAAATCCTAAATAAAACATTGCAAACAGATTCTAGCACAGATTAAAAAACACCCATTAAGATCAAGGGGTTTTTTTTGTTTTTTTTTTCTAGAAAACCCTTTGGAAGTTCATGATATTTTGAATTTCAGTGGATATTTCCTGGGAATAATGAGTTCAAATGAACGAATATGTGGAACAAAGCATCACCAACATTTATTTTTTCAGGATGAGGTGATGGACAAAACCATCACAGGGAAATTGAGGCAAATAGTACATGTAAAACAATACTTCGGGTGAGTCCACCTATCCCAAAGTCGTATCAAAGAAGTGGCTGCAGATTGGAGCCCAAAGCCTTTGGTTCCTCAGTTTCCAAATGGATTCTCACTAGGTGGGATCATGAGTTTGCTTTGGACACCCCAAATTCTAACTATTTCTTTTGTTTCTTACATCCTTTCCCTCTTCCCCAGCCCCTTCCCCTCATGTTACACCTCTTGCTGGTTTGAGACGTCAATCACCACTGAGAAAGAATTAAACCAGTATTTTGAGCTGGCAAAATTCTTAGCCTAGTACAATTCCTTCAATTAAACTGTAGCTCAACAATGTGTTCTCTAAAAGTATGATTTAATATTCTACCTAGAAACTCAGAATATTTTTCATAACTCCTCCAGGGCAGTGTGGATTATGTTGATGTGTTAGGAGGAAGTAGAAGGAAGAAAATGAATTGAGATGTACGTTTTACTTCCATGTCAAAGTCACCAAAATAGCAGTTGAAGGGATATTTGTGTCAGGCAATAGGGAGAATAATAATTTTATGCCACCCTCAAAAAACAACCACACATACACCCAAATTCTCTCACTCCTCAGAGAAAGGGGAAGGAAAGAAAAGAGAGAAGCAAAATATGAGCTTGAGTGAAAAATCACAGAGGAGCCTGTAGCTATTTAGGGAGGGCTGCTGGCTGAAGTCAGGCAGGAAAAAAAGATCAAAACACCCTGCCCTATTTTTCAGGCTCGTTCAAGTAGAAGACAAAAACATAAATACAGGAGAAAGGAAGAAAACCACATCTTTTTCCTCTTGTCTCCCCAGAACTGAACAGTGTCTCTGATAAGCCCAGGCCCTTCTATCGTAGACACTGACACTATGCACAGAAAATGACTCAAAAACGCTTCTAATGGGGGTGAATCTGATGCTTCAGTTTATTTAAGATGTACCAGAGGCCATCTAAGGAGATCCATAGCTTGCTAACTGAAGCTTATTGCTTTCTCTTCTTAGTTCCCATGCCAGGCTCTATGCCATTCCTTGCTTGTCATGTGAGATCACTGATTTCCTTTGGTTAGGTAGGATATGATTTCCTTACAGAGATCTGTCCTGACACCAAACAGCTATGATGAAATTCCTTGGTTATTTTCCCTTTTTGTGTACCTTATCATTACCGGAATGCTAAAGCTGTAGGAATAAAGTTTCCCTGGCTTCCCAAGAAATACAGTGTGACAGAAAAAGTATAGCCTAGGGACTTACTAGTTATGTGAACTTTGGTTCATTCCATCCTTACCTCATCTGTAAAAGGGAGATCATGATAGTATCTACTGCAAAGGGTTTTGTGTGATGATTCTCTCTCTTTCTCTCTCTCTCATACACACACACGCACACATTTATATAATGCTTAGAAAATGAACTCATAATAAGCAATTGACAAACATTAGCTATTATTATGTAGGCAAGTCAGATTTTAGAGTTTGTGAGCCTTAGACACATTTACAGAGAAGAAAGAGCAGCCCTCCTAACTTTCTGGTCCAGCGCCATATCCTCCACTTCCTCCCCATCCCCACATCCCTTGCCATTTATCAACCCCCTCTCTCCTCTAAATCTAAATACAGGCCCCCGTTTGATCCATATTGTCTAGGCCCTTCCTCTCCTCTCCACATGGCCCTTCCTTCAGCTCTGAGGGAAGCTGCAGAAGCCAGCCATGGTGCTGTCTACAAAGAAGGGGACACACGCCTCTTCCACCCGCTCATGCTGTTACTGCATCTGATCATCTCCGTGCCGTGTCCTTGTTCACTTAGCCTGTGTTGAGTGTTTGTCTCCATTTCCAAATGCAATAAAACATCTGGGAAAGACTAAGGTAGGTGTGGGCAGGAAGAAGGGAGGAAGTTAGACCCAGTGGCTTGAGTGCCCTCTGATGCCTCCTTATCCTCGGCTCCACACAAGCCCTCGCCAGTGTGAGCTCCACAGCCATCCACCTGGAGGAGGAGTACTCAAAACCAGGGTCAAATGCCTTGTACTCGGGGGTCTACCAGTAAGCCTGTGGCC